>NC_000003.12:55767575-56070606 GCF_000001405.40 Homo sapiens | reverse complement strand
GCTGAGAATTGATTCTCGTTCAATGAAAAAGCTGATCCCACCCAGGGGAGGCAAATTCTCTTTTAAATAAATATTTGCTTCTGGGTTAAGACCTTATATTCTATACTCAATTTCACTATGATGGATTTTTTTTTTTTTAAAAAAGGTTTGTTTATAATTACTTGCAAAATTCCTTGAAGATTTAAAATAAAAATGCCCAGAGTGCCCTGACCACGGCTGCTACCCTAACGGGTACAGGCATCTTGACACATCTGTCAATCCAAGCTGCCAGCTATTGCTTATAGTTTTTGAAATGGGATTAGAGGTGGTTGAGCCTTTACATATTTCAGTCTGCAGATGATTCTGTTTTTCTCCCTACATACTCCCAGGCCATTTGATTTAAATCAACCTTATTTATGTGGGAAGGAAAATGTTCTGTCTTTTTTTACTTATCTTTTGTTTGCCAATGGACTCTGCTTTGCTGTGAAGAATTTTACACATATCTATATTGGCATTTATCATGTTATATTGTAAGGGAAGTCCATGATTCAAAATGTCTATAATACCTGTTTTAGTTTCCCATAAGTATAAATGTAAAGTAAGGGTAATGTGTTCTTGTGGGGCATATTGCTTCACAGTTACTGTGGGTAATAGCATTTTTCTACTGTTCTGATACTGCAGTCTTTGTACTTTGTACTTTCCTTTGTACTCACCTGATTATACTACAACTTCTGCAGACTAAAATATGTAACTGCTTTAAACAGACTGTTTTCATGGAAGTTGTATTCTAAATTAATGGCACAAACTATATGGCAATTTGGAGCCTTTGTCATAACATTTTTATCATACCTCCTTTTTAGATTGCTGATTTTGAGAACCAGCAGTAGCACCCACATATAATCAGTCCTTAGATAATACAATTATGGTTTATAAAAGTCATTTATAACTCTAACAAAAGTACTGTGGTAGATAGAATTCTAAGATGGACCCCTGAGCTTTCCCACTTCCCTGTTGTATGTGCTTTGAATAATGCCTGGGACTATGAATATGATGGATTTGGAAGTGAATTTTTCCCTAGAGCCTCCAGAGAGATGCTCTTCTGGCTGACGTCTTGATTTCACCCTTGTAATACCCCAGGCAGAGACCCCAGCCACAGGCAGAGACCCCAGCCACACCTTGACAGACTTCTGACTTACACAACTGTGAACTAATAAATGGATGTTGTTTTAAGTCATTTGGTGGCATTTTGTCATACAGCAATAGAAAACTGATGTAAGTACATGTTAAAATAACTTTTCAGAGTTCCCAAACCTCTCATGGAAATTCAGAGGCAAGTAAACAGTAGTAGAGTTCACAGGATACTGACAAAGAATGCTGCTGGTCCACTAAAGTGGCACCGCTAGGAACTAAAGCAGTTTTCAATACCTTGACTGCTCAGCATAGAAATAATGGCAGTCTTCCCACACAATAATAGTGGGAGACCTTAACACCCAACTGTCAATATTAGATAGGATCATTGAGACAGAAAATTAACAAGGATATGCAGGGCTTGAGCTCAGCTCTAGATCAAGTGGACCTGATAGACATCTACAGAACTCTCCACCCCAAAACAACAGAATATATATTCTTCTCAGTGCCACATGGCACTTACTCTAAAATCGATCACAAAATTGGAAGTAAAACACTCCTCAGCAAATGCAAAAGAACTGAAATCATAACAGTCTCTCAGACCACAGTGCAACCAAATTAGAACTAAAGATTAAGAAACTCACTCAAAACCACACAACTACATGGAAATTGAACAACCTGCTCCTGAATGATTCCTGGGTAAATAATGAAATTAAGGCAGAAACCAAGTTCTTTGAAACCAATGAGAGCAAAGAGATAATGTACCAGAATCTCAGGAACACAGCTAAAGCAGTGTTAAGAGGGAAATTTATAGCACTAAATGCCCACATCAGAAAGCTAGAAAGATCTCAAATTGACACTGTAACATCAAAACTAAAAGATCTAGAGAAGCAAGAGCAAACCAATCCAAAAATTAACTGAAGACAGGAAATAACTAAGATCAGAGCAGAACTGATGGAGATAGAGACACAAAAGATCCTTCAAAAAAATCATGAATCCAGGGGCTGGTTTTTTGGAAAAAAATAAATAAATAAATAAAATGGACCACTAGCTAGACTAATAAAGAAGGAAAAAGAGAAGAATCAAATAGACATAATAAAAAATGATAAAGGAGATATCACCACTGACCCCACAGAAATACAAACTACCATCAGAGAAGAGTACAAACACCTCTATGCAAATAAACTAGAAAATCTAGGTGAAATGGAGAAATTCCTGGACACGTACACCTTCCCAAGACTAAACCAGGAAGAAGTCAAATCCTTGAATAGACCAATAACAAGTTCTGAAATTGAGGCAGTAATAAATAGCCCGCCAACCAAAAAAAGCCCAGGAGCAGATGGATTCACAGCCAAATTCTACCAGAGGTACAAAGAGGAGCTGGTAGATTCCCTCTGAAATATTTCCAAACAATTGAAAAGGAAGGACTTCTCCCTAACTCATTTTATGAGGCCAGCATCATCCTGATACCAAAATCTGGCAGAGACACAACAACAACAAAAAATTCAGGCCAATACCCCTGATGAAAATCGATGCGAAAATCCATAATAATATACTGGCAAACTGAATCCAGCAGCACATCAAAAAGCTTAGCTGCCATGATCAAGTTGGCTTCATCCCTGGGATGCAAGTCTGGTTCAACATACGCAAATCAATAAACATAATTCATCACATAAACAGAACCAATGACAAAAACCACGTGATTATCTCAATAGATGCAGAAAAGGCCTTTGATAAAATTCAACATCCCTTCATGTTAAAAAGTCTCAATAAACTACGTATTGGTGGAACATATCTCAAAATAATAAGAGCTATTTATGATAAACCCACAGCCAATATCATGAATCGGCAAAAGCTGGAAGCATTCCCTTTGAAAACTGGCACAACACAAGGATACCCTCTTTCACCACTCCTATTCAACATAGTATTGGAAGTTCTGACCAGGGCAATCAGGTAAGAGAGAGAAATTATTCAAATAGGAAATGAGGAAGTAAAATTGTCTCTATTTGCAGATGACATGATCCTATATCTAGAAAACCCCATCGTCTCAGCTCAAAAGCTCCTTAAGGTGATAAGCAACTTCAGCAAAGTCTCAGGATACAAAATCAATGTGCAAAATCACAAGCATTCCTATACACCAACAATAGACAAGCAGAGAGCCATGAATGAACTTCCATTCGCAATTGCTACAAAGAGAATAAAATACCTAGGAAACAGCTAACAAGGGATGTGAAGGACCTCTTCAAGGAGAACTACAATCCACTGCTCAAGGAAATAAGAGAAGACACAAACAAATGGAAAAATATTTCATCCTCGTTAATAGGAAGAATTAATATTGTGAAAATGGCCATGCTGCCCAAAGTAATTTAGAGATTCAGTGCTATTCCCATCAAACTACCATTGACATTCTTCACAGAATTAGAAAAAAATACTTTAAAATTCATCTGGAACCATAAAAGAGCCCATGCCTATGTAGCCAAGACAATCCTAAGCAAAAAGAACAAAGCTGGAGGCATTATGCCGCTTGACTTCAAACTCTACTACAAGGCTATGGTAACCAATACAGCATGGTACAAGTACCAAAACAGACACATAGACCAATGGAACAGAATAGAGATCTCAGAAATAATACCACACATCTACAACCATCTGATTTTCAACAAACCTGACAAAAACAAGCAATGGGGAAAAGATTCCTTATTTAATAAATGGTGCTGGGAAAATAGGCCATATGCAGAAAACTGAAACAGGACCACTTTCTTATACTTTAACAAAAATTAACTTAAGGTGGATTAAAGACTTAAATGTAAAACCCCAAACCATAAAAACCCTAGAAGAAAATCTAGGCGGTACCATTCAGGAAATAGGCATGGACAAAGATTTTATGATGACATCATCAAAAACAATTGCAACAAAGCAAAAATTGACAAATGGGATCTAATTAAACTGAAGAGCTTCTGCACAGAAAAAGAAACTATCATCAGAGTGAACAGACAACCTACAGAATGGGAGAAAACTTTTGCAATCCACCCCTTTTACAAAGGTCTAATATCCAGAATCTACAAGGAACTTAAACAAATTTACAAGAAGAAAAACAACCCCATCAAAAAGTGGGCAAAGGACATGAACAGACACTTCTCAAAAGAAGACATTTATGTGGCCAACAAACACATGAAGAAAAGCTAAGCAAAGCTCAACATCACTGATCATTAGAGAAATGCAAATCAAAACCACAATGAACTACCATCTCATGCCGGTTAGAATGGCGATTATTAAAAAGTCAAGAAACAACAGATGCTGGTGAGGCTGTGGATAAATAGGAATGCTTTTACAGTGTTGATGGGAATGTAAATTAGTTCAACCACTGTGGGAGACAGTGGTGATTCCTCAAAGATCTAGAACCAGAAATACTGTTTGACCCAGTAATCCCATTACTGGGTATATACCCAAAGGAATATAAATCGTTCTGCTATAAAGATACATGCACATGTATGCTCATTGCAGTACTATTCATAATAGCAAAGACATGGAATCAACCCAAATGCCTGTCAATAATAGACTGGATAAAGAAAATGTGGTATATATACACCATGGAATACTATGCAGCCATAAAAAGGAATGAAATCATGTCCTTTGCAGGGACATGGATGAAGCTGGAAGCCATCATCCTCAGCAAACTAACACAGGAACAGAAAACCAAACACCACATATACTCACTCATAAGTGGGAGCTAACAATGGGAATACATGGACACAGGGAGAGGAACAACACACACCAGGGCCAGTCAGTAGGGGCAGGGGGGTCACAGGGGAAGGGAGAGCATCAGGAAAAATAGCTAATGCACACTGGGCTTAATACCTAGGTGTTGGATTGATAGGTGCAGCGAACCACCGTGGCACACATTAACCTATGCAACAAACCTGCACGTTCTGCACATGTATCCTGGAACCTAAAATAAAATGCTTTTTTTTTTTTAAAAAAGAAAGTAGTCCATGTCAGAATATCATGAGGCTGGGCACGGTGGCTGAGGTGGAAGGATTGCTGGAGCCCAGGAATTTGAGAGCAGCCCGGGGAACAGAGTGAGACCTGTCTCTACACAAAATTAAAAAATTAGCTGGGCATGGTAGTGCGTGCCTGTAGTTCCACCTGTTCGGGAGGCTGAGGTGGGAGGATTGCTTGAGTCCGGGAGGTTGAGGCTGCAGTGAGCCATGATCATGACACTCGCTGAAGCCTGGGCAACAGAGCGAGACCCTGTCTCATAAAATAAAGAAAAAAAATAAATAATGGGAGTCTTGATGATGTTTTACAATTTTAGGGGGACCCGGATTATTTAAAAATGTATGCATAGGAAATGAGCCTTTATTACAGCTTTCAGATTGTAGTATTTTAGATAAAATACCTAAGATTTCCTAAAATGCTATGTTGTATCTTTATGTCTCTCTCCTCATTAAACCCTGAGTTCAGCAAAGGAAGTGACTGAGTCTTAGTCATTCTTTTATCCTTAGTACTTAGCACAGTGCTGGCATGTTATAGGTGCTTAATAAATGTTAGCTGGAAAACTGAAATGTAATAGATTGAGTAAATAAATAAGTCCAAAGTTCTTTTTGGATTCAGAATGAGTAAATAAATAGGAATGGCTGTGTTCCAATAAAACTTTATTTACAAAAACAGGCAGTGGGCCAGTTTGGCCCATGGGCTGCAGTTTGCTCAACTCTGGTGTAGATCACAAGTTCTTACAGCCTCTAGGCAACTCTATCATATAGCAACCTTCATGGCAAGTTTGAGATTTTAAAAGTGTACTCTAAATATTTAATAGAGTTAAACAAAGTTCACTTCTTTTCCAGACTATATTTACTGTTTGCCTCAGACATCCTTTCTGGTGCAAAGGGAAGTAAGTCGTTCGTTCCCAAGGGTGAGGTCTTCCTTAGTTTCTGTTGCGTTCTGTAGCTTTTTTGTGAATAAAGTCTGAATGAAGCAAAGCTAAGCAAACAGGATGTGCTTGAATGAATAGCACTCATTGACATGGAGTGGAGATATTTCTTTCTTTAGTTATTAAAATAAGAAGTTAAATTCTTAAGGTCACATATGATAGACTGATTTATAAAAGTTTATGAAGGGCGGCATACACACACCAAGGCTGTCTCCAAATGGAATGTCTGTGAACTTGTGAACAGCTGAGGGCATGGACAAGGGTGGCCAGGTGGGAAGGTAGGAATAGAGGCAAAGGTCCTTTGCTGCAGTTCCATGTTACCGACACGTTTCTTAGGGCTTGCCCGGTAGTGTTCTTTGGGACAGGTAGATGGCAGGTATGAAATGTCAGGTAGTCAGGGGAAAACAAACATGGGGCATTTGACCAGAGCTATTTAACCTATTGATTCTTTACCTAGGAATTCATTCTAGGAAAAGATTGAGGATGTAGGTATTGATTTAGCTACAGGCTTGTTCACGGCATAGTTCTTTAAAAAAATTTTTTTTCCAGATCAGTGAAAGCATTCCCAAGTGGAGGAGTAACTAAATAAATGATGGTATATTCATACATGGAAATTCTGCCAGTAGACATGATGTTATAGATGAGTATATTTATGAGTATATTTAATGATATAGAAAGATATTCACTCTATTTTGTTAATGGAAATAAACTTTACAATATGTATGTACAGAGAAGTATCAGAAAATGCCTATTTTCCCACACCCTCAACACCACTTTATAGTATAACCTGATTTTTATTTTAAAAACTTTATACACAGACATAACTTATGCATACATACATGCATGCTTCAGTATAATTAGTTTATTAAGGGCATGAACTGTGACAGGCCTGGCTTTGAATCTCAGTGTTGTTACTTAAGGTCTTTTTAATCTTTGGCAAGTTACTTACATATCCTCTGCCTCAGTTTCCCTGTCATTAAAATGAGGATAAGCTCACCTCTTACTTTCAGTCTGAATTTTTCTCAGCATAGTAGGTGTTCAAGAGGTATTTGTTGAATGAACAAACTGACCATCACTGTTGGTGCTCAATAAATTATTATTTTATACAAAAAATCCGAACTTAAATGCTAAACTCCTCAATTTTTTAAGAGCTTGGAAAGAAAATGAAATTATTTCACAAAGATAATTTTTAATTGCTTTTTAACTTTACTAATAGTGAAATTCACTTTTTGTGGTGTACAGTTCTATGTGTTTTAACAAAAACAAAGTAATGTAAGCCCCTTCACAATCATGACACGGGGCACTTCTGTAATCCTCCCTTGTGCTGCCCTTTGTGGTCAATCTCTCTCCCCAGCCTCCAATCCCTGGCAATCACCAGTTTGTTCCCCATGCCTTGTAGTTTTGCCTTTTCTAGAATGTCATAAAAATGGAATCATCCTGTATATGGATAGACTTTCGTGTCTGGCTTCTTTGACTTAGCATAATGCATTGAAACTCATCCATGTTGTAGCTTTTATCAATAGTTCATTCTAAAGAGGATACTCTTAAAGATAACTCTGAGAGTAACCTTGTTGTTTATGAAACAATCTCTGTCATAACCATATGTGTCTTTCATCCCTGAAGTTATTCCGAAGCCAGAGTTGGGGCAGGGTAGGATGTTGGCACTGAAAAGGACTGGAGAAACAACCTAGTCTCCGTCTGTTGAGAAGGTAAGATTTTCTAGTCTGAGAGCCAGAAATCAAATGCATTACCCCAGGTGAGCTCAAGTCAGAGTTGAGACCAGAATCCAGAGCCTTTGATGGTAAACTTGCAAAGTTACATGGGAAGTTAGGTAGGGTCAACAATTCTGGTGGTATACTAATGATAAACTCCCTAAAGGGCAGGGAAAGGCATGCATATGTGTGTTTGGGTGTGTGTTCATGTGTGTGCAATGGGTTGTGCTGAAACGATAGCATTTAACTATTTTTAAAAATAAAAGAAATGAGCGCTTCTTGTTTTAGAATGAGAAAAAAGGGCCTTGTATCATTATTATTATTTTTTGTAATCAGCATGAGTTTGTGCAAATCCATCTTCATTTTCTAGCATTCATAGTAAGCAGTGAATGGTTTGGAGAGTGACCAGAGGTATCATAGATGCTGCTTTCACCCCTAGAGCAGATAGATACATGGTAATTGGCCAAGCCTTTTAAATGTGTAAGTTTGGCCTGATAAGCTTCAGATCCCCACAGAAAATTCACACCAGATCTTGTACAGAGGTGTACAGTTTTGCCCTGAAGCCTGAACTGAAAAGAGTTCTCTTACCGTTTATTATTTATCCTGTTTATTTTTCATTTCTAAAGCAATAGTACTTCTTTATTTTAAAATAATTAGCTTACATGTAAGTACCATGTTATACTTCTTTTAAAAAAGAAACAGTATAGCCTTTTTATTCTTAAAAATCAAATTAGGCTTTTAAAAATGGGATCTCTTGAATCTATATAAAATAGTTATCTATTTTTATTGCATAAGCCAATGAACAAAATAAACATTTAACATTAACAAGGAAAATTAAGATTTATGGTTTATAATATGAAATGCAGAAAAAATTCTACACATAGCATGAAATGTTTATTTGCTAATTTAAGTTGGTCACGGTAATGTGCTTATACCCACGTGTATATCAGCTAATTTTCCTTTGCATTATTTTAATCCTCCATTTTAAAATACTTTTTATAGCAGTTTACTGAATTACAGATACAGAACTTAGTTAAGCACCCAAGGTAATTTATGTATTTCTTCTGTTTACAGTAACTTTAACTTAGATTTCTGGTAAACATGGCAATTGTCATAAGGAAATATATGTTATTTGCTATGTTCAAATTTAAACTCTCAGAAACTGTTCTTGAAGAATCTTTGGTTTAGTATTTCATTTCCATTCATAGTCCAAACATTTGTTGTATGTTTCTGTGTGGTTTATATATTTTTTCTCGTCATTGCCACAAGACCTTTATTTAGAATTTTAAGCTAAATATTTTTTTCTTTGAATAATTCATCTTTTAAAGTCCCTTCCTTTCTTTTGTAGAGTCTCTATGATCAAGGACATGGGAACTAAACAAACACTGTGCTAAGTGTTATGGTAGCTGACAAACTAGTTTGGTTAGATAAGTCTCCCAATTGCAGTGTCAGCATGCAGACTAGTCTAGTCCAGAGAGAAAAGCAGGAGGTAGAAAATCACATTCGAAATGCTTACAAGGTCAATAGAGAAAGAGCCTGAGACACCATCCCTGTGTTGAATTGAAGGAAAAATCAAGAATGTCAATTTTAGCGATTGAAATTGTCTTATAGAGCACAGGAGGCACTAATTTGCTCAGACATCTTTGGGCAAACTTGCATGTAGAATCTGCTAGATCCTGTTATTATTTATGTGCAGTCGTGCCTGCAGCCAGAGAACTATCTTTCTGGACTTGCTTCTTTCTAACTGAGAATAAAGGCTTGAGGAATATAGGAGATGTCAGTAGCAACAAGCAACTTGAATTCCTCAAGATAAAGACCATGGCTGGGAAGAATTGAGCAGGCAAGTGGAGGTTACTGACTCTGCATTAATAAAAAATTTACGAGAGTGCAGAACAAATCATGCCAGGCCATCTTTATCGTTTTCTAGGTGGATGTGCAAGATTAAAGAAAGGAATTCAATAGCTGTAATATCTGGAATTGAGTAAATCATCTAATTCAGTGTCTCCACAAATCTTTGGGGGCAGTAGGGGCAGGGGCAGAAGAGGGGGAGACCCTCAATGAGAATTGGCCCTGAGCACTGTCATGTGGATTCAATTTGGCTGTTGTAATAAATTACAATGGAACAGGGTCCATTGGGACGATGTTGGGATCAATAGAAGGTCAGGCTGTAACATCTCCAGCAGTGGTCTGGAAGAATGGATAACATACTTTATTAAGCTTGGCAGGCCAGGAGGTTTTGGAACTGTTGTGGTCACTGCCACCGTCATTAGCCTTTATGAAGCACCTGTTGGGTATGGGGCACCCTGTGGGTTGTTAGATGAAAGACAGAATGTGTATGATTGCCCAAATGGTCAACCTGTCTAAAAATGATGATAAGTACAATTCATTAAATACTTACAAGGCTGCCATGCATAGTACTAAAACTTTCTCATGGATTGTTTCTTTTAATCCTAATGACAACCTTTAAAGGGTGGGGGTTTCTTCCCATTTTACAGATGGGAAAAGGAAAGTACAGATAATTGCTGTGGATAATGCAGCTGATTAGTAGCAGCAGTAGGTAACTGAACTGAAGTAGTCTGGATTTTACTCTTAACCATTATCTGTGGATATAGAAATCTTCATGTGCCCATGGGAGAAAGACTATGTTTGTTTGTCAGTTCCTTCATTTGTGTGTTCATTGAGCAAACATATTAAATGTACATAAGACGTTCCCAGTGTAGTAGAGATAGAACTCATTCTAAGATAATTTTTTTAAAATGGTAAAATTATGACTTTGATACAGTTATAAAATGAACACATATTAAAGATTTTACTTAACTCATTAGTCAGCTGAGGAACCAGGCAGATGTTAGAACTGGATAGAGAATTCAGAGAACAGACACATTTGTAGATCAGGAATATTGAAATGAATGTGCAAATGCAGACAAAGCTGGCTTTTTCCCAAGTGCAGAGGGAAAGTCAATATAACCTCTACTGGACAGCTCAGAATCTGCATGTTTGTAGACAGGAATTATTTTCATTGCCATCGGTTATTTACAGTTTACCAAGTTGTACAATAGCTAAAAGACAATAAAAGACTAGAACCAGATAACTTGAAAGGGTATGATCTGAACATTTATTTTCTATTGAAGCACAGTTTTTTGTTTTTTGTTTTTTCCTACAACACTAAAGGAAGAATTGTGATGTGGCACAATGGGATATGATTTAAGATAAAAGACTTAAATACAGAGAATACATCCAACTCTCCTAAATTGTTTAGAGAGGACTTCTGGGCAAAGATGGAAATTAAAATAAGAATCTTTGAGCCCAAAGACACCTCAGTTTTCAGATGGGGAAACTGAATCCTAGAGATCTGAAGTAAGTTGTCCAAAGTCACTTACTTCCTGTAGCTGATTAGTAGCAGCAATAGGTTATGAACTGAAGTAGTCTGGATTTTAACCATTATCTGTGCATATAAATATCTCTATGTGGCCGGGCACGGTGGCTCATGCCTGTAATCTTAGCACTTTGGGAGGCCGAGGTGGGCAGATCACGAGGTCAAGAGATCGAGACCACCGTGGCCAACAGGTGAAACCCCCGTCTCTACTAAAAATACAAAAATTAGCCGGGCATGTTGGCGGGCGCCAATAGTCCTAGCTACTCAGGAGGCTGAGACAGGAGAATTGCTTGAACCTGGGGGGCGGAGGTTGCAGTGAGCCGAGATGGCGCCACTGCACCCTAGCCTGGTGACAGAGCGAGACTCCATTTCCAAAAAAAAAAATAAAAAAAATAAAAAAAAGATATCTTTATGTGCTCATGGAGAAAGACATTACAAGAGCACATGAAGCCTTATAATTTTCTGGCTTTCTATGATCCCCTCATTGACCCTTAGCCAGGGAGAGTGGGTAAGGGCCCTGGACCAAAGTTTCTGTGGTAGAGAAGGAAAGACCAAATGCATTAGACAGGGTTCTCCAGAGAGACAGAACCAATAGGATGTGTGTAAATAAAGAAAGAAAGAAAGAAAAAGATTTGTTTTAAGAAATTGGCTCATGTGATTATGGGGACTTTGTGAATCCAGAATCTAATGGGAGAGGCTGGCAGGCTGGAGACCCAGGAAAGAGTTGCAGTTTGAGTCCAAGGCTGTCTGCTAGTGAACCGGGAAGAGCTGATGTTGCAGATGAAGCCTGAAGGCAGTCTGCTGAGGAATTCCATCTTGCCTATGGGAGGTCAGCCATTTGTTTTGATTGGATGAGGCTCTCCCACATTATGGAGGGTAATCTGCTTACTTAAAGTCCACTGACTTCATGTGTCATCCAAAAACACTCTCATAGAAACATCCACAATAATGCTTGACCAAATATCTTGGTGTCGTGGTCCAGCCAAATTGACACATAAAATTAACAGTCACATGTCACCAGAGGACTGAGAGACTTCGTCTTTTCAGAAGTGATTGGGGTGGTGGCAGAGTTGGTGGGGATGACACTAATACCAGGCACCTGGAGTGTGGTGTGGTGAGCAATCAGAAGGTTGTGAACCTGAAGGTAAGGCTTTTCCAACCTCTCAACTTTCCCAAGAGCCAGCCGTTGGATTAAGTCCAAGGGTCGTAACAGTTACAGAGACCACTTGCAGGTCTGTACATCTACCTTGTCAGGGTATGTCTCCCTAAAAGTTAAGGGGAGGCATGGGTTCAGGAGGGGTTTTCTGGTAGTCACAACTTGTGAGTATGTTTGGATATCAGGAATTATAACCAGAGCACAGCTGTTTATCAAGTGCAGGTATCTTGCTACAGAAATTTGTAATATGAATTGAAGATTTGTTTTACAAGTGCTTCTCTGAAAATCACATTGATTATATCACTGTAAGGATACCTGACAAATAATAATCAATTAATTGGAGAAGAATTTAATGTGGAACATTATGTAATGTTATTTAAAATTCTCATATTTGAATATTTATACCAAACTAAAGAGGTAGATCATTATATTTCTTACCTTTGTCTACTTGTTCTTTTTTTTTAACCATAGTATTTCACCTTTTAATACAATCTATCATTTACTCATTAATTATATTTATTTTTCATCTGCCTCCCTCTGTTGGAATCTAAGTTTTATAAGGACAGAATCATTGTCTGTTTTGTGTACTGACGTATCCCAAGTGCCTAGATCGGCATCCACCATGTAACAGGAGCTTAATCAATACATGTGAAATACAATGAATGATTATCTTAATCTTCACAACACCCACATGTCAGTGAGGTAGGTACTGTTTGGATTCCAGTTTAACAGATGAAAACAAGGTTCTGGGAAGTTGCTTTGGTACTGCATTTTAGGTACATCTTAGGCGAAAGAACCATGCAGCTATGCCAGAACACAACCCAGTCAGCTGGGGTCTTGATGGAGGCTTTCTAATTAAGAAGAATACAACTGTTCTGAAGATTTTATAGGCCCAAAGCAAAACCAAGAAATGAGTAAGCAATGTGGGGCCTGATGCTGACACATTACAAGAAAGAAAGAAAAATTAAACAAGAAATGTTAAGATAAGGAGTTATTATTTAATAGGTACAAAATTTTAGTTTTGTAAGATGAAAATCATTCTGTGGATGGATGGCAGTGATGACTGCACAGCAAACAATATGAATGTACTTAATGCCCCTGAAGTGGACACTTAAAAATGGTTGAGATGGTAAATCTTGCTTGTATATTTTACTGTAATTAGAAATAAAATATAAAAAATAAGTGTTAAGATTTAGAGCCATTGTTTAATGGTGTGTTTGTGGGGGAAGGAGGAGAAGGTAAGAAATAAAAGGATCTTATTGGGGAAATGGGAGGAAGAAAAGACCTGAGGTTAAATTTTGGCTTATCTCTTTTTTAACTATGTAGGTTAGACAAGTTCCTTACCCTTCTCAACCTTAGTTGCCCCCATATCTGTAATGAACATGATCATGGTACCTACCTCGTAGAGAAGCCATGAGGATTCATGGAGAATGAGTGAAAAGAGCTCAGTACAATAACTGGCGCCTAATGAATCCTTTTTTAAAAAAGAGTATGCCTATTGACCAGGGAAGGTGTCTTCATTCATTCCAGTCTCTTAATATATTGATTGGCTTTTCAATAAAGCAGTTAAGTGCAGGATTGAGAGCTCTAAGAGACCAAAACCGGTCAGAGAGCACTTGTCACATCATCTCGTCTATTCTCAACTCAGAGGGTATTAAGTAACGTCCAGCTATTACCAGCACAGATCTCTCAGGTCTTAAAGATTGACACCTATGTCCAAGTAGTGCTAGGAGGCCCCAACTCTCTCACAAGGCCCATACATAATAATGTATGATACATAATACATACATATTTGGGAAACAGATTTTGTCCAGATCAGCTTCAAGGACATGACCTGGTCAGTGTTGTTCATTTGTGTCTTTCTTTTCTGAGGTGGTTGGTGGAGAGGCCACTGAGTTGTAACTTTTCCTTTCTTATCTGGGGCACTGAGAAGTAGGTTTCTCCTGTTTCTCAAGAGAAACAAAGTCATAGCAAGCATGCAACACCCTCATGACATTGAGGAAACTATAAAGACCAAATGACATTTCATGTCTTCTTTCCCTCTCTTTATGGGGACTTTCATAAATTATCTCTTAGCAATTGAGCAGACCAAACCTTATGTCCTCTAGGGACAGGTGTTCAAAAGCATTTGTCTCCAGATGAAGGAAGAATTGTCACATGGCAAAGGTTAAGCTCTTGGTCTGGTGAGACAGGATGGACTGAGGGTTATGTGGACATCACTCAGTAAACATTATTACATACCAGAGATGAATTTGCTGGAAAGCTAATGGTGCTTAAGTTCATGCCCCCTCCTTTGCACAAGTCTCTTCCAAAACTCTGGCAGTGTATTCTCATGTTTATGTTTTTGTAAATTTTGCAAAAGTAAGATTTTTCTTTAAAGAAACCCCCCTTCCACACTCCTATCAAATTCAGGCCCCATGAAACCTGGAGCCACCCAGGCTGTTATTTGTTGTTGAAATGTGGGCAGACAGAACCAACCACAATGTGGCAATTCTCAGCATGAGGGCATGCAAGTGCAGATAGAGAGAGGGGAGACTGAGAGTGGGATTGGCCAAGAAGTTGGGATGGAATGAATTCACTGAAAATAAGAAGAGTCTCTCTGCAGCTGTGTTGTACTAATGATGGGGCTGATAGGCCCCCGGAGAGTGGCAGATTTGGAAGCCAGCCTCCATTACCTCTGCAGTTTGTCTGTCTCGCCTGTTATACGGGACATTCTAGTAGGAAAAGCTCTGCTTGAGCTCTTCAGGGCAGACTTAATGACTAACGTCTTTTAAGTAAAATTTCCTCTGAACAATAGGAGCTAAGGTTGTATATCAGAACCAGACATAAATATATTTGGCCATGGATTACAATAAAATTTACTGGTGCTAAAGATAATCAAACCATTTCACTTTCCATGTATTTTATTGTCTGAAAAAAAAGTGATATCACTCCTTGGAAGGGAGGAAAATGACTTGCTTCATTTGCTATTCTGCTGGGAGTGAAAATCTCTGAAACTCAAAGGCAACTATGACTGTCTTTTCTCCCCTAAGTCTGCCCTCCCCATCAGGGAATACTGCCATCCCAGCTAGAAGGCACCAGCTCAGGTTGTTCTTTCAGCCTACCCAGGTTTTACAGCACAAAAGCTGTATGGCATTCTCTTTGCTAGCTGGTGGAAAGAGGCAAACTGTTGAGCAGATGTTGATTAACGGGGCCCAGGTCGCCGTGTTTGGCATTTCAGTTTAAGTTTAGTGGGGCTTTGATAGTGTATACACAGAGGGCCTGTGTCTCGCCTGAGGTAATGAATGCTGCAACCTAACACGCGCATTGTCTTTCCGAGCCTCAGTGTTGCAATATTGAATTACATCGCACTGCCATGAGGGCTGTGAGCCTCTGAAGACCGACATTTGGCCCATGTCAGATCTTAATCGCTTTTTGATATAAGACTACATATACAGAGCATGAGGGCAATTTTTGAATGACTTAATAAAAATGGAAGCATCTTGAAAACAGGCTTTTGATTGTTACTGCAACAGTTTTCTCCAACTTGCTTGCTTGAGTGTTGGCAAAGCAACTTGATTGTAAATGCCTTTCTAAAAGAGATGACCCATATTTTATCCACAGACAGTATATTGAACTAGGGACTTACTAGTTGTATGGACTGAGTCAAGTTGTTGTATCCCTTGAAGCCGCAGTTTGCTCATCGATAAAATAAGAACACAGTATCTTTTCCATAGGATTATTAGGAGAATGAAATGATACAATGGATGTTAAAAGTATCCAGCAGGGGGGACAAGGTACCCAACAGAGATGATAGGACGTAATAGACATTTGATACGTTATATAGCCAATCATATTTAAATATGCTATCATATATATGAAAGGCATTTATTCAGTAATATAGCTGTATTCCCATCATGTTCCACATCTAGACTTCATTCATATGTTATCTCAAAATTGGGTGCAGTGGTTTGAAATGGAGCTATCTCTGGAATTTTTACTTTGAAACCCTTGAACTAAATCTCCCCCGTTCAACGATGTTTGTTTTTCCTTATTCCAATTCAAAGCAGATTCATCACTCTGGCCCATGTGTGGGCACAGTCCTGCTATTTCTCTTTAAGCACTGCCTGACATTTCCTAAAAAGCAATGGGTCGGGAGGCAGGTACTGTACACAATTTTAGTAAAAGACCAACTTTATATCATTCTCTGTTTTTCCAGAGAGTATAACTTTAAGCCTAAGAACAAAATGGGTGTAATAATTGCCATATAATTGCCAGCTGTTAGCAAAGTTTAACTTACTGGGAACTTGAAGGAAGTGTTTACAGATGATTCAAAGGTGTGCTTTTGAATAAATGATCTCAGCCTATTCGGGGTGGGGGTGGACCATGAGCTGCAGCTGGTCTGTCTGCGTCTTTGTATCTCCTGTAACTTTGAGGAGGTTACAGTTTTATTGCCTGGAATTAAGAGGGGAGAAATGTAAACTGCTTCAAGAGCTTTGAAGTTTTGGTTTTAAGGGTTAGGCTGGTTAAGGTTTTACTTAAAAAAAAAAAGTCAACTTCTTCTTAATGATGCCACCTTACATTGCGAAGGGGACTTATAATTTTCATAGTACACATGTTTTTCCATTTGATCCCTTCCGTAAATCCAGTGGAGTCATCGGGGCAGCTATTATGCCCATTTTTGTAGATAAGGAAGCTGAGGTTCTAAAGTGGCTAAACGGCTTGATTGAGATCCTGAGATAGAAAAGCAATGGGAATCAAGTTTTCTGGCTTCCAGTAAATAATGATTCCAACAATAATTGTAATGGCAAGGACATGTAAAAGATCAGGAAAATGTTTTATATGTCAGTTGTTGAGCTAAGTTCTTGATGTGTGTAACTCGGGTGCCACCTGAGGTCATCCTGTCCTTTGAGATGTAAATACAGCTTACATGTTCTACCCCACATCCAGAAAGAAGCCCATTCCTCCCCACTTCTCCCCATCCCTCACAGTCTCCTCTTTCCAGAATGCCCTCCAGGTGTGAATTTCCATCCCCGTTATACTGCTCACTTACACCTCTTTTCCCTGTGGGTCTGGTTGTTCAGTTTACCCACTCGTGGCACACAGCCTCTTCCCTTTAACTTCTCCTCTTACCACTCACACAAGGCATGTGGGCTGAGCAGTCTTTCCTGAAACCTTAGGTTGGGAGAGCAGGGCTTATAATCATAACAAGGAGGACTTGAGAAAGTGGAGCATCAGGCTTCCTTGATTCTGCACAAAGCTGGTGCTGCCTCGCCATGTGGAGTTTTTCATCAGTCACTTTGCCTGCTTGTTTCAGCAGCTTGCCATGTGTTCAGCTTCTTCCCTTACCTACTTTTTTCCTTGGCCCACCTGACTACCTTTCTTCACACTGTCAGTCCTACCCCACCTGAAGAGTGTGGGAAAGATGAGAGGCTGGAGGTGTGGTCTGTCAGGAGGCAGAGGAGCATGAAGACACTTCAACTCCACTATTTTCAGATAGGGTAGGGCTGACAGTCCTATGATTATGTGGGAAAGATTAGTACTACTAATAGTGGTTCATACTTCCCTAAGCAACAGCAACACTTCTCTCAAAATGCAACTCGGGTCCCAGCTCTTAAAATTCCATTTCCCCCTTGCTTTCTACATTTGCATTAACTCTTGTAGCTGCGATAACTACCTTCTGGGATAGGTGTTACTATTATCCCATTTTACTGTGGATAAAATGAGGCTCAAAGACATTAGCTAACCTGCCCAACACACACAGAATTTAAATATCTCCTCATATTCACTGGTCTGAGGGTCATCAGATGTTTTCTTAAAGGGCCAGATGGCCTCCATTGCAAATATTCAGTTCTGCCATTTGTAGTACTACAGCAAGTATAGATATTGGCTGGGTTTCAATAAATTCTGTTTACAAAAACAGGTGGTGGGCCGGAAACTGGCCTGTGGGCGGGAGTTTGCTGACCCTGCGCATTAGCATACTGCTGCCTTTTCCCGTAATACTGGCTCTCTATTTAATGTCTCTAAAACCTAAAGTGGATTGAGAACAGAATCCAGGACAGAATCCATGTGGCCACATCATTTTGAGTTCTTTTTCTTTTTCTGGCTGAAAGCATCTTGTAGCTTTTCACAGAGCAAACAGGTCTGCAATGACTGTTAAGCTACCCATAGGGCATCCTTGATGGCGCTTCCTCTGAACTTGGTTGGAGACATGCTGGGATTTTACAGTCTGGGCCAACAGCACATTACTAGAATTGTGTGACTGTTTTTTGTAGTTTCTTTTAAAGCGAAGTGGACAGTGCATGCACTGCCTATATTTCTCAAAGTCTGGTTTTCTCTCTGGGGCCACAAGGACCTAAGAGAACATAGTTTATACTCAATTTATTGTGTCTAAACAACAGCAGGAGTTGCTATTTTCTACATCTTAGGACACTAACTCTGACAAATAAATGTGACCAGGTTAAATTTGTGTGTGTGTGTGTGTGTGTGTGTGTGTGTGTGTGTGTGTGTGTGTGTGTGTTTGAGATGGAGTCTCACTCTGTCGCCAGGCTGGAGTGCAGTGGCGCGATCTCGGCTCACTGCAACCTCTGCCTCCTGGGTGCAAGCAATTCTGCTGCCTCAGTCTCTTGAGTAGCTGGGACTACAGGCACACACCACCATACCCGGCTAATTTTTGTATTTTAAGTAGAGATGGGGTAGCTGCCCAGTGTATGGTGTTGATGGAAGTCAGTGTCCTGTTTTGCTTAAGTCTGGTCTCATCTCTGAGCTCTGGTTCTCAAGATTGATGTTGAAAACAAAGATATCTTCTCTCTGCAAGGATGATTTAAAGAAACACTGAAAACGACTTTTCACTTCTTCTTTTTTGGCATTTCAGTATCTTACAAGTGACCAAAGGTTGTCTCCCTCTCTCTCTGCACTCCCACCCCCTTTTTTTCTAAAAAATATGTGTGAAGGCAGTCCATCATTATTTGCCAAGTTTCAGTTTAGAATTAAGTTTTACAGCTGGCTTATCATGTAATCCCCTGCAAATAGGGGTTTGAAATGAAAAATGTTAAAACCATCTTAATCTGCTGGTAAATGTTTTCATTCTAGCACTTATCTGAGTTCCAAGTGGGCCTTGGAAAATTATTCTTGGGTCTCTTATTGAATGTATGAATCATGAATTGCATTCCTTCCCAACAAGCAGAGCAAAGTTCTGGTAAAGCCTACAGCCCAGGGAAGTGCTTCATTCTGAACTGTAAATAGGTCCCACCTGCCTGTGTCTTCTGTTGGGTAGAAAGTACTTTTCAGGACCTCTGGCTGCAGGCATCAGGGAATGGGTGGGGAATGGGCTTTCCTCTGTGAAATCCTTATATGAGTTTCTCATGTGCTTTCCCTAATAACTACTACTTTAGAAGAATCAAGGAGCTGTTCCAGAGCTGCTTCTGCCTACCTAATATTTCTAATGAGCAACTTATTGAAATTCATTTCACATGTATGTATTGAGGGCCTACTATGTATGTGCTAGGTATTGGGAATACAGTCTGGAATGAGAGAGATGGAGTCCTTGCCCCCATGGAGCTTTGGCTTAATGGAAAATTAGTCAGTAAACAAAAGTCAAGCTAAGATTCCAGAGTTAATAACCTGACTGCAGTTGCAGGGAGTATGATGAAGCAGTACAGGTGTTGAGAGAATATGGGAGGACTCTTCCCTTGTCAAGGACAGGATGTAGCATTTCAGAGAAAGGAGAAAAGAAGACAAGGTGTTTGCTGAGCCAGAGAGGGTGGAGTTGTGGAGCTTAGCAGTTCAAGGACTTCAGTGTGACTGGAGTAAACAGGCAGGGTGGAAAGGAGGCTGGCGAATTAGGCAGGGCTAAGGG
The DNA here is from genome assembly GCF_000001405.40 of Homo sapiens. Classification (NCBI taxonomy): domain Eukaryota; kingdom Metazoa; phylum Chordata; class Mammalia; order Primates; family Hominidae; genus Homo; species Homo sapiens. Next base: position 56,050,488 of record NC_000003.12, on the reverse strand, counting down.
AAGGTTTTGTAGGAGACGCACGCATTTCACACTTGACCCCAACACTTTTCCATTGCCTTTTGCTTATGAAACTGAGACAAAACAGCCTCAACAATCCACCAGCTTGTTTCTACTCTGGTCCCTTGCAGATCCCAGATCCAACTGGAGGGCGTCCCAGACTGAGACAGTTGTATAGAAATAGCTGCATGGCCATGGGCTCTGTCCTTCCCTTGAGTCTTAGTGGTACAATCTTTAAACCTATTAATATAAGCATGTTTTACTAGTCACTTAAAAAGCTTGAGATATTACTTACATACAGTTAAATTCCTCCTTTTTGGTGTACAATCTATGCATTTAAAAAATCCATACAGTCCCATGACCATCACTGCAATCAACATATATGACAGTTTCATCATCCTCTAGAATTCCCTCATGCCCCTTTGCAGTCAGCCTCAGTGCCCTGGCAACCACTGATCTGCTCCTTCGTCCCAATAGTTTTGCCTTTTGTACAGTGTCATATAAATGGACCCATAGATATGTAGCCTTCTGGGTCTAGCTTCTTTTGCTTGGCATAATGTACTTGAGGTTCATCTGTATAGTTGTGGAAATCTGTGTTAGGGTTCTCTAGAAGGACAGAACCAATAGGATACACACACACACACACACACACACACACACACACACACACACATATATGATGGGAGTTTATTAAGTAGCATTAACTTATACTATCTCAAGGTCCCACAATAGTCCATCTGCAAGCTGAGGAGCAAGGAAGCCAGTGTGAGTCCCAAAGCTGAAGAACTTGGAGTCTGATGTTTGACAGCAGGAAGCATCCAGCATGGGAGAAAGATGTAGGCTGAAAGGCTAAGCAAATCTAGCCTTTTCATGTTTTTCTGCCTGCTTTATATCCTGGCCGTACTGGCAGCTGATTAGTGGTATCCACCAAGATTAAGGTTGAGTCTGCCTTTCCCAGCCCACTGACTCAACTGTTAATCTTCTTTGGCAACACCCTCACAGAAACACCTAGGATCAATACTTTGCATCCTTCAGTCCAATCAAGTTGACACTCAGTATTAACCTTCACAGTATCAGTAGACCATTCTTTTTTATTGTGGAGTAATAATCCATTGCATGGGTGAACTGCAGTTGTTTGTTCCTTCACCTGTTAAAGTGGTCCAGTCATGATCACATGGGGCACCTCTTCACAGAAATCTCGCCTGCTTGGCTGTGGGGGCTTCCTATCAGCCGTTTCTGCTTTCACTGTGTCCTTAGCATGCGCTCACCCCCAGCAGCCAGCCTCATCTTTGTCAACACAAGTCGAGTCATGCTATCTCTATGCTCAAAATGCTAAAGCCACCTACTGCTTTCAGAATAAAGGTCCTTAGCATTCTCCAACATCCTCTATCATCTGGGCTATGCCTGCCTTACTGGCCTCCTCTGTACTGCCTGCCCCCCTTTGGCCATTTGGAACTCCTTTTTGCCTTAGGGCCCTTGCATTGTAGTTCTCCCCAGCAGGTTCTTGGTATCATCTACCACTCTCCTTAGATATCACCTCCTCCAAGAGGTCTTCGTGAATACCCATCTCACGTAACTCAGCTGCAAACCCCCATCACTTACTGTTCCCTGAACTGGTTTATTTTTGTACCTAGCACTTTGTACTTATCACTGTCTGAAGTTACTACATTTTGTGTGCATTTGTTGACTTGTTTATTGACTGTGTCCCCCGTTGTACACAAGCTCTACAGAGGCAGGGACCGAGTCTGGCTTCTTCACCAGGTCTGCAGAGGTTACTTGGCATACAGGAGGAATTAAACAAATATTAGCTCAATACTGAATGAATCAAAAAACATATAACCAGGCATATTGAGAAGGAAGATGCTTTGATTTTCTTGTTAATGAAACATTTTTCCTATGCTGTCTTGAAACTATTTGATTCTCACTGAGACTGGACCTGCGGTGCTAATAGTATGTAGTCAGACCAGTTTGAAGTAAATGCTTACAGAAGAGCTGTTCTTGAGCATGCTATTGGCCAATTCACATTAGATATTAAAAAAAAATTAAAGTAGTGGGCAGATGACTATGGTTTTTAACAAAGCAAGCACTGTGTTTAGAATGTGAGAGACTTGGGTTCAAGTCTTACTTTGCTGTCTTGTAGCAATGTGACCCTTGTCTGTAAAATAGGGATCATTGTCACCAAATCATAGACTTGTTACGCAGATTCAATCAGCAAACAGTGCCTGGCACTGGGAGATCTTGCTCTTGGCTTATAGCTTCTTCCTGCCCCCTCTGTTCCTGAGTTTAAAGAAGGCTGAGTTAGAGTTAGACAAAACACTGAAGTAATTTACGGTTTAATATTTAGACCAACATAAGTATTGAGAGCAGATTTGACTTGCTTATCTGAATATCATCTGAATATCTTTAAATCTTTTTAAAAAATTGTTCTTATTAATTTGTTTTAAAGAAAATCACCAGGCAGCCCATTTGGGGTACTACATAGGGATTCACCACCCCATGAATTGCAGGGTTATTGTGTTGCTTTCTTGGAATTCCACTGCATCTAGGGCCCTATAATATAGAAGCTGCTTCTTTTTTTGTGGGTACAATTCTACATCTGCAACTGACTGAATGTGAACATGGGCTTGTACAGAAATAATTAGCCACTTGCCCCTTATTTTGAGGGTGCAAGTGGCCCCTCTTGCCAGCAATTACTGAACCATGGAAAGGAGGAAATCTACGGGAGAGCCTGTGGAAATGTAAGCATAAAGGCAAATTGCTTTTCTTTTTCAAAGTTACAGCTATCTTTTTCTTTTAAAAAAGTACTTGAAAGTATGAAAGCTACCTTGGAACAAAACTACTAGTCATTCCTTGCACCTCTCCCTGGGTGTATCACTTCAAATATTCCCCATTTTCCTCCTTCATTTTGTTCTCAGGGCTTGTTTAAATACCCTGTGTGCTTTAAGCACTGCATTTGGTTTCACAGTTGGTTCATTGTACATTTTAACTAATTATTAGTAAAGTATCTGGCTTATGAACTCTGGCCTTTTTCCTCTAGAAGGACTCCTTGATGCCTTATAGCAGCCCCTTGCATTTTAATATGCTTTTGCAGGGAATTTTGCAGTGACCTGCAGTATGGCACCTATGGATACATCTGGATTTGCATCACTTACCCCAAACATATGCTCTGATTAAGGACAGGATCCAGTGGTATTAAAGGACCAGAGGAATTTGTTAACAAAGCATAGAAGTTGTTGATGGCCATCCCGAAACATTGATCTGTGAGATTCCAAAATTACATGTGGAGAAGCTGCCTTGGACAATAAAAGAACAAAACACATTCTGGATCTTAATAGGAAACAAAAATGCATAGACAAAAGCAGATTGCTTCTTTAAATATCCGATTTCAGAACAAGACTAGCCTCCTAGGAAAGTTTAAGGGACCCTGAATTTAATTGGGAAAAGAAGCCCGGGTTTATGTTTTCTTCAGCGTCAGGCTAGCAGATGAGACTGAATTTTTGACACTTTGCAGAAGACAGACTCCTTTCCACTAGCGGAATGAATCTGGGGCCTGCATCATTATTTTACTTTGTAAATTCTGCATGTGCTGTAATCAGACCTCTTAAATGCAGATGGTTACTGCTGGAAGGAATGAACAACATTAAACTTTGAAAGGAAGAAAATGAAAGGGTTTCTTAACTATTTCAGCTTATCTGTCCAGCCCCAGGGTTTAGATCACAGGCCTACAGGGTGACTGCTCATGATCTTTTTGTGCCTCTTCTCTCTAAGTGGGAGATTCCATGAAGTTCTTTTGCCAGGAACTTGAGAGGCAAAGAATATACAGAATTTGTTTCATTTATGCTGACACTCTGTCCATTAGAATTTATCAGGTCTCATTATTTTATGGGTATTTGTTATATCTTCAGCCTCTTTGTTTTATGGTTGGCCTCCAATGGGTTCTAAGTGAAGATAGGCTATGGATATGATTGTCATAAGTAACTGGTGACTTCCCATTGAAGAAGCCTTTCACAGAGATGGAATCTTTGCATGCCCTTTGCTTTCTCATGAAAGATGCCCTTATCAGTGTAAATACCACCGATGTCTATGCTGTTCTTAAGGAAGGTGCAAGGGAGGAGGAGCTTACTCGCCAACCCTTCTCACCCCCAGCTTCTTCCTGGACCCATGTCCTGTGGGTATCTCCTAAATGGCAGTGAATAATGCTTTCTGAATTCTCAGACCTTTGAAAAATAAGTTCAGTACCGGAAACTTAGGGAGAACATTGTCAATTTTTCTTGAAAAGGGTGATGGTTGAGGGAGAAATTGGGAGTAACTATTATTTTCCAGACTCAGTTTGATGTAAAAATGTTTCAGTGCAAGTGTTTCCAGAGCTCTGGTTCATGGGACTGGGAGATCAAAAATCACCTGTAGCACTTGTTTAACATGTGAATTACCATACCTCTCCCTGGATCTACTGTGTCAGCACTTCTAGTCGGGGGCTCAGGAATCTGCATTATCAGGTATTCAGATGATTCTCGTGTGCAGTCAAATTTGGAAGCCACGCTATTTTTGTGTAATTTTTATATTTTAATAATTGAGTATATTTTTTGCAGGTGTGTGATTCATCACACCACGGTGAGTGATAGGAATATGATGATCCCCTGACTGTATAGAATTGTGTAAATCATTTGGGTGCTGGTGTGTCTCAGAAGTTGCTGAATTATATTCTTATGGGCTTTCTGTCCACCCATCACTTTGTTCCAATGAATAACATATGTCATTGTGTCACAAAAAATTCTTGAGAGGAATTTTTGACCTTAACCTCATGGAAACTCTTAATTTCCAGAAATCCTTTCATGTTTAGTTTCCAAAATATTTGATATAAATTTTAAAGGTGCTCAAAGTTACCGTATAGCATTTGTGAATTTTAGATGCAACACCGTGGCTTTCGTCAGAATGCTAGGTAAGATTATACTTCCCTATAGAAACGCATCTGAAGTGAAGGGGATTTGTGGCACAGGTAGGATCCATCTTTGAGGTGCTTATCAGGGCTATTCAAAACTGGGCTCTGGAAAGATAAGGCTGTGGTATGTCTTGCCATGTAGGTAGAACACACTGTTAAAGACTCAAATGCACAGGTCAAAGAAAAAACATGCTAAATTAGTAAATTATCTTCCCACAGGTCATGCTTGTGAATCTAATTGAAGAAGTGTTACGGTTCTGTTTACATTTCTTGATGTTTCTAAAATGAAAATAAAAAGTAAATTTGCAAATTTGCCTTTAATTCTTGCATGTTAACCGCCCTCTTTTAGAGATAGTCTGATGAGGGTAAAATGCACTTTAATCTCTATTTCTAAAACTTTATGCCAACTAAAAAAGAATTCTAACATACTCTTAGGTTATTTTATAGATTATATTGATAGTGAGCTTCAGTTTTAAAGTATATTTTTCTAATCTACCATAAAATACGTTCTATATCCACTAGAACTATTGCTTTGGTGGTTTCTATTTCTAGCACATGTTACTATGTTTTTGAAATGGAACATTTGCTGTAGGGGACAGAACATTTAGCATGAAGGATACTAAGCAATAACAAAATAAATTGTCTGCAAATAACGATGTAGGGTGCTTTGACATAATGTTTCTATTTTTCAGTCTGGTAGTTCATCTCCCTGTCCTTCCTCTGGGTTTGTATTTGATTTGGGGAGCGAGAGTTAGGATTTGTTTATTTAGGAAGTAGATGCAAGAGTCCAAAAATGAACCGCGTCCTAATCCTGCCCCCGGTGACTCTTATAACAACATTGTGGAGGGATTTTTTGAAATGCTATCTCTTCTTAAGAGGAAATTTTCTGCAATATGAGTATTTTATCCTATTATTTCTTAAATTAAATTAAAGAGCATAGATAGAGTACTTTAAGTTGGAAAATAGTTTCTTGAGTACTGAAGTGCTACAATTTTCCCCCCAAATGAATACATACTTTTAATCTCAAATTTAGTTTATTCTATTATTTCATTTTTGAACTCAAAGGAAATAAATCTCTTCATTTTATTCCCTCCATAGGTTTCAAATGTTCAGCTCATAAAGTTACATAATCTCTTAAAAAAGTAAAAGATCATAACCAAATTTAGAATTCAAAACAAGGACTATACATAAATAATTCTTGAAAAAAAAATCCTAAAACCCCAAGAACACAGTCAAAATTGTGAAAAGGCATCAACTTGAAGTAATTTAAATAGCACAGTTTTATAGCTGTCTTAGAATGACCTTGAAAAAATGTTTCCCAAAACGAATTCTCCCTTAAATAATTCTTTCAGACAGAGTCTTGAAGAACAAACTCTCTTGAAGTGAATTGTTTTCTTTGATGCTGTTCTTTTTCCTGCAAATCCCAGAGGACAGAATATTTGGTTTTAACTTAAGATAATGAAAGTAATTTTACTTTGAGAACTAGGTTTTCAGCCGAATTGTAAAGCCTGTCTGCAGGTGAGATTTAATTTAATCCTTTGAGTACTTAAGAAGCATTCCTGAGACAGTGGCCAAGAAAGTGACAAGATTAGCACTTTGTTTATTGACAGTGTGTGGACAAGAAAAGACTTTTATCCTGAAGAGTTTAATGATTTTTTTTAAGTGATCTTACTGACAAATCTTAATTACTAAAATATACATTATTTAAATAGTCAAAGATTAGATGATGTGTTTGAATTTTAAAGTTAGTTGCAATTGAATTGTAGATGAGGAATTAAACAGTAACAAAGCAACCATGAAAGGCAGGTACTATCTTGTCAACTAACTTATAAGTTTAGAATAGAGTTAGAGGGTAGAAAATGAACGTATGAGTATTAAAAGAAAATGTATTAACGAAAATCTGTGGAAGATCTGTGATATATTTCTCAGAATCAGTCATTTGCATGTGGTTTTCATGAGAGTTTAAAGATTTTAAAAGATTTTTTTTTACTTGTCCTATTGCTTCCTTTTTAATTCCTCTTTTTTTTTCTGAGTGTCTTGTGTTTCCGATAAGCAGTCCAATTTTTCTGATGTCAGACACTATTTGAATAAATAAAGAAGTCCATTACAAATGAAAGGTATATGCATGGTTGAAACTTGATCCCAACGCTATATAACATATATAGCTATGACTTTCCAATAAAATTAGTGCCATAAAAAATTCTTAATCATTTTCTGTTCAATGTGTGCAAATGTACTTTTGCCACACACAATGATCCCCTTGTGTACACTCTGCTTTTTATTTTATTTGGGGAGTACAAAATGTTGAAAAACTAGAATATTTTACATACTAAATTTGATAGGTCTTCAGGTTTTTATATGGAAAACAAACAAAAATAAATCTTCTTTCTGACTATCACGATATCCAGCAGAAATGACTTTACACTATATTAGGAGTTTTTTTCATTTTGCGGGCTCCAGACCTCTTGGCCGCTCTGCCATCCTCTCAATACGTTTAGCCACGGTTAGCAAACCATGAAGATCTTGCCTACAGTAATCACTTATTAATATTTTGAAATCATAAAATATTTCTAGAAGCTCCTTTGGATTTTGCCTGCCATTCCATCATTGGACTTTTTCAGGATGTTCCGTTTTAGGACAATTTGGGGATGTTTTAAATTTGCTGCCTGTTCATTTTATGTCTAAAGGAAAAATTACACAAAATTCCTTACCATTTGGAAACATGTTGTCTTGGTTAGGGGTTTCGACCACATTTTAAAATTAGTTTTAAGAGAAAATGAATTGTATAAATGATCTGAAATTCAGTTAAGCACCGAGAATTGGGAAGCCGCTACTTTTATTTTAGAGTACCTTATTCATTGAAGTCAGACTGCTGACGATAAAAGAGCATTCTAGACCTTTAAACATTGATTATGCACTTTGGGGAGCGGTCTTATTTTCTGCTTTCACCCGTCCATTTGAATTTGGGCTTTGGTAGAGCTTGTATAGTGCAGTATCTCAAATATTCCACAGGGTGTCATGATGTGGTTGGTTGTTCTCAGGGACACTGTTTGGTAGGAGGTATATGAGCCAAGCCTTATCCAGTGTTTTAAACGGCTGGTTCACTTTGTTTTCAGTTGAGGAATATTTACTGAGAACCTCCTATGTGCCAGCCCCACGATAGGAATGCAGATCTTAGTGGTATTAGGAAGCTCCTCTTCTTCGCTTTGTGTTTGGCATTTCAGCCAACAGAATATTTACCAACACAGTGAGTTGGCTTGAATGTGTTTGAATTTATTTCCCATGTAGCTTTATGTCATTTGGGAATGAATCTGAAATGGAAGATCAGGTTTTGCAAACAACTAAATTCCCCAGTTAGAAACTAGTTCTTTTCCCTCCTTCATCTCGTGGGAATGTATAACTATATGTGCAGGTGCAGGAAGGGGGCTGAGAGTTCCTTCTCTAAAAGACTCCTGGGGTAGTTGTGTGGAGCCTGAAGCAGGAGCTGGGGCTTCTTGAGTCTGTCTGAGTGTGAACCTCACTTTGCCGCTAATTTGCTGGGTCACCTTAATCAAGTTACTTTGCTTCTTTTCACTTTAAATCATTGATGGTATTTTCAAAGAGTAAGTGAAAAATAATCTGTTTTTAAAAAGTATTTAGTGGCTTCCATTTCTGCAACAGGGTGTCATAAAGTCACTAATACTTGTTCCTTCCCTCCAAATACAATTGAGTACCTGAAAATAGTACGACAGGCAATCATAAAAGGACTTTGACAGGTAGTAAAGAAGAAAGTGGATTGGCTAGGGACCTGAGGACTTGAAGAACGGCATCATGGTGAGTTTCCTGACTTTTCTTCCCATCTCCCATATATATCTTACTGGGCACTGGAGAGCCCTGCAGCCCTGAATTGCCAGCAAGAATTGGTGGAGGGAAGGAATGAAAGAGGGAAAGGAAGAAGGAGAAAGTGAGAGAGGAAAGGTGGAAGGAAGGAAGAAAGGGGAAGGGAATGCCTGCTTTCTCTGGCCAAAGGAGTGGAACAGGAGAAGCCCAACTGGGATTTAGTAATGGCCCAGTCTGCCCAGAAATGTTGCCAGCCAAGCCCTCAGTAAGCCAACCCATTTTCCTGTCTTACATCTGCCAGAAGTGGTGAGCGCAGGATGCCTACAGCAGCTTCATCAGCAGAGCCAGGGTAGCTCAATCTATCACCAGCCCCAAACTGCTGGTAGAGCCTCTCTGCCCCTAGCAGTGATATCAGTGACCCGGGGAGGAGACTCTTCCACTCCTTTGGTCAGACTGAACTACTATGCTAAACCAAAACAGATGACTTCCTATTAGGTAAAAGATATACATAGAATGTAAATAGGAAAAAAACCCCACCTCTTAAACATATATCTAAAATGTCCAAGATACAATAGAAAATCACCTGTCATACCAAGAAAATAACCCATTATACCAAGAAACCTGTCATACAAGAAAAATCACAATTTTGATGAGAAAAAGACAGCTGACATGAATCAGATAATAGAATTATCTGACAAAAGCTGTAAAGCAATTATCATAAAATTGATTGAATGAGTGATTACAAGTTCATTTAAGAAGTGGAAAACCTCACTGGAAGGACTCAACGGTAGAGTGGAAATGACAGAAGATAGAATCACTGAACTTGAAGACAGATCAATAGGACTTAATCTGAACAACACAGAGAAAATAATACCCTTAGAAAATTCTCTAAGGGGAGATATATAGATACATATATATCTATATGTATCTCTCTATATATATCTATATATATCTCTATATATAGAGATCTATGTATCTATATCTCTCTCTATATATATAGAGATATATCTATATGTATCTCTCTCTATATATCTCTCTCTATATAGAGATATATGTATCTATCTATATATGTATATATACATATACATCTATATATGTATATATACATATACATCTATATATTATATATACATATATAGATATATATGTATATGTATACATATATACATCTCTATATACATATATAGATATATATGTATCTATATATCTCCCCTTAGAGAATAGCTATAAGGGAGATGAGTGCTGTAGCTTATGCTTGTAATCCCAGCTACTCAGAGGAGGCTGAGGTGCGTCATTACACTGAGCTATCTATGCTCATGCTACTGCACTCCGGCCTAGGTGACAGAGGGAGACCCTGTCTAAAAGAATGGCAAAGGAAGCTCTCCAAGCAGAAAGGAAATAAAGTGTAATGGAAAAAAAATCAAAGTAATTAATAATAAACTGCATATAAACTAAATAAAACAAGCTATCTTTCTCCTTGTGGTCCTTAAATCACGTATGTGATGGTTGAAGAAAAATTGTAACATCTGTTTTGGTGTTCAACGTCTATGTTTCCTTTGCTGTGCAAAAGCTTTTTAGTTTGATGCAATCCCATTTGCCTATTTTTCCTTTGCTACCCGTTTTGGGGTTTTATTTAAAAAAAAATCATTGGCCAGATCAATGTCAAAAAGCTTTTTCCTTATGTTTTCTTTGGGCAGTTTTGCAGTTCCAGCTCTTGTATTTAAGTCTTTAATCTATTTTAGTTGGTTTTTACATGTAGTGTGAGATAAGGGTCCAATTTTACTTTTTTGCATATGGATATCCAGTTTTTCCAACATTATTTATTAAAGATATTCTCTTTCCCCTATTGCATGTTCCCGGCAATTTTGCAAAGAAAAATTGACTACAAGTGCATGGATTTATATTTGGAATTTCTATTCAGTTCCATTGATCTGTATGTTTGTTTTTATGCCAGCACCTTACTGTTTTGATTACTATAGCTTTGTAGTATATTTTGAAATCAAGTAGCATGATGCTTCCAGATTCATTTTTTGCTGAAGATTGCTTTAGCTATTCAGGGTCTTTTTTGGTTTCATATGAGTTTTAGGATTTTTTTTTCTATTTCTGTGAAAAATGACATCGGAATTTTCATAGAGATTGATTTGCATCTGTAGAATGCTTTGGGTAGTATGGAGATTTAAGCAATATTAATTTTTCAAATTCGTGAACATGGGATATCTTTCCATTTATTTGTGTCTTCAGTTGCTTTTAGCAATGTTTTATAGTTTTCAGTGTACAAGCCTTTTGCCTTCTTGATTAAATTTATTCCTGTTATATTTATTGTCTTGAAGCTATTGTAAATGGGATTGTTTTCCTAATTTCTTTTTCAGATAGTTTGTTGTTAGTATATAGAGATGCTACTGATTTTTTGCAAGTTAACTTTCTATCCTGCAACATTACTGGATTTGTTTATTAGTTTGAACACTTTTTTACTGGAGTCTTTAGGGTTTTCCTTTTTTTCTGTTTAATTTTTATTTTAAGTTTCAGGGTACATGTGCAGGATGTACAGGTTTGTTTCATAGGTAAACATGTGCCATGGTAGTTTGCTACACCTATCAATCTATCACCTAAGTAGTTTATTTGCAATTAGGCTGGTGAGTGGTATGAGGGTGAGGATGGTAGAGAAGTACATAATAGATGCTGTCTGCCCGATGGCAATAAAAGGGTATTTGACTGGCTGCCCTATCAATCCATCACCTAGGTATTAAAGCCCAGCACACATTAGCTATTTTTCCTGATGTTCTCCCAACCCCCACCACCTACCACAGGCCCCAGTGGGTGTTTTTCCCTTCCCTGTGTCCATATGTTCTCATTGTTCAGCACCAACTTATAAGTGAGAACATGCAGTGTTTGGTTTTCTGTTCCTGCATTAGTTTGCTGAGGATAATGGCTTCCAGCTCCATCCATGTCCCTGCAAAGGACATGATCTTATTCCTTTTTATGGCTGCATAATATTCCATGGTGTATATGTATCACATTTTCTTTATCCAATCTATCACTGATGGGCATTTGGGTTGATTCCATGTCTTTGCTATTGCGAATAGTGCTGCAATGAACATACACATGCGTATATATTTATAATAGAATGATTTATATTCCTTTGGGTATATAACCAGTGGAAGGATAGCTGGGTCAAATGGTATTTCTGGTTCTAGGTCTTTGAGGAATCACCACACTGTCCTCCACAATGGTTGAACTAATTTACATTCCCACCAACAATGTAAAAGCATTCCTCTTTCTTTACAGCCTCACCAGCATCTGTTGTTTCTTGATTTTTTTAATAATTGGGATTTGACTGGCGTGAGATAGTATCTCATTGTGGTTTTGATTTGCATTTCTCTAATGATAAGTGATGTTGAGCTTTTTTTCATATGTTTGTTGGCCACATGTGTGTCTTCTTTTGAGAAGTGTCTGTTCATGTCTTCTGCCCACTTTTTAATGGGGTTGTTTGTTTTATTCTTATAAATTTGTTTAAGTTCCTTGTGGATTGTGGATATTAGACCTTTGCCATATGGATAGATTGCAAAAATTTTCTCCCATTCTTTAGGTTGTCTGTTTGCTCTGATGATAGTTTCTTTTGCTGTGTAGAAGCTCTTTAGTTTAATTAGATCCTATTTGTCAATTTTTGCTTTTGTTGCAATTGCTTTTGAAGTTTTGTCATGCCTATATCCTGAATGGTATTGCTTAGATTTTCTTCTAGGGTTTTTATGGTTGTGGGTTTTACATTTAAGTCTTTAATCCATCTTGAGCTGATTTTTGTATAAGGTGTGAGGAAGGGGTCCTGTTTCAATTTCCTGAATATTGGCCCCCAATCTCTTCTGGCTTGTAAAGTTTCCACTGAGAGGTCCACTGTCAGTCTGCTGGGCTTCCCTTTTTAAGTGACTTGACCTTTCTCTCTGGCTGCCCTTAACATTTTTCCTTCATTTTGACCTTGGAGAATCTGATGATTCTGTGTCTTGGGGTTGATCTTCTCATGGAGTATTTTACTGGGGTTCTCTGGGTTTCCTGAATTTAAATGTTGGCCTGTCTTTCTAGACTGGGGAAGTTCTCCTGGATGATATCCTGAAGTATGTTTTCCAACTTGGTTCCATTCTCACCATCTCTTTCAGGTACCCCAATCAGTCATAAGTTTGGTCTTTGTATATAATCCCATAGTTCTCAGAGCTTTTGTTCCTTCCTTTTCATTCCTTTTTCTCTAATCTCGTCTGACTGTCTTATTTCAGCAAGACAGTCTTTAAGCTCTGAGATTCTTTCTTCTGCGTGGTCTCTTCAGCTATTGATACTTGTGATTGCATTGTGAAGTTCTCATGTTGTGTTTTTCAGCTCTATCAAGTCATTTATGTTCCTCTCTAAACCGGTTATTCTCATTCACAGCTCCTGTGATGTTTTATCAGGGTTCTTAGCTTCTTTGCATTGGGTTAGAACATACTCCTTTAGCGCAGTGAAGTTCATTATTCTTCAACTTCTGAAGCCTACTTCTGTCAGTTCATCCATCTCAGCCTCAGTTCAGTTCTGTGTTCTTGCTGGAGATGTATTGCAATCACTTAGAGGAGAATAGGCACTCTGGGTTTTTGAGTTTTTAGCATTTTTGTGTTGATTATTTCTCATCTTTGTAAGCTTATCTACCTTTGCTTGATCTTTGAGGCTGCTGACCTTTGGATGGGGTTTTTGTAGGGGCTTTTTTATTGACGTCGTTGTCGTTGTTGCTTTTTGTTTGTTTGTTTCTCTTTTAACAGTCAGGCCCGTCTTCTATAGGGCTGCTATGGTTTGCTGTGGCAGCTGCCCCTCCCCTTGGGAACTTGGTCATCTTAGGCAGTCTCCAGCCTGCTGCCACTGGCTTCAACCGGAGTGGCTGCTGAGTGTCTGCACAGCTCTTTGCTTGGGCCCCACGGCTCTGGTGGCATGGGCTCATGAGGGAATCTCCTGATTTGCAGGTTGTACAGGTTCATAGAAAAAGCGTGGTTTCCCGAGCAGGGTAGCACAATTACTCACTGCCTCCCTTGTCTGGGGGTGAGAGCTCCACTTGTTCTGTGCAGCTCCCAGTGGGCCGTCACTCCACCCTGCTTTTTCTCACTCTCCATGGGTTGCACCAACCGCCTAGTCAGCCCAGATGAGAGAACCTGGATACCTCAGCTGGAGGTGCAGGATTCACTTGCCGTTTTCGTTCTTCCTGGTGCCGCTGACGGCAGCTGCTTCCAGTCAGCCATCTTGGTCCCTCCCCTCAGAGTTTTCTCTATTTAAGATCATGTCATCTGCAAACAGATGCAATTTTACTCCTTCCAGATTCGGATGATTTTATTGTTTTTTTTCTTGCCTAATTGTAGCAAGGTACTAAAGTGAAAAGAAGGCGCCAGGTACTATATAGAAAAGAAGTGGCAAAAGTGGGCATCCTTGTCGTGTCCCTGATCTTAGAGGAAAAGTTTTCAGCTTCTCTCCATTGAGTATTAAGTTAGCTGTGGGCTTATCATGTATAACCTTGATTATGTTGAGGCACATTCATCTTATGCCCAATTTGTCGAGAGTCTTTATCATGAAAGGATAAATTTTGATAAGTGCTTTTTCTGCATCTATTGGGATGATCCTGTGATTTTTATCTTTTATTTTATTAATGTGGCATAGCCCATTATTGATTTGCATATGTTGAACAATTCTTCATCCCAATAATAAATTCCACTAGATCATGAAGTATGACTCTTTTGATATGTTGTTGAGTTCTGTTTGCTAGTCTTTTGTTGAGGATTTTTGCGTCTATATTCATCAGGGATATTGGACTGTAATTTTTTTTTCTCGTAGTATTCTTGTTGGCTTTGGTATCAGGGTAATGCTGGCCTTGTAAATGAGATTGGAAGTATTCTGTTTTCGTTTGTTCATGCTGCTATAACAACATACCTGAGAATGGGTAGTTTGTAAAGAACAGAAATTTATTTCTTACATTTCTGGAGGCTGAGAAGTCCAATTCAAAGTGCCTGCCTCTGCTGAGGGCAGCTCTCTGCTCCATTATGGCACCTTGAATGCTGTATCTTCCAGAGAGGAGGAAGGCTGTATCCTCACAAAGCCAAAGGCACAAAGGCATAAAGGGCCAAACTCCCTCTGTCAAGCCCTTTTATAATGGCGTTAATCCATTCATAAGGGCAGAACCTTCATGACTTAAACATCTCTCAAAATGTCCCACCTCACAGTACTCTTGCATTGTGGATTAAGTCTCCAACACGTGAATATTGAGGGATGCATTCAGACCATAGCATGTTCCCTCCTCTTCAATTTTTTGGAAGAGTTTGAGAAGGATTGGCATTAATTCTTTAAACGTTTGGTAGAATTCACCTTTGAAGCAAGCAGATTCTGGGCTTTTCTTTGTGGGGAAGTTTTGATTACTGATTTAATTTCCTTACTCAGTGGTCTGTTTAGATTTTCTATTTCTTTATATTTTAGTCTTGGTAGGTTACGTGTTTCTAAAAATTTATCCATTTCTTTTAGGTTATCCAATTTTTTGGCTTGTAAAATGGCTCATAGTAATAATCTTTTATAATCCTTTGTATTTCTGTGGTGTCAGTTGTCATGTCACATCTTTCATTTATAATTTTATTTATTTGAGGCTTCTCTCATTTTTTATTAGTCTAGCTAAAGGTTTGTCAATTTTGTTTATCTTTTCAAAAAGCAAACTCTTAGTTTTTTTGTTCTTTCGGTTGTTTTTCTAAACTTAATTTTATTTGTCTCTGCTTTGCTTTCTATTATTTCCTTCCTTCTGCTAACTTTTGGGTTTGTTCGTTCTTATTTTTTTAGTTACTTGAGGTATGAGGTTAAGTTGTTTATTTGATATCTTTCTTTTTCCTTAATATAGGTGTTTCTTATTATAAACTTCCCTTTTAAAACTGCTTTT
Organism: Homo sapiens; assembly: GCF_000001405.40. NCBI lineage: Eukaryota > Metazoa > Chordata > Mammalia > Primates > Hominidae > Homo > Homo sapiens. The sequence continues at coordinate 56,034,817 of NC_000003.12, read as the reverse complement.
GCCATGTCCCCTACATTTTTGTATGCTATGTTTCCATTTTTATTTGTTTCAATATATTTTTAAATTTCCCTTTTGATTTCTTTCTTGATCAATTGGTTGTTCAGGAGTAATTTCCACATATTTGTGAATTTTCCAGTTTTCCTCCATTATTGATTTCTAATTTCATACTATTGTGGTTGGAAAAGATACTTGATATGATTTCAATCTTCTTAAATTTTCAAGACTGTTTGGTGGCCCAAGATATAATCTGTCCTAGAGAATGTTTCATATGCACTTGTAAAGTGTGTGTATTCTACTTCTTTTGAATGGAATGTTTTGTATATGTCTGTTAGGCCCACTTGGTCTATATTGTTATTCAGATCTACTGTTTCTTGATTGTTTTTCTGTCTAGATGACCTAGTCATTATTTAAAATGAGTACTGAAGTCCCCTACTATTATTGTATTGCTGTCTGTTTCTACCTTCAGTTTTGGTTATATTTCCTTAATATATTTAAATGTTCTGATGTTGGGTGCATATATATATATATTTATAGTTGTTTTACCTTCTTGATGAAATGACCCTTTTATTATTATGCAATGACCTTCTTTGTCTCTTATGACAGTTTTTGACTTAAAGTGTCTTTTGTCTGATATAAGTATAGTCACCCCTATTCTTTTTTGCTTACAATTTGCATAGAATATCTTTTTCTCTTCATTGACTTTCAGCCTATATGTGTCCTTTAAGCTAAAGTGAGTCTTCTATAGTCGCATATAGTTGAATCTTGTTTTTAAAAATCAATTTAGACATTCTATGTCTTTTGATTCCGTAATTTATTTACATTTAAAGTAAATGGATTAAATTATCCTGATTATCCTGATTATTTATAGGTAAGGACTTACTGCTGCTAGTCTGTAGGTGGAGGCTGAGGTGGGAAGGACACTTGAGCCTTGGAGGTCAAGGCTACAGTGAGCCATGATCATGCCACTGCCTTCCAACCTGGGTGGCAGAGCAAGACCCTGCCTTTGAAAAGAAAAAAGAAAAAAAAAGAAATCTTGTAGGCTGAGAGGGATGATTACATGATTCAAATCTTGTAATGAGAGAAATTCTCTTACATGAGAGAAATCTTGTGGGGATGATTACATGATTCAAATTTCTGAAAGAAGAAAAAAACCTGCCAACCAAGAATACTATACTTGGCAAAGCTGTCCTTCAGAAATTAAGGAGTGATAAAAGTTTCCTAGACAAACAAAATCCATGGAAGTTCATCACCACCAGACATGCCTTACAAGAAATGCTAGTGGTAGTTCTTTAAGTTGAAATGAAAGAAGCTCGTCACCACTATACATGCCTTACAAGAAATGCTACTGGGAATTCTTCAAGTTGAAATGAAAGGATGCTAACCAAAACATGAAAATATAAAAAAGTTTAAAACTCACTGTAAAGGTAAGACTTTGATCACATTTTTGGTACTCTAAAACTGTAATAGTGGAACATAAATGACTTTTTACTCTACAAAATATTAAAAATAACTATAGCTACAATAGTTTGTTAATTGGGACCACAGGCATGCACCACCACACCCAGCTAATTTTTCTTTTTTCCTTTTTTGTAGAGATGGGGTCTCACTCTGTTGTCCAGGCTGGTCTTGAACCCTTGGGCTGACATAATGCTCTTGTCTTGGCCTCCCAAAGTGCTGGGATTACAGGCATGAGCCACTCTGCCCAGCCTTTGTTTTTACTTTACTTTACTTTTCTTTCTTTCTTTCTTTCTTTCTTTCTTTCTTTCTTTCTTTCTTTCTTTCTTTCTGTTTCTTTTTTCTTTCTTTCTTTCTTTCTTTCTTTCTTTCTTTCTTTCTTTCTCTTTCTTTCTTTCTTTCTGTTTCTTTCTTTCTTTCTTTCTTTCTTTCTTTCTTTCTTTCTTTCTTTCTTTCTTTCTGTCTCTCTCTCTCTCTTTCTTTCTTTCTTTCTTTCTTTCTTTCCTTTCTTTCTTTTGTTCTTCCAACAGACAGGGTCTCACTATGTTTCTCAGGTTGGAGTTGAATTCCTGGGCTCAAGTGATCCTACAGCCTCACTTCACAAGTAGCTAGCTGGTAGTACAGGAATGTGCCACACCACAGTGCCTGGTTGGGGTTCCAAGGTTCCTGTTGTAAAATCTGATAGTCTTAAGGAAATTCCTTTTTATGTGATGAATCACTTTTCTCTTGATGCTTTTAAAATTATCTTTGTTTTTGACTTTTGAGAATTTGATCATATCTCAGTGAAGATCTTTTTATATTTATTTGGGATTCTTTTGGCTTCACGGATCTGAATACTCATTTCCCTCTCCAGATTTAGGTAGTTTTCTGTCATTATTTCTTTAAACAATCTTCTGCCCCTTTCTCTTTCTCTACTTCTTCTATGACTCACATAATGCATATATTGCTTTGCTTAATGGCGGCCCATAAGTCCCATAGACTTATTAAAATTTTTCTTCTTTTGAGTTGGTACTTTCCAAGGATCTGTCTTTGAGTTTGTGGATTCTTTCTTTTGCCTGATTAAATCTCCTGTTGAAGTTTGTCCTAGTTCATTTGTGTTGCTATCAAGGAATACCTGAGGCTCAGGAATTTATAAAGGAAAGAACATTTATTTGGCTTATGGTTTTGTAGGCTGTACAAGAAGCATGATGCTGGTGTCAGCATGGTGAGGGCTTCAGGCTGCTTCCACTTTTTGTGGAAAGCAAATAGGAGCTGGTGTGTAGAGAGATCACATGGCAAAAAAGGAGATGAGAGAGAAGAGGGAGGTGGCAGACTCTTAAACAACCAGTTCTCATTGGAATTAACAGAGTGAGAACTCACTCATTACTGCAAGGATGTCACCAAGCCATTCAAGAGGAATCCACTCCCATGACTGAAACACCTCCCATTAGGCTCCACCTCCAAGATTGAGGATCAAATTTCAACATGAGATTTGGAGGGGTCACACAAATCAGACTATACCAAAAATCCCAGTGGAATTTTTCAAGTTTAGTTGTGTTCTTTAGCTGCAGAATGTTTTATTGTTTTTTCTTGTTTTTGTGTATTTCTTTATTGTTTGTGTGTTATTTTCCTTATTTTCTTTAGTTGTCTGTGTTTTCTTGTAGCTTACTGAGGTTTTTAAAGATGATTGTTATGAATTGTTTGCCAGTCAGTTTACAGATAGTCATTTCTTTACAGTTGGTTACTCATGCTTAATTTTGTTCATTGGGTGGTATCAAGTTTCCCTGATTATTCTTGATCTTTGTGGCCTTGAATTTTTGTCTGCACATTTGAAGAAGTAGACTCCTTTTCTAGTCTTTACAGACTGGCTTCAGCAGGGAAAGGCCTTCACCTGTTAGCCTGTCCAGAGATTTTGGAGGGGCCATGAGATGGAGTCTGGGCAGGTTTGCTGCTAGAGTCCTTGGGCTGGCTGGCCTGGTACCTGGTTGCATGGGGCCAGCCATGGGTATGTGGGGGTGGGCCTGGAGCCAGCATGTACATGGGAAGGTCCAGTACTGAGTCCATGGTAGAGACCTGGAATCTGGGTTATTTAGGGTGGGACTGGATCTTATGTCCATGGGGATCAGCTTGGGTTGGGGTCCACAGGGATGAGCCTGTTGTCTGGGTGCAGACCAAAAGCTTGTATCCATGGGGGACAGGCTGGAGGCTGTGGTCATTAGGGCTGACCTGGGCTGGGGCAGGCCTGGTGCCTGGGTCTATGGCTATGTGCCTGGTCTTGAGTATTTGGAGGCCAGCCTAGTGCTGATCCTCACTGGAAAGTGTTAAAGCTCTGCCCACAGGGGCTAGCCTGGTGATTGAGTGGGCCTGGAATCTGACTGCTCAGGGGCCAGCCTGGAGCCAGGGTTCATCGGAGTAGGCCTGATGCTAGGATCTTTGGCAAAGTCAGGTGCTCATTTCACTCTCTTTTCCCCATGTATCTCTCTCCCCATGCTGCACTGCCTGGGATTCAGGAAGGGCTGACTGGATACTGTGAAACTGTTCTTACTCTCTTCACTGAGTCTTTTCTTATATTTGTGCTCCATTCGGAGGGTATAATTACTTACTCCTAGATTAATTCGCATCCATGAAGATTATTCATGCATAGACAGTTGTTCAAATTGATGTTTCTGTCAGAGGATTAGCACTGGAAACTCCTATTCTGCCATCTTACTGACATCACTCTTTGTTCTAACATTAATTTTTAAAATGCAAGAATGGCTATATTAATATCAGATAAAGTAGACTTCAGAGCAGAAAAAATTACTATGGACCATCAGTAACATTATATCATAATAAAACAGAGTAATTCACCAAGAAGATATAGCAATCCTAAATGTATATGCAACAGAGCTTCAAAATACATGAAAGAAAAACTATTAGAGTTGAAAGGTAAAATAAACGAATTCACAATTATAGTTTGGGACTTCAACATACCACTATCAGCAATTGAACTAAATAAAGAAATTAAATATAGGAAACTAAATGTAGAAAATTAGAAAAATATGGAAAGAACTGATCAATTCTATCAACTGATTGCTATTTATAGAATATTCCCAACAGCTGCTGAAATGCATTATTTGCAAGTACATATATAATATTCACCAAGATAAACTATATCCTGCATTGCAGAACACACCTCACCAAATTTGAACAAACTGGATTTATATAAGGTATGTTCTATGATCTTAATGTAATAAAACTGGAAATTGATAACAGACAGACAAGGGGATCTATAAACACTTGAAAATTATATATCACACTGCTAAGTAACCCATAGTCGAAAGATGAAGTTTCAAAGGAAAAACATACATGAAACTGAATGAAAAGAAAAACACAAAATATCAAAATGTGTGGGATGCAGCTAGAGCAGTGCTGAGAAGAAAATGTAAGCATTGGATGCTTATATGAAAAAAGAAGAAAGATCTTGAATGAATACTCCAAGTTCCTACCTCAATAACCCAGAAGAACAAAATAAACCGAAACTAAGTAGAGGGAAGGAAATAATAAAAATGGAGCAAAATTTAATAAAATCGAAAATATAGAAACAACAGAGAAAATCAATAACATTAAAAGCTCCTTCTTTGAAAACATAAATAAAATTGATAAATCTCCAGAAACCCTGAGAAAAATAAAGAAGATGTATATTGCCAATGTCAGAAATGAAACAGAAGCTATCATTACAGTTCCTGTAGCTATTAGCAACCTAATAGAAGAATACTGTAGACAACTTTATGCTCATAAATATGACAGTTTAGTAGAAATGGACCAATTTCTAAAAAACCACAAAGTATCCAAAAGTAACCAACATGAAATAGATGACTGAATAGTCTTAAAACCATGAAATACATTGAAGGTGTAGTTAAAAGGCTCCTGAAAAAGAAATTTCCAAGCCCTGATGGCTTCACTGGAGAATTTTACCAAAATGTTAAAGAATTAATCCTAATTTTACTCAATTTCTCCCAGATAGGAGATGAGAGGGAACACTTTCCTACTAATTTATGATGGCAGTAACTCTTTGATTCCCAAACCTGAAAAAGACAGTATCAAATTAAAAAACAAAAAGAATAAAGCCAAAAACCCGCAGAACAACCCTATAGATGACTGTCTCTCATGAATTTAGATATAAAACTCTCCAACAAAATATTACATAAATCAAATTAAAAAATGTTTAAAAAGAATAATATGGCATGACCAAGTGAAATTTATTCCCGGTGTGCAAGGCTGATTTAGCACACCAAAACTAATTATTATAATCCACAGTATAAACAGGATACAGATGAAAAAAATGTGTTAATTAACACAGAGAAAGCACTTTACACAATTCAATACCCATTCATAATAAAAACTCTTAGTAAGTTAGGAGCAGAGGAGAGCTATCTCAGCTTGATAAAGCACATTTACAAAAAACCTATAGCGAACATCTGTTTTTCACCATTAAGACTGAGTATATTCCCTGTAAATTCAGGATAAAAACAAAGATGCCTATTCTCACTATTGGTATACAGCATAGTACTCCAAAGCCCTAGCCACTGCAATAAGGAAAGAAAAAAGTGTCATCCTTTTTTGAAGATGACATTGTTGTCCACATAGAAAATCCCAAGGAATCTTTAAAAAGGGACAAAAAATGAAACAAAACAACCCACCTCACTCCCAGAACTAGTAAGTGACTTCAGTAAGGTCTCAGGATGCATGATCAACATACAAAATTTAACTACATATCTATATACTAACAACAGAATATGTGGAAGCTATTGATAAAATTAAAAATATAAGACGGTTTACAGTTATCCAAAGAAAATAAAATATGTAGATGTAAACTTAGGAAAACCTGCAGGATCTGTATGCTGAAACTTATAAAATGTTAATGAGCACAACTAAAGAAGACCTAAACAAACTTAGATAAGTATTGTATTAATGAATTGGAAGACTCAACATAGTAAAGGTGTCAATTCTGCTCAAATAGTGCTATATAGATTTAATGAGATTCCTATCACAATCCCACCAAAGGGTTTTGATGACATAGACAAACTTTTTATAAATTTCTTATGAAAAGGCATAACCCCCCGAATAACTAAAACAATCTTGGGGAAAAAAGAATAAGGTTAAAAGATTCACTCTACTAATATTAAGCCTTACTATATAGTTACTGTAATCAAGACAGTGTGATATTATTGAAGGATAGAGATATAGATTAATGGGACAGACTAGGACCCAGAAATACAGCCACACAAATAAGCCTAAGTGATTTTTTACAAAAGTGCAAAAGCATTCCAGTGGAGGAAGGATAGCCTTTTAAACAAATGATGCTGGATCAATTAGATAATTAGATATCTACAGGCAACACAATGAACATTGACCTAAACTTCACACCTTATGCAAAAAATAACAAAAAGTAGATCATGTACTTAAATGTAAAACATGAAAGTATAAATTTGTTAGAAAAACTATAGGAGAAAATCTTCATGATTTAGGACTAGGCAACAAACCCTGAAAGTGACATCAAAAGTATGATCCATGAAAGGAAAGACTGATAAATTGGACCTTTTGTTCTGTGAAAGACCTGTTAAGAAAATGAAAAGACAAGCCATAGACTTGGAGGAAATAATTGCAAACCATGTATCTGACAAAGGACTAATACCTAGAAAATATAAAGGAGTCACAACGGTGAATAGTAAAACAAAAAACTTAGAAAATGGGCAAAAGACTTGAAGAGACATTTTACCGAAGGAGACTTACAGACAGTAAATAAGCACATGAAAAGATGTTAAAAATCATTAGCCATTAGGGAAATGCAAAATAAAACTACATTGATATATCACTACACACCTATAAGAATTACCAAAATAAAAAATACTGATAACACCAAAAGTTTGTGGGGATGTACAGAGGCCAGATCATTCACACACTGTTGATGAGAATTAAAATGGTAAAGCCACTCTGGGAAACAGTGCAGTAGTATCTTATATAATAGAAATTACAACTTCCATTCAACCCAGCAGTTGCACTCTGGTAGCATTTGTCCCAGAAAAGTGAAAACTTACGTCACCGAAAAAATAAAACCCGTAGTTGAATGTTCATAGTCGTTTATTTGTAACAGCCCAAACTAAAAACAACTGAAATGTCCTTCAGCAGGTAAATGCTTAAGCAAGCCTGGATATCCATGCCATGGAATACCTACTTAGCAATAAAAAGGAAGAAGTTGTTGATAACTATAACAACTTTGATGGATCTTCAGAGAATTATGCAGAGTGAAAAAAGCCAATCCCACAGGTTACATACTGTGTGACTTTATTTATATAACATTTGTGAAATGACCAAATTATAGAAATGTAGAAGAGATTAATGGTTGCCATGGGTTAAGGATGGGACAGAGGCAGGAGGGATTTGTGTGCAGCTATAAAAGGGCATTGCAAGAGATTTTTGTGGTGTGGGACTTGTTCTGTATCTTGACTTTGGTGGTGGTCACGTAAATCTACACATGTGGTACAATTGCATAGAACTAAATACAGATGCACACAAATACACAAATGCACATGAGTGCATATAAAAACTCATGATATATGAATAAGGCCGTTGGGTTGTATCAATGTCAATTCCCTGGTTATAGTATTTTACTATAATTATTCTAGATGTTACCATTAGCAGAAACTAGGTAAAGAATAAAGGACTCTCTTTGTATTATTTCTTATAACTGTATGTAAATTTCAATTATCTCAAAATAAAATGTCAAAAAGAAAGCTTTTAGTACAGTGCCTGGCTTGTAGGAATCACTTAATAGATAATGGCCATCATCTTCATCATTCTCATCCTCCTCCTCCTCCTCATCATGACACTGTTATATTAGCTGAAAGTTGTGAGGCTGCTTTTTGACTGGAGACAGCTATATGTTGCCTTCTAAATAGTCATCTCATTAAAGCAGCTTTCCTGAATAGACCCTAATGCTGGGAACCTATGTTGCTTAAGAATGGAGATCGGTTCAAGAAATGGAGGAAGGTGGCTGGTTGCGGCAGCCCATGCCTCTAATCCCAGCACTTTGGGAGGCCGAGGCAGGCAGATCACTTGGAGTCAGGAGTTTGAGACCAGCCTGGCCAACATGGTGAAACCCCATCTCTACTAAAAATACAAAAATTAGCTGGGCGTGGTAGTGCACACCTGTAGTCCCAGCTACTTGGGAGGCTGAGGCAGGAGAATGGCTTGAACCCGGGAGGCCGAGATCATGCCATTGCACTCCAGCCTGGGCAACAGAGTGAGACTCCATCTCGAAAAAAAAAAAAAAAAAAAAAAAAAGAAAGAAACGGAGGAAGGGGGTTTGCTGCATACAATACTTACTTTTTTATAAGCTGAAAATTTGTTTTCAAATTTTTATTCCATTTTTTGGCCATATTAAAATGTTACACATCCTGTTAGAGTGGAGAATTCCTCCATTTTGAATGAATTCCACTCACAGAATTCTCTGTATAAGAGATCTAAAGGACCAACATGTTTTTATTTCAAAGAAAAAATATGGGTATAATAAGCAGAATTCTAGAATGGTTCCCATATTATGTGCCTGTTGGTGTTATGTCTATGCTTAGGTTACATTTTATGCAAAAGGGAATTTTCAGATGTAATTAAGGTCACTAGTCTATTGACCTTAAGTTGATCAAAAGGGAGATTATCTGTGTTGGCCCTACCTAATCACATGAGCGCAGTAAATCTGGGGCTAGAGGTCAGAGACAGGGAAGTCAGAGATATTCCAAGCAGGAGGGTGATTTTCTATGTGAGAAATGCTTGGTTGCTGGTTTTAAAGAGGGAGGGAAGTACTGTGTGGCAAGGGCCTTTGTATATAGCCTCTGGAAGCTGACAGCAACCTTGGCCAGCAGCCAGCAAGGAGCTGAATAATACCAACAACCTGAATGAGCTTGAAAGAGGACCCCAGATTCAAGATGGGAACTTAGCCAAACTGATCCCTTTATATTAGCTTTGTGAGACCCTCAGCAGAAAAACCAATCAGGCCATGCCCAGACTTCTGATCTGATGCTGTTAAGCTGCTAAATTTGTGGCAATTTGTTATGCAACTGTAGAAAATTAATACAATGGGTTGACTTAAATCTTTGTGTTTAAATCCATGGTTTGGTAGGCCCTGTACTAGCAACCAGCCTTGCCTTTTCCACTCAAGGAGCATCCTTGGCATTCTGCAAAAGGTACCTCTGAGGGACACGGAGAGATTGGCAGACCTGTGCATTCATGCTCCCCAAGCAAGCTTTTTCTTTTTTAAATAATTTTCAATCTGTCATGGAACAATATGTGGTCTTACTGTGCACTTGATCAGTGTGCAGTTCCAGCCACGTGCGACACAGGTTCAACAACACCTGAACTTGTCCATACATTGCTCATGATGACAGGTCCATGGATCATGTTCTTGCATATTAGGATGCTGTATACACACTTATGATTTCTGTAGTTATCTTGTCAAAGACTGGTAACAAAGAGTTGCCGGGACCATATTTGGAGAAGTGTCTGAGTCAAACCTTAACCTTGTCAGCCTGTAGGAACTTGAGAGAAAGAAAGTCCAGAGCAATTGTTTTAGGATGGTGGAGTTTGCTGGCTCAAGAGCTAACACTGGAGCTCTCCCTAGGTGCTGTGGATATGGGTCATAATTTTTGGCCATCCAGACTCCAAGCTTTGTTCTGATTTTATGAAGAACATCTCACTATGGAAGATGAAACTGCTAACACTTGGTTTCTAAGCCTCCCTTGCAGTTGGGCTGTATGCCTTACCTTGGCTTTCCTCATTAGATGTACCTGCCCCAGTGTCATTGGAATGTTGGGATTTTGAAGGACCCTCTCTCTGCTGCAGGGACTGCAAAGTCAAGATCATGGGGCAACATGACTGCAGGGCTAGTGGTGTTGTCCGGGGGTCAGTTGAAGCCACTCTTGTTAGGGTTCCTTCCTTTCTCACTTCTTTCGTTTATTCAGTAAGTTAATATGTAGTATTGCCAACACAGTTGGGTGCTGCGGCCAAAGAGAACGAGTGGGACAGAGCTCACTGTACTGTAAGCCTCGATGTCTAGTTTTCAGCAGTTGGGGCAACAGTGTTTGCACTAGACCACTTGCATCAAAACTCTGGGCATAATTCTATACTATTTTCCCTGACCCTGATTTTCTAGCCTTTCTGGCAGTTTTGTGAGTTTCCCCATTTTTCTGCTTAAATCAGACTGAGCTGTTTCTGTTGCTTTAGCTAATAACATTAACTGATACTCTAGGTGTGGGTAATACAAAATCCAGAGACAAATCTTAGAGAGAAGATAAATTTTATTAGTGAATGAATTTTGGAATTTTATAATGAAAACTACCAGAAAGATACATTTGGGTATATTTGAAACTGTAACGATGCCTAAGTATGTTTTAGGTCCTCTGTTTTAAGCTATGTATAGACTTTCTCCATCACTTTTTATTACTTCTTTACTTCTTTGTAGAATCTCGGAGCTGAAGGGACTCAGCCGTCACCTACTCTGGCCTCTTCCTTTTACACAAGCCACTTTCTTTAGAATTCCTTCCTTCCTTCCTTCCTTCCTTCCTTCCTTCCTTCATTCCTTTTTTCATTCATTCAGTAAGCTAATATGTGGGGTGTTGCCAACAATTGGGTGCTGCAGCTGGAGATACAACAGTGAGTAGAACAGAGCTCTTGTCTTCATTGTGCTCATGGCCAAGTTGTGGAAATAGATAAGTAAGGAAGCAATTTTAATAGTGTATGAAAAATGCAGATTAGGGGACTTAACCTGGTTTAGGGGGTTGGAGAAGGAGTCCTGAAGGAGGCAAGGAGTGTGCTGATATCTAAAGGTTTGAGTAGAGCTTGAATAGGTGAACAGTTGGAGTGCAAAGAGGGCTCCAAGAAAAGGAAATAGATAGGCAAAGATAGGGAAGATATAAGGAGATCCTCGTGCTAGGGAATAGCACTAGTGATTCGGCAGGGCCAGGGCTTGGCTGAGGGATTGTAGAAGATCACACGGACCATCCCTCGGAGGGCCTCATGTATGATATCAGGGAGTTTGGGCTTTATGTGGGGGGCAATGGGAGCCATTGAAGGGTTCTAAGGAAGGAAGTCATGCAGTTAGAGTTGCATTTTGGGAAGGTTACCTTTGACTGCAGCATGGAGACCAAATGGAAGGAGGAGCAAATGTGGAGTCAAGGAGGCTGTGGCTGTTAGTCAATGGTCCCTTTTGTGCTGAGGACTACACTTGTGTGAAATTCACAACAAAGCTCCCCTGCTGAACATTGGCCCATCTCAGGCTTTGCAAGCCCAGAGTTAAGGACCCCATTAATTCTTGGGCAGAGCTTCAGAAGTCAGCTAAAGCCATTAGGATTAGGGTTGTCAAGTGACCTCCAGGGTCTGAGCTCTCCTCCTCTCTTACCCCCTTTCCAGGTTTCTGCCCCAGAAGGCATAGCTATTGCTTCAGCAGTACTGGCTCCTTCTGAATCTTCCCAGCCATGACCAGAAGGCAGCTCAAGTCAAAGGCAAGGGCAGGGTTTCTCTCTAGCTCCCTTGTACTCAGGCCTATCTCATACTTTGTTGTCTGTGTTGCTAAGGTGGTGTCCAATTCTGCAATATGAAATTTCTCAAAAAAACCCTTCCCTTTCCACCCCCAAGGCTTCCCATCCTAACCCTTGTTTTCAATTTGCTTATTTTCCAATTCCTGCTATTTGAGCCTTGCACAACCTCACCCTTTGAAGAAAAAGGTTCCCAACATTTTTCATATAAATGTCATAACAATTTGTGAACATGAGAAAACTGTGCAGTACTTTTTTTTAAAAGATACAGAATTTTATATTCTCTCCAGTCTTTTAAGTTTAAATTTTAAGAATTCAGTCATCTTTGGAGTATGAAAGGATTATTTTCTCCTGCAGAGTCCTTTTAAAAAGCAAAAACTTATTGTTCAAAAGTCACTTAAATAACCATTCTGATATTTTGTAGTTGGTTTTAAAATATCTTTTTATTCTGTTTACACTCAATGAAAACACACTGGCAGATGCAGAAAAGCATGAAGAGGAGAAGTAAAATCATCAGTCGTCCCATTGCCAAATAAAACATTTTAGTAGATTCCTTATATTTTTGTTCTATGCAATAATTTTTTCTTTTTACAAAATTAATGCCATACTATTTTACATTCTGCTTTTTAAAGATCTACTATTTTCATTTAGTTAGCAATGCTATGCAAACAGGATTTTAAATACTTGCATAATAGGCCATGGTTTAAATATGCCAATATCCCATTACTGGGTATATACCCAGTGGAATATAAAGCATTCTACCATAAAGACACATGTATGTGAATGTTCGTTGCAGCACTGTTCACAATAGCAAAACCATGGAATCAACCTAAATGCCCATTAATGACAGACTGGATAAAGAAAATGTGGTACATATACACCATGGAATATTATGTAGCCATAAAAAAGAATGAGATAATGTCTTGTGCGGGAACATGGATGGAGCTGGAGGCTATTATCCTTATCAAACTAACGCAGAAACGGAAAACCAAATACCACATGTTCTTACTCATAAGTGGGAGCTAAATGATAAGAACTTATGAACACAAAGAAGGAACAACAGACGCTGGGGTCCACTTGAGTGGGGAAGGTGGGAGGAGGGAGAGGAGCAGAAAAGATGACTACTGGGTACTGGGCTTAATGCCTGGGCAATGTAATGTTATGTACAACAAACCCCCTTGACACGTGTTTATTTATGTAACAAACCTTCACATGTACCCCCAAACCTAAAATTAAAAAATTTAGCTCCCATTAAAAAAATAAATAAATATGCCAACAATCTGTAACTGCTGGCAACTTGGACAATTTAGTATTAAGTAGGCATTTGTTTTATTTATTAAATTATTATTTACTCATGTGTATAGTATTTATTATTTTTATGTATAAATATAAACCAAAAATGGCCCATAATTTTACCAGCTGGATAACCCTGATTGACATTTTAAAATAATAAAACCCACATGGTTAGAAAATTCAAGCAGAAATCTACACAAATGTACAAAGATGAAAACCAGAAACTCCTTCTTCCTTCTGCCTCCTAGACCTTACCCTACAAAAGTTAAAATTTCTTGTGATTTGTTTCCAGATATATTTATCTGTTTATAGATGTTTCAAATTTTATGCAAGAGATTATATGCTACACACTGTTCTGTACCTTATTTTTTTCTCTTAAGAGTCATTCTTGGTGATCTTTTTGCAGCATTTCTTAAAGTGGTGCATCCCTAGCTCAATAAATACATCTTTAATTCCAGCTCTGTTAGTCAGTCACACCTGCAGTATCATTGGCTCTTCTGCTGGGTTCTTAGATGTGAGATAAACAGATCGCATGTCTCCAGTCTCCACCATCCCTATTTCTTCAGCTCTTGACCCCTACCTGCATGCCAGTAGGACCCTGACCCTCAGTCTCCCTAGTCTTTCCAGTTATATGAGGAGGCCCCAGGGATTATGACATAAGTGCACAGCCACTTTTCCTTTGGTCTCTATTTCTCGTGCCCAAAGTCCTTTGAAATTGCTGCCTACTACTGCCCCAAGGCTGATGTCCTCCTCTTATGCCCAGGGCACTGTCTGCCAGGGTGGGCCAGTGGGTCTAATCAGTGTATTCAGAACCACGGTGGATTTGCGTACATGTGTGTACACAAATGTATCCATGGGTGTATTCAAAGTAATAACATACACTGTTTCCAAGAGTCAGTCCTCTCAGCTGCTGGCTTCTTCCATATAACCAGTATCATTCTGACATATAACCATCCATATTCTTACTTATGTGTATTTTTGTGTGAACATTTGTCTGGAAGGGAGGAAGCCTTTGTTTTGACTGGAGATGATTATGCCTTCTGAATTGCTGTGTTTTCCAAGGAGTGGCAATTAATTTTCACAGTGGCAGCTGGATGGGAACACATTACATTTTGATGAAGGAAAAGAATAATTATTTGACCTATAACCTGAGTTTCTAAGCTGTCTATCTCAAGGCAGAAGAAAAAAAAATGAATGAAGGAAAGGTGGAACGAAGGATGGAAGGAGGCTGGAAGAAAGGAAGGAAAGAAAAAAAATTTCATCTTTGTTAGGCCACAAAGTTTACGGGTTTCCATTGTGGCCATTGAAAAAATTAGCCAAGACCATGTCCTCCAGATTGAAGGTCAGCAGAGCCATTGTCTTTGCATCCAGAGCTGTTTTTGACGCTGCTACTGCTGCCACCTCCATTGTCATTGTAATCATCTCCTCCTCCTCATTACTACTGGGATTACTATTATTATTATTTGGATTACCATTCCAGATACATGCTAAGGGAATCAAGTAATCAAAAAATTTGTTTGAGTGTACATTGTGAAACATACTTTTGGAATGATTCCCTGAGAAAGCTGGGTGCAGAATGCAAATATTTTGAATGGACTTATCTTAGAGTTGTACTGCTTTTTTTCCTTGTCATTTTAAAACCCTTAATACGAATAAATTGTTTGTATAGTGGGGCTTTTTTAAATCCTTAGATAAGAAATACATGGTTTGAAAGCAGAGAATAAAAACATGAATGATAATGTCCTCAATGCCCAGGAGAAAGTCCTTGCTGCTGCTCCTGGACAGGCATTGTAATCGGCTATTTGGCGTGTTTATTTCAGGCTGCAGATAGTGGATAAAAGTGGCTGGTTGGTTGCCAGCACATGACTTAGTTGCCAAATGGAGTGTTTAGTACTTGTTACATTTGACTTATATCACAAGTTCTTCCCATTAACAGTCTGCTGGTGATAACCTACTTGGCTTTTCATGTGGTTACTTTGAAACAGCCACTTGACAACATTTGGCATATCACAAACTTTAATACTGAAATAAAGGAGTAAGTGAATGGCTACATGGGATCTGCCATATACTGATATGGTACTTGGTGCAGAATGGGCTCTCCAGTAAATGTCTGTTTAATCAATGAATTAATCTTGCATAATATTTCCCTGGTTCAGTGTACCAAGTTCAAGCCTATCGACTTGAGACCTAAAAGGCTGGTAAAAGGGATAGAAATACAAAGAAATAATAGTGATTACGTACGTGTCAGAAGGGCTTACCGTTGTATGGAGGGAGATACTCTGCTCCTCTGTATCACCATTTAAAGACAGACTTGAACTAAATGGAGAAATGAAGATTTCATCAAAATGGCCTTTTGTCTAAGTCAAAGCTACTGACAATTTCTATCATTTCAGGTCTTTTTCTTTCTTTTTTTATTAATAGATCCACTTCAGGAATTTTGGCCTAGGATATGTAATCAAATATGCATTAAAATATTGATTTTTATTTTTAGATTGAAAACTTGCAAGAACAACTTAGGGATAAAGACAAGCAACTGACCAACCTGAAAGACAGAGTGAAGTCCTTGCAGACGGATTCCAGTAATACAGATACTGCACTGGCGACGCTAGAGGAAGCTCTGTCAGAGAAGGTGAGCATGCACTCAAAAACTGGGGAATCAGGATATGGGGAAACAGAGTTGGGGAAAGTTGATCCCAATGCATTTAAATGTGCCTGCTTTTCTTCTTTTGCTAACACTACCTTTAGTCCCAGCTGGTCCTTGTTCTTCCCACACAAGCCCTCTTCAGTGGACTTGGCATACTACAGTCAGGGGCATTTTCTGAAATGCAAATCTGATTACATCACTCTTGGCTTTCCTTAAAAACCTTCACTAGCTTGCCATTGCTCTTACGATGATATAATTTGAAATCCTCTACCTGGCCCCCAGGGTCCCTTCTCCCATCTGATCTGGCAAGCCCCCACTCTGTGTGCCTGCTCCCTCCCTCATTCTTTCTTTCATTTCCAGCCTCATCCCCCATTTCTCTTTTTCCAGGTTCTCTGTTCCCTAGTTATGTGGGGCTTCTAGATTTTCAACTGTACCATACTCCTTCCTGCCTCAGATGCTATTCCCCAGCTGAGGATATTCCTCACTCTCTGCTAATTTAATTCCTCCTCTTCTGAGAGGTCAGCTTCATGAGAAGTTGTATTGTGCAGTAGTCAAGAATGTGGACTTTGGAGCTAGACTGCCTGGGATCAAATCCTAGGTCTGATACTTTCTACTTTGGACAAATTACTTAACCTCTCAGTTTCTTCATTTGTAAAAGAGGGTAATAATAGTAGCCACCTCAGTGGATTATATTGAGGAGAAAATGCATGAAAATATGGAATGTGTTTAGAATAGTAGATGTAATGTTATCACTATTATTATTATTTTATCATTTCCTTGGGGACACCTCCTAGGTATCCCCGTTATGTCTCAGGAACACCACAAACTCCCCAGAGCTCATGTCACATTCTTAATTGTTCATTTATCTGTTTTTAATTTCTCTTCTCTGCTAGACTCCAAACCCAAGAAACATATGCTATGTGTGTGTTATCTTTCCATTCCCTGTGCCCAGCATAACCTGCATTGGGGATGCTCACTCAGTACTGGATACTGGTGGAGTGAGCCCCCACCATGTGACAGGTCCTCTTTTGAGCCTTGGGATGCAGCAGAGAAGAAAATGGGTGAAAATCCTGGCTCTAATGGAGTTTAGACTCTAGTGGAGGTGATGGGGAGACAGACAATAAATACGTGACATTCCTAGGATTTCAGAGGGTAATATTTTCTACAAAAGAAGAGAAGGCAGGGAGGGGTACAGGGAGTGCTGGAGTAGAATGGCCAGGTAGGAGCTTGCTGAGAAGGTGACACTTAAGGAAACACTTGAAGAAAGTGAGTGGTGAGCCAGGAGCCCTTGTGGAGGGAGAAAGCCCTGGCAGAGGGGAGAGCAAGTACAAGGGTGTGGGTGAGAGGAAGGGCAGCAGATTTCACAGGCCCTTGTGAGACAAGATTTTTAAAAATTGGCTTTTACTTTGAAGGGGATGGGATGCCATCCTGAGGGTTTCCTTCTGACTTACATTTAAGGGGATTAATTTGAATAAAAGAATGAATGAATGAATAAAATCCTTTAGGCAAACAGCTCATTCTGATGTTTACTTACTTTTAAAATGATTTCCAGTCCATTTCATTCTGGCTAAATGAGTTCATTCATTCTCTGGGCACCTATTGTAGGTATCAGACCCTGGAGTTGAGTTTGCATATGCTCTCTCCTCTCCTCCAACACTTCCTGAATGTCAAAGAGCCAGTGCAGGTAAAGTTCTCTAGGAATTCTCAGGAGGGACGGCTTGTTTGTTGGTTGGACATGGAAGTGCTGGCGCAGTTTTTAGGCCCATGTTATTGGCATTATTTTCAAATTTAGCTTGAAACCAAGAAAAGAAATGTTAACTTTTGAAGTGTGGGAGTAGATTTTATTATGTTCTTTTTCTTCATCTTTCCCATCATTTTTGATCCTGCAGCACTTTGCAGGATTTGTCCACACATGCATGGGATGTTGTGAGGGTTTTCCTCTGGGATGCCCTACTAGAGTAATAGCATTATCTCCTATATTCCCTGTTACAGTAGCCTATAAACTCTGGGGTAATGAAGTAATTGGAAGGAGACCTAGGGGCCAGTCCCACCTAAGCCACTAATTAACTGGGGAGCCATTAATTAACTGGGTGAGCCTGGCAAGTAATTGCCTCTCTCAGGGCCTCAAATTTCCCATTTGATGAATGGGGGAATTAGATTAAATGCCCATGGGTTTCCTAGGCCAGTGTATCCTAAAGGAGGCTTCTCTTCTGTTACTTCAGAATTACCAGGAAGCTCCTGTTGAAAGTCTCTATTGTTAGGCCCCATCTATACCTACCAAATCAGAACCTCATAGGGCCTGGGAATCTGCACTTTAGCAAGTTCCCCAAGTCATCGTGATGTAAACTCTAGTCTGAGAACCAAGGCTCTATGATAAAAACCTAGGAGCTCTAAAAAGATGGGTAAGCATATTTTTGGAGTTAAATTAAAAAGTTATTAAAAAAAAAAAAAGAAAAAAAAAGGAAGCTACAAAAAGACCCATGACTCTAGGGCTAGTCTTCATGGTCCTATTAAAAATTGTGAGATTTAAACGTAAAACCCAGAACTGTAAAAACTCTAGAAGAAAATCTAGGCAATACCCTTCAGGACACAGGCACAGGCAAAGATTTCATGATGAAAATGTCTAAAGCAATTGCAACAAAAGCAAAAATTGACAGATAGGATCTAATTAGACTAAAGAGCTTTTGCACAGCAAAAGAAACTATCATCAGAGCAAACAGACAACCTACAGAATGGGAGAAAATTTTTGCAATCTATCCATCTGACAAAGGTCTAATATCCAGAATATGCAAGGAACTTAAACAAGTTTACAAGAAACAAACAAACAACCCCACTAACAAGTGGTCAAAAGACATGAACAGACACTTCTCAAAAGAAGACATTTATGCAGCCAACACACATGAAAAAGAGCTCAACATCACTGATCATTAGAGAAATGCAAATCAAAACCACAGTGAGATACCATCTCATGCCAGTCAGAATGGCAGGTATTAAAATGTCAAGAAACAACAGATGCTGGTGAGGCTGGGCAGAAAAAGGAATGCTTTTACATTGTTGGTGGGAATCTAAATTAGTTCAACCATTGTGGAAGACAGTGTGGCAATTCCTCAAAGACCTAGAACAACAAATACCATTTGACCCAGCAATCCCATTACTGGGTATATACCCAAAGGAATATAAATCATTCTATTATAAAGGTGCATGCATATGTTCATTGCAGTACTATCCACAATAGCAAAGACATGGAACCAACCCAAATGTCCATCAATGATAGACTGAATAAAGAAAATGTGGTACATATATACCATGGAATACTATGCAGCCATGAAAAGGAATGAGATCATGTTATTTGCAGGGACATGGATGGAACTGGAAGCCATTAACCTCAGCAAACTAATGCAGGAACAGAAAACGAAACACTGCCTATTCTCACTTATAAGTGGGAGCTGAGCAATGTGAACACATGGACACAGGGAAGGGAACAACACACACTGGGGCCTGTTGGAAGGGGTCGGGGGAGGGAGAGCATTAGGAAAAATAGCTAATGCATGCTGAGCTTAATACCTAGGTGATGGGTTGATAGGTGCAGCAAACCACCATTACACACGTTTACCTATGTAACAAACCTACACATCGTGCACATGTATCCCAGAATGTAAATAAAATAAAATATAGCAAACAATTAAAATGAGGCTTTTGTAAGATAAAGAATGTACATTTTGACATTGAGTTACCTTATTTGACATCATATTTAGTATGTATTTCCAAATTAATTTTGCTAAAAAAACCATGGAGGAGAAACAGTTGCTGGTTAATAAAGTTATAAATCCTGTAACAATTTAAACATTGAAAGATTATAACTTCAGGATTAAATTATAAGAATGATAAGGTTTTACTTGAAAGCTTATAAGAATATTTAATAAGATGACTTTTTGGGGAGAGATATTCTCTTTTCATCTTTTAATAATTTATTTCCAGAGCTCTCTGCAGTAGTTTTATTTGTAACATTGGAATGAGGGGATGTTTGTTCAAAAACTATTACTGCTTATGTGTTCATTTAGCATATTTGGGTTGTATGATATCACCCTATTTCTACCTCTTGATTTCTTTCTTAAAATTCACAGAAGTAAACATATACCATATAATTTTTCATGTCATGAATTCTTGGCAGGATTTTATTTTTTTTTCTGGACCCTATTAAGATTTGATTTATTCTAGCTTAAATCCCAAAGTAATTCCCAAATCTGAAACTACTCCCTTTATTTAAGTACTTCCTTTGAGGCTGAGGGGGTGTCTGGGAAGGAATCTGAGGTCTGTGGGAGTCTGGCCCCTTGGACTGTCTTTACTGCTTGACAGTTGCATCACCTGGGCAAGCCTCTTCTCTCAGCGTCTCAGTACCTCATCTTCAAAATACACATTTTTATTAGCTGACCTCTAAGTTTCATGCTGTCCTGGAACTCCCTTGACAATGAATTATTCAGTTTGCTGATCTGCAATCTCAGGCTCATGGCATCTGAATTGGACAACAGATGAGGAGTTGAGAACTTAGACGACTAGAAGGGCCAGGGAGGGAACAAAAATGAGGGATGTGGCTTTGCTGAAGTGTAGTAGGGACTACTGGTAGCTATGGTAAGCTGCAGATCCCTGGTCTATTTCAAAACATTCAAGTTCAGATTTTTAAAAATTATGATGCTCAAGTCAAACAAAAGAGCTCTATGTACCAGCTTTGTGAGCTATTTATTTCCAAACTCTGTTTGCATCTGTTTTTTTTTAACTTTTCATAGCGATGAAGAATAAAAGCAGATATAGAGCAATGGATGTGGAGGGAATTTTTTAAAGGTGCCAAAATCAGAATGCCTAATGTATTTGGAAAGCACAGATAAAACCGTTGGATAGGAACTGGCAAGGTTCTCTATCTTAGGACAAATAATAGAAGATTTATTCTAAGTATTCCAGTATGCATCAAACCTTTGTATATATCCAAATAATCTTATCATCTAGGAGGTTTCTTAAAATACAGTTTCCTGGGTCCTATTTCCTAGAGATTCTGATTCAGCTGCTCTGCTGTGGAGCCCAGGAACCTCTGATTTTTAAATATACCGAAGGGTTCTGATCCAAGTGGTCAGAAGGCTACACTTTGAGAAACACTAAATCTATGCTCTTCCATTTTAAGATGGGAAATGGGCTCAATGAGGTGAAATGATTTGCCCAGAAATAAAAATATCGACATGTACAGCATCATCCCCCATTTCTGGGCCTAGAGAGACATCATTAATTAATCATGGCACATGCTAACTTCTCAACCCACCGCTCCTGGAAGCTGTTTCCACCCTGTCTAAGCTGGTCCTTCGTTGAGACTTTGCTGCCTCCTCTGGACTATCCCAAGGCCAGTAGCTCACAGGTGATAGAATAAGACTAAAACTCAAAGATCTTTGTGCTTTTGGCAACATCACAATCTTCTTTAAATGGAGTTTTGCTCACAAGTCCCATTTTTATCCACATTTAATTGCACAAATCCCCCTGTAACAAGGCATGCTGTGAAACAAAATGATTAATAAAAACTCATGAATTTTTAAGTACATTTAATTATTTGCTGTCTCTTGGCTGATGAAAAGAATCCATCAGGCAGTATTCACCATTTCCCCTGGATTATGGCATCCTAGGGAGTATGTTATTCCTTTTACTTTCCAGGAACTTATTCAACTATTAACAGAGTGCAAAGAATAATGCCTCTCCGTGAGTTAAGATTGAATATGACTTGGTTCTAGGATTGACACACAGAAGCTCAAGAGATGGAACCCACTGTATTTATAAAGCTGGTCTCGCAAAGCCTTGCTGTAGCCACATAGCAGATAAGCAGTTGAGAAAGCCAGATAGTGGAGCTGGAGGCCACTGTAATTTAGTTCCCACCCTGTGATAAAGCACAAATAGATTAGACCTGTGCAGAGCCAGATGAGTGCACAAGGAATGCTTGCCAATGCAAATAAGACTAAAACAAGAACACATTGTTGGAATTTCTGCAAGTTAGTTTTTAATCAAGTACATCATGGTATATTAGGGCCTTTTAACACATGTTTTTGACATCTGGCCCTGCGCGGCTGACAGTTAAATTGGTTTTGTGATTGACGGAGAAATATGTTGTAGTATTGAATCATCAATAACACTTAAAAACATTATAGTGCTTGTTGATTTTTTTTGTCATCAATGCCCAGTCAATAGTACGAGTGCTTAGAGCAAATCGACCTACTTTCCAAACGATTCTGACACCTTCTGGCTGTTAACATGTCTGCTTAATTTTATTACCTTTTCTTTGAAGCCAAGATGATCCCTAATTGAGTTCTCCTTCCTTCCTTCAGCTCTTTTAATTGCTTGTTGTATGCCAGATGATTTGCCCAGCTGTGGGTCAAGAAGACTCATAGGATTTTAGTGCTGCCCTCTTGAAAGTGGGGCTGGGAGGATGATCATGCAGTGAAACCACGTGAAGGCTGCCGAGTGGGAATAAGTGCCACGTGATCCAGCCAGAGGGATTCCTGGGAAGGTTTCCAAATAGTGAGACGACAGGTCCTTTTGGAGCTTTAGAAATGTCGCTCCAACAGCCATGTAGTGGAAGGGATGGGACGGAGAGGTGGCTGGGTAATTGGTTGTAGTGTGGGCAAAAGGCAGCAAGGTCTTGGTTGCTGAAATCATTAAAAACCCTTGAGAGATTGACCATGTACTGTGGCCATTTCCTTCTCTTGTGGATCACATAGTCATCCACTCACCATTGTCACAGGTAGGTAAACTAGGTCTGGGATCAAGAAGAAACAAATATAGGCAATTAATAGTTTCATTTGTTATATTTCTGCCTCCTCTCTTATAATAATATATTTCATTTAAAGTGTTTTTAAATAATTGGAAAATAGTAATGGTACCTCCTCCGCTGAAAGCATTAGATATATAAATTATTGTCAGTGGGGTAGAACAGTTGCTTCCTCGGGGGATCTTAAATCACAGGCTAACTGTTCAAACTAACTTCCCTCTGCATTAAATACTATTTTACAGTTGTCTTATTTATCAGGCATTGTCTTGCACTATGCAATTATAAGAATATAAAAGATAGTATCAGGATCCTTGGCCACAGTTGTTGCACCAGTATTTTTTAACATGGCCATCCGAGAGGAAGTTTAGATATGTGTTGGATAATTTCAAACTAATTTCAGAAATCTAACTCAAGCTTTACGCAGATGGAATTTTCGTGTGCATGTGTGTGTGTGTGTGTGTGTGTGTGTGTGTTTAAGTTTCTTACTTTGATATCAGGCAGATTCCCTATTTTTGGAAAACAAGTCTACAAAGCAGTGTTTTCATTTCAGTGTGAAAGTCAAAGGCAGACCTCCTTGAATGGCTCCAGGTGTATGTTTGTGGCAGTGTGGTCTCATGGGTGTGGCTGACAGTCAGAGAGCCTGGGATGTGGGAGGCGTTCTGTTTATGACCTGGGCCACCTTGCATCTCGGAGCTCTGGGTTTCCTCACCTCTACACCGTCACCAAGAGCACTGGATCTGCCCTTGCGCTTGTGATGAGGGCTGATGAGGAGAGCACATCACAGTGCCTAGCATGTAGTAAGCCCTCAATAAAATAAAGCTGCTGCTGAACTTCGTTCAAACTCAGCCAGTGTTTTGGATTCTCTGCTGACTATCAAGAAACCACTGAAAAAACACAGAAGTAAACATCCTCAGACACACTGGAAAATCACATACACAATGGACTGATTCTTTGTCTCAAGTTCTCACAATGAGTCCCAGCTCTAAGTCCTGGAGGGTTTGGGTCCTGCCCCACTTCATTCCCATCTAGCCAGAGAACAGTCTTCAGAAACCAATGAAGGCTCTTTGATGACAAATGGAGAGGCTAAGCAAAGAGGGCGGAGCCAAGAGGCATGTTCTACTTCTTCCCCTTTCCTGTGCAAGGCTGTGGTAGGTCTGGAGTCTTGGTGTCTGAAGCTCCCTCTTCTAGAGCTGCTCTAGAAATTTGCTGGATACTACCATGAACCAAGAGCAACCACAGAACTTGAACATTACGTTCCTTTGCAACCCTGTGATATTAACTTTTATTAACAAGTCAAAAGCTGTTATTGGTTGTCCTTCCCAAGTGCTGTTATGCACAGCCTCCCCACGAATCCAATTTTGATTTTCTTGTGTGTGTTGATTCCTGTACAGCATTTCTTAGATGTACTGCCTCTTATTTTCTTTTACAGTATGCTTTGGCATATACACTGATGGGTTCTCACCTCTTCTTTTTTGTTAATTGCCTTACAGGAGAGAATAATTGAGCGCTTGAAAGAACAGCGAGAAAGAGATGATCGGGAAAGACTAGAAGAGATAGAATCCTTCCGAAAAGAGAACAAAGACCTGAAAGAGAAGGTCAATGCTTTACAGGCTGAACTGACTGAGAAAGAGGTGAGTCTGGAAAAACAAATGAACCACATTGATAGTCCTCATAAACCCATATTCAATGAAGCTGCAAGAGACTAGAGACTTAGTAGGAGGCACTGTATGAAGGCTTGGGGAATGTAGTAACCTTTCTTTTGTAAAGCTGCCTGAATTTAAAGGAATTTTTTTTTTTGTAACTTCCTTCATCTGTGATGCCCTATGCCTATCTTCTCTGCTCTGCTAACCATATACAATGTAGCTCCTTGAAACTTTTCTTTATGTCTTACCACATTTGCACAGCTTAAAGGATTCTGTATTTTTCACAGGCCCATGATCCCTTGCTTGAGATAACAACAGCAGCGATGATGATAGTAACAATAGC
The DNA here is from genome assembly GCF_000001405.40 of Homo sapiens. Lineage (NCBI taxonomy): Eukaryota > Metazoa > Chordata > Mammalia > Primates > Hominidae > Homo > Homo sapiens. The sequence goes on along the minus strand of NC_000003.12, from coordinate 56,010,093 downwards.
TCTACTTTATTGGGTGTCTGCTATGTACTATTCCTTGTGTCAAGTGCTTTGCATTCATCTGTACTTTTCAAAGGGACCACCCAATACTCTCAGATTAGGAGATGTGGTACCATGCTGGACCCCAAGGTAGAGCTTAAGTGTGGCTGCTCTTCTGGCATATTATTTTTACATTATAGTAAATAATTTAGAGCTGTATTTTTATACCATAGCAAACATGAATACAGAATATAAATGCCACCTGTGTTTTTAAAGTAAAATCTTATACTTTGAAGAAATTCTTGCTTGGGGGTTATGAAGAGGATGCTTTGGGCTATTCCCCCATTCTTCAAGGGATCCCTGTAACCCTCTCAGTTTTCTTGGGGATAGTTCGGTGGAGAAGTATGAGCAGCAGTAATTACACATTATTTTATTTAATCCTCACAGCTCTGAGATGCGTGGAGATTGCCTGCAATTGGCCCCTTCACACTTACTTTTGTCTGCTGTAACTGTCCATCTTCTTTAGAGCTGTTATAGACCTTTCACCCTGCTGGACGGTACCACAGCACAGTTATCTATCTCCTAGCTCCGCAGTATTTCCTCACTCGTGTGGTACTGATAATTCCACACAAACTAAAGTCCTGAATAAATTAGGAATCTAGATGAAGAAGGAAAAGAATGGATGAGTAAGAGGAGTTTCGAGGAAAATCAGAAAGAAAATCCGTATTTCCTAAAATTTAAACCTACTTGCTTTTTAGAAAGGAGCTTATTTCTTTGTTATGAATATAAAGAATGGAGTTCTCTTCCTAGCTTCCACTGCTGATTCTGAGTTGGAGGATCTGTGATGACTGTTGTTTGTATGCGACAGAAGATATGGAAGCTTTGACTTTGTTTATAGCATTCTTCACCGGTTGCAAGTGTTATTTGTCGGTTTGCACCTTAAAATCAATGTATATACTTCTAATGAAAAGAGATCTTGATGAAGTGGTGGAGCATAAGCTGTAAGTGAAAATAGTTTTGTAAATAATGCCAACATTGTATGACTTTCAGATAGACATTTTGGTAAACACTTGTTGTTTCTGCATGATGTGCTTGGCACTGGGCTGGGTGTGTCAGTCAGGGTTCTGCAAGAAAAACAGAACCACGTTAAACATTTTCTACAGATTAAGAACTTTATCATAAGGAATTGGCTTACACAGTTACAGAGGCTAGGCATTTTCAAAATTCGCAGAACAGGCCATCAGCAAAAGCCGACTGGAAGGTCTTAGACAGAAGCTGATGTTGCAATCAATAGGTGGAATTTGTTCTTCCTCAGGGAAACCTGAATTCTGCTCATAGGCCTTTCACTTGATGGGATCAGGCCCATGCAGAATACTGAGAATAATCTCCTTTACTTAAAGTCAACTGATGGTAGATTTTAGTCATGTCTACAAAATGCCTTCTATTAGCAACTCCTAGATTAATAACTGAGGACTAGAGCCTAGCCAAGTTGACTAAAACTGGCTATTGCATCTGGCAATTTAAAATTTATAAAGGAAAACAATATGCAGTTGCCGTCAGCAGGGAGCTTATAATTTAATTGGAGTGAAGATATGTCTTCACCATGACAAAGTGACTGGATTATAATATCCTTTGTTATTTCTGTGGGAATGATATGACAAAAGTCATTGAAATTGGAATTGTAGACCTGGGTTTGAGACCTGTATCTGCCTTTACTAGCTAAGTGATCTTTGACAAGATGCTCAGCTCTTGTGAGCCTCAGTTTCCTGATGTGAAGAATGAGAATGGCTCACCTGTTCCCCAGAGGGCTTTAGAAGCACCTTGCTGGATGATGGTGATTTTTATCATCAAGGTTATTCCAGTGTCCATGAAGCAACCCAGTGTAAATTATTAGCCAACGTTGTTTACAGAGAGACCATTGTGTCTTTAGTATCTTCCTAGGTGATGCAAATGATCAAGAAGGAAATACATGGAGTCTGTTTTGGGGTAAAACCTGTACATCTGAGTCACATAGTTAGATGTTGCTATTTCATATTTGATGACAAACATTGCTCTTTTAGGTTGCAAAGTTATGTTCAGTGATATATGCAAGTTATTTATTTCTGTAGTTTTTGGAATTCAAACTATATGTGGAGCCTGTTGGTTTCTGGACATGATTAGTGACTGGAACAATTTAGGTAACCCTATGTCTGAGTTGGAAAGATTCATCATATCTGTCAAATCTAGATTGCAAAGGACGCAAACATAAAATTTACTCTAAATTTTAAAATAATTTTATGTTAATTTTCCAGAAGATGTTTGTAAAACCATTGATCATTTATCTGTTAAAGAAATGGGATTTGATAAAAATGTAGTAGGAGGCTTCTTTTATATTTGACTTGCTCTTGGGAGCGGATGCATTAAAGTCAGTATTTTCTTTCGTATTTGTCTCAATGTCTGCATAGTCTGACAGCAATAAATGTAAACGGAAGGTTCAGGGTGTCTGTTTTGCTATGACATGTAAAGACCACCTTGGGACTTACATCATTAGCATGACTTTGAGACGTGAAACATGCATTTACTGACCACACCATTTGGTCACATTTGATTCTACGGCAATTAGATCCTACTCGTTCTGTAAGCTGGCCAACTTTAATTTCCTGACCAGAGCTGACTATTGTTACCTTAGTAAGATTATATTTACCCTTTCTGTCTACTGCACACTTTATTGCTATGTATAGAATCAATGTGTTCAAATTGAAGGCATTGCTAGTAGAAATTTCAGTGTTTTACTCACTCACATTCTTTCTCTTTCAGTCTAGTTTAATTGACCTCAAAGAACATGCATCTTCATTAGCCTCTGCGGGGCTGAAAAGGGATTCCAAATTAAAATCTCTAGAAATAGCCATTGAACAAAAGAAAGAGGAATGTAGCAAATTGGAAGCACAGTTAAAAAAGGTAAGTGAAGTCTAAGAAAAAGAATCATGCTTATTTAAAAATGAATTTATAAAATGGAACAGGAAGAGACGTTTTTAAAAAGAAACAAACCCCTTATCTGTTGCTGTCTGCTGATAAAAGAATTAATTAAATACTCTTAACTTTATTGCTAAGAAGTCTATCAAATCTGTCTGTAAACCTGAAAAATTATCTCAGATTTCCTGTTTAAGAAAAACTTGAAAAATAGATCAAAATAGTAGCAGAAGTTAAAAATATTATAAAAACCAGCCATTACTCTCTGGGCAAATCTCAACTATCAGCAAAGAAAAATAGAAATGTTTTCAACAAATCACAGAATCCGGAAGCCACATTAGATATTAATAAACTTTTGCTACTTTCAGATGTAGGTCATTTTTTTGTACCAGAACTTTGCAAAAAGCTTTTCTGACATTGTTAACTTTCTAGAAGTTCACCAAAATTGTCAAGTCCCATCTCTGTAGAATGACTATTTATATTTGATCAAAATGGCCTTACTGTCTAAGAAAGCTTGTTGTAGATAGAAGGCTTTGGAAAAGAAATAGGATATTTACATGGCGGCATTAACATGTTTTCTCTGACCCAGACATTTTTGTGGAGTGCATTTCCAGTCATGCATTGTTACTTTGACTTTTTCCCTGTGTTGTTTGGTATGTCTGCACTCATTGTTCACATAAAACTCATAACATTATGAGTTTAAGCATTTTGTTTCCCTTTGACAACTCATAAACTTATTCAAAAGAGATGATAAGAATCTAAACAATCAATCAAAGCATATAATACAATTTGACTATGTATAATTCATAGCACACACCGGGATGGGGATTTATTGGCTAAAGTTATGAAAAATATGACATGGATGGTCAAGGATGTGAAGGAATCACATATCTGTGAAGGAATTACTCTAGATATCTTAAAATTTAATATACTATTTTGTATGATGCAATATATAACTGAAATGTTACTATATGGTATTCACTTTACAGAGATGTTTAGGAAATTGTCATGAGAAATTTCACACTAAGAAAGTCTACTTGCTAATACAGAAAAAGATAAATACACCGATCAAATCCTTTAATAACAAAACAGCAAGAAAATCTCTATATTGCAAAATATATTTCCCAATCCACTCATCATCTCACTTATTTCAAGCAATATTTAGTTAAGCAGAAATCTTGAACAATAAATAAAAGAATTTAAATTGCCCATTTGAGGGTGTTTAAATGGAGATTGACTTGGCTATGATGTATTGGGTATATGACATACATTCCTGACCTATATAAATGTGCTCTTCAAAATATTATCTATGATATGCATATTAAGGGATGAACTTATGAAGAATATTTTTTATTTAATAAAAGTTTTGTGATCATAAGGCAGGCTTTAAGCTAGCTTTGTGAAAGAGAGAAATTCATTGGCTCCTTATGACCATTCCCTGCATTATTTTACCTTAGTCACAGTGTGCTGAGTCGAGAAGAAAGACGGCCTCAAATAGACCTGGGCATGAAAGATGTCCTCCACCTACTCTGATGAGTCATTGTTATGGAGATCGGGGGCTCCATTTATTATTTCTATAGGTACATGCTTGACACCTTCCTTTTTAGTGTAAATCATCTATGGGAATTTGAAATCCACTAGTAATTAAAAGGAAGAGATTCACATATTGTTGCTTATACTTTTCGTGTAATGACTTGACTAGTTTAATAAATCAACATTTATGCAATTCAGTATAGTTTCTTTCAACATAGCTGTGGTTTGCCCCTGAGATCACTCAGAGTGTGTGGTTTCCTTTGACTCGCAGGTAGACACCACACACTGAAATTCACAGACCAAATCCTGTAAACATTGTAGCATTATTCCTGACAGCATTTTAACATTCTACCACGTCACTAGAATTAAAGTAACAAATATGGTTGTCTTGCTGTAAAGGACCTATTTCATTTATGAAAAGATAACTTATTTCTAAGTATATACATAATCTTTGCTTATACTATCTCCTAAATGCATAGTGCAGTGAGTTTAAATAGGGTAATTATAATTTAAATATATTTATGTCTAACCTGCAAATGCTATTTTGTTATTTTTGGCTGTCTAGCATTAACTAAATTCAAAAGTTTAAAATATTTTTTCAGTAGTCTTTAATTTCTGCTAATAAATAGTTCCGTAAAAACCTCAAATACCCATCACCTTAAAAAAATTGAGATCTACATGAAATATTTGAAAATATAAGCCAACAGTATGTGAATATACATATAAACACATCATTTACTCATGGAAAAATAAGCAGCTATAAAAGCTTAAGTGTGTCTGGGCCTCTTTTTAAATAAAAGGGTACGTGACTTGTGAATTAAATATAAAAGTTTACTAAATGAAAGCTGAAAACATAATAGTTTTATTATGTCATAAATACACCAAAAATTCCCAATGGAATTTTGCTCAAGGTTTGTGAGTGTCCAGGTATTTTTCCTATAAAATCTACACAACATTGTAGATGTGTGTCGTTGAACAGAAACCTTGTCTGCCAGTGGCAATGAAATCCAAACGGTGATTTAAACTTATTTTTGTCTTGTAAACAATGCTTGACATTGGTAAAGGGAGTTTTTACATAAAAGTTTGTGGAGAACATTCAGACACATGATTACTTTAACCCTTTATTATACTGTGTTAATTTAAGATGCCTTCAATACTTTGTGATGACAAATGGTTATAGGCAGAAAAGGAACTCCCTTATACATTCCATCCCACTACTTATAAATGTTCATGTGTGAGGAAATTTTTACTGATATTAGTGAGGCTGATAAAATGATACTAACCAAATAATGCATAATTGCAAATTATAAGTGTGCTTTGTAATTAAGCGCATTCATCCATCTTAAGTAGACACCCAAGAGTTGAGAAGAGGCTGATAATTGACGTATGGATCATTTTGTCTTTCAAAAGAGTATTTGAGGTTCAAAATGGGGGAGTAAATTTACCCTATGTGATTAGAAATCAATTGAGAAGCAATGGCAATTCAAAATATGATTTATGCTCTTTAGTAATTTTTCAATTAATATTATACCTGAGGAGGGAGTTTCTTTAAACCATGATAACATTGTCATTTACTTCATTCAAGTTGAAGGAAAAAGTAATAGAGGCTCTTAAAAAGTGTGTCTTAGCTTAAAGCAAAGTAACAGTTTCTACAATATTTCACCCTGTACACCTTGACATTGAGCCCCAGATAAATAGTGCAGGTATTTAGAAAATATAAGTTGAGAGTGCAGTTTAAAATAATATTCAGCACATTTAAACCCACAAAAATTTAAATCTTCAACACAAAATAGACAAGAAAACATTATAGATTCTAAAGCACTTGGAACATAATAGGATATCTTTGAAAATTATGTTTTCTATTAATCCGGAGACAACAGTAGAAGTTGGTAATAGGCAATGGATAATACAGTATTTTGGTCCTGCTGATTTAAATTTTTCTTCTTTTCCCATTTAAGTTAATCCAATAAAGTCTGACTGATATTTTGCTATTGCTAACCTGCTGTTTGCTGATCTGTATTTTTCTGAAGATAGACCGAATAGAAAATTCAGGCTTGTGTTAATGTAAAAGAAGAGCTATAAATTCAATGATAACGTTTAATTAATCTTTTATTATTACCATCTTTGAAGTTCAGGTAATAAATTGCAGACTTGGCCAAAAGTACTTCTTCTGATTCATTGCTGGAGGCCAGCACTTCATGTATCATCAAAAGTGGACAGCTTTCTTTATTTCATGGGTTATTTAACTTGAGAAAGGGAAAGTAACACAAACCTTACATTTCTTATTCCAGCTATTCTTTTTTAGGAGCCAAAGTCAACATTTGTATTTCCCTAGAGCATCTCGCTTTCACTGTGGAATGTTTAGAAACTGAAATTTCTTCTTTTTTAACAACCAACTCGTCTGTGCGAATGCATGGATTTTGTTGAGCTAATGCTGTTTTTCTGGATCTTTCCTTCTTTCCCTGTCTGTGCCTCAATGCCTCCCCAACTTTGCAATGTAGCAAGCTGAGCAGTTGTTCAATCAGATGTACAACCCAGTAAGTCATTTCTGAAAGTTCCCGCTGTAACATATCAAAGCATGAGGATCCATTGATCACCAGTCACGGTGTGCCATACTGGGGAGGTTTTGAAAATATTTGAGTTTCTTCCCCTTTCCGTTCTGTCAAAAGAAATGATCTGTGCTGAGGCCACTGCCATTTCTTTTGAATGTGAAATTTAAAAATTAATAACTCAAGAAAATATTGCCAACTCTGATATTACCTCCTTCTTAACCTCAGCCCAAAGACTATAGAAAAACAAAAGTCAGCTGAAGATCTAGGCTTATGGAACTCTTCCTTAAATCCTTCAAACACAAGCATATCTAGGCCGAAAGGGATAACAACATTTGTAAAATAGCAAACAATTCAATATCTGTTTTATTCAAGTGACAGAAGTTAAAACAGGTTTAGATTTAAAAACAGGGTTACGCTCTTTGAGATTGGTAAATACTTGACATTACTGTGGATTTTGTAACAGTTAAAGGCATGCCATTTGGCTGAGGACAAACCATAATATAGTCTCCTAATAACAGATAGTAACAATTCTGATTATAGCTTAATAGAGTACAAAAAGGTAACTAGTAAAAATATTTGTAAAATGAGCCAGGTGCCACCACGAATTTTTTTTATCCTAGTGACTTGTGTGCATTTATTAATATATGAAGCAGTTTGTTTTTTAAACTTATTAAAGAAGAAAAGCTTTTTTGTTCAGTGAACTTAAGTGGCTTACTGGGAAAATACTTCATAAAGATGGCTAGAGTTTATCATTTGGCAGATGTGATCTGTGCTATCATGCATTCTAATCACCTCCTATGTATAAATCCCCTTATGGAGAAAATGAATAGCATGGATAAAGGAAACAATTGCACCCACAACTTTTTATTTGTTAAGCCACTGCTTCAGGATACATACAGCTTGATCTGCAAGATGTTCAGGTGTACTTAGTTAGATTCAGCCTCCACCCTCCATTCTTTACAACACATTTTATTTTTGCAAACAGAATTCCTAAAACCCTGCTGGAGCATCTTTGTTAACCTCTTTTTCAAAATGCAGATTTTAGCAGAGAAGCAAAAAATAATCAGCTTAAGTTTCTTTTCCCTTAACATTTGAATAGAAGTGCTAATAAGCAGGCTCAGGACAGTGGAGATGTGAAGAAAGACAAATAAGACTGGAATATCTTCAAGCTCGAAAACACCCTGGGAAAAAATGAGTGTTTAAAAAAAGTTGTTTAAAAAATAAGCGAAATAATCCCACTGCAATTGTTTCATACTTACTAGTTAGGAACAGGAAGAAAACCAAAGAATGTCATGTTTTGGGTGTGTGCATGACAGATGGGGAGAGCCTTGTTCCTGCAGCAGCAAAAATATACCAGGACCATGCTAGGAGTTCACTCTCCCTGTCAGGATAGGTAGGACCAAAGAAATAACTCTCAGTTAGCTTTTAGACCATTTCTAGAAATATCAGTGACATGGCATCATCAACTTTTACTTCACTTCACCCCAGTGGTGCGTCTCTAATATGCCAGCGTGAACTTTTCAGTCTTTTCAGTGACTAATTCAAAAGTCATTGACTGACTTTTCTCCTCAAGTTAATTAAACTAACCCATTGGTTTGGCATCCCGGGAATATAGCCAAACTCTCATTATTTTAACTCCCCCTGTCTTGGTGTCCAATTGTTTTTTGGACTGATAGGGATGCAGCATGATGGATTTTCTACCCTTAATTGTCTTTTAAAAATGACTATGTTTTTCTTAGTTGTAAAAATAATATATGGTCACAGTAGAGAATTTGCAACCATATGGAAGCCTATAGAGGAAAATTAAAAAATAACAGGACATCTCACGGCACAGAAATAATTGCTGGAACATTTGGATTGTTCTCCACCTAGACATCTTTTTGTTGTTGCTGTTCTTCTTCTCTCTTTTTCTTTTCTTCTTTCTTTCCTCTCTCCTCTTGCCTTCTCCTTCCCTTTATTCCTCCTTTCCTTCTCTCACTCTTGTGTTACTTTTTCTTTTTCTTATCTAACACTCTACTTCAAAGTGTTTATTTGGGTTTCTATTCTATTTTTTTTTACATTATTAGAATTTTCTCATATAATGAACTATTCCTCCAAAATACTATTTTAATGATTGTATACTATTCTACTCTATTTGCTTATTCCTCTAATGTTGGTAATTTCTTCCCCCATCACTTTTTTTTTTTTTTTAAACTTAAGACGAAGTCTCGCTCTGTTGCCTAAGACTGGTCTCAAACTCCTGGGCTCAAGGGATCCTCCTGCCTCAGCCTCTGGAGTTGCTGAGACTACAAACATGTGCCACCGTGCTTGCCTCCTTCCTGTGCCAGTGATTTGTAAAGATCCCAATAGTTCCTACTATCTTAAGTTTCCTAGGAATTCCACCAAAGCATGCTTCTTCCAGCACTGATTAAAAATGGCCTTTCTGCCGCACCCTGGCCAACATTGAGAATTGTCATTTTACATAACTTTGACACATGTTTAGGTGGAATTTTTTTTTGCCTTTTTAACTTTTCTTTCTTTAATAACTACTGAAGTTGAGGTTTTCCAGTACATTTATTAGCTTTTTGTATTTTTTCTTACGTAAGTAGTTTAAATCAGTTAAGCACTTGCTTTTGAGTTTACTGTTTTGTTCATTGGTTTATATGAGTTATTCTGTGTTTTATATAGAATTTTTGCCAGATTTATGGCAGTTTTATTTAGCCTAAATTTTTTTATGTATATAGAGAACAATTTTTAGGTTCTTGACCTGTACTTTTCTTTAGGCTTTCCTCACTACCTTTATTCTGGAAACTATTCTCTGATTTCACTTACCTATATTTAAAATGTTTTAATTTTGCTTTTGGTATCAAGTTAAGCCCTTTATCCATCTTTAGTTCATTTTTATTCATGTTGAGAGGTGAGGTTCTAATTATATTTTTCTAAATTATCAACTAATTATCCAGCATGATTTATCAAACAATTCTCTCTTTATCCACTGATCTTGATACTATTTTATTGAATATGAAGTTCTCATTTGGGTGAGTGTCTTAGTTTCTAAGCATCTGTTCAGTTTTATTGATGTCTCTAATTTGTTGGGTCAAAATTTTAATTATTGTATCTTTATTATATTTTTAAATATCTAGTAAAACAAATTACACCTTAATTATTTCTGCTTTTCATTTTGTCTTAAGTCTTTAGCCTTTAATTTTCTATCATTCCAAGTAAATTTTAGGATCACTTTGTCAATTAAAACACAAAATTGTTGATTTTAATTTTAAATATATTTAATCTATAAAATAATTTTAGAACTATTTATATGTTCCCAATATTATTTCTTTCCATTCATAAACCTGATCCAACTTGTATTTATTCCAGTGGCTTTTTACAGTGAAGTTTAATATTTTCCCATGATATTTCTTCTTAAAGATAGTCTTAAGCATATCTATATATATTTAATTTTTAGGTTGCTATTGTAAATGATATACTTATTATTTTATTTTCTAATCAGTTATCATAGCTAGGAAATTTCTTTTATTTTTGTATGTTTATTTTCTATATGGCCACATAACAAATTTTTGGTGAATTATAGTATAGTTGTTTTTTGTTAAATAAGATAATTTTATAGTCAATTCTGTCTGACAGTCTACACTATGTCAGAGTAAACAAGGATTAAGCTTTTAAGTGCTTCTGCAAGTATTTTTATTTCTAGGGTCGAAAGGAACCTTTTACTTTTTATCTCCTTTTACTTTAGTCACTCTATTGCACAAAGTAATATCTAATGACATTTCTTAGGAACCTAAAATTTTGCCTTGATATCATTATTTTTCTTATAACCTTTCTGCAGCTTAACTATCATTCTACTCCTGGAGTTTTGTCTTATTATTATAACACTGTGCAGGTTATCTTCAGTTGGGTTCTTTTTCTTCCCTTGGTTCTTAATTCTAAACAAATAATATGCGTGTTTCATCAGTCTCAAATACCTTGTTTGCTGTAGCCCTTGTGGTCATTGTATGCAGAGATGGTATCGGGAGTCTTTCAAAAAATTTTAATAAATCTTTAGACCTTCTGGGTCCCTCAATTTAGTGCTTCATATAATACCCTTGTTGCTAAAAGGCAAATGACTGATTTGGAGGCACTGGGTGCAACCTTGCTGTTGGCCAGGGCACATTTGAGACCCCTCTGATGTTCCCCACACTTGGGGTACCCAGTGCCTAGTAGGTATCCATTTGAAATCCTATCTCTTCTCAACACATATTTAGCAGGGCTCACATTTTACGTAAGTGTTTACAAAAAACATAACAAAAGCCAAAAAGCAGGCATGTTTCATTCCAGAGAGATAGAAAAAAAATCTTGTTAATGTCCTGCTTTGTAGGTCATTACAGGACAGTATAGTCCCAGGAACGTAATGGGCTGAATTATAAATGCTTTCACAGTCATTGTTTGGATATAGCAGTTTCTTTTTATGATTTTTGAAGCCTATTTCTGAAAAGTATTCGACTCACTCTTAAACCAGTTATCTCCCAGCACAGTGGAAAGTTACAACTATTTAAGAGATAATTCCAGGCATGCACATAGCATGTGTAAACACATGCATACACACAAACACATACCCTATAATTGATCCAGGCTTTCAGTGTCTAAAAAACTCAACTAATATTTGCAATAACACTCAACATTTGAAGCTACATGTTTTGTTTGAGGACATCCAGATAATTACCTCAGTTCTCTACATTGCTAATTTTAGGAAATCCCATAATTAAAAAGGATTGCATTAATAATTACAGTTTTGTTTGGGGGATCTTTAGAAGTATTAAGCATACAGTTGTTCTTTTGTGTGTATGTGTGTGTGTGTGAGAGAGAGAGAAAGAGAGAGAGACATAAGAATATTTATTTATATTTATTTATACATATCCTATTTGTTCCATCTATGAAAATAATTTTTTTGGTGTGGTTGTTTTAATACACAAATTTTTGAATATTCTGAATGCAGTTAGCTTGAATTGTGAGTGAATAATTTCCTTTAGAACTAAGATATATAGGGGCTGGGTGTGGCGGCTTGTGCCTGTAATCCCAGCACTTTGGGAGGTCAGGGCTGGAGGATCACTTGAGCTCAGGAGTTGGAGACCAGGCTGGGCAACATAGCAAACCCCATCTCTACCAAAAAAAAAAAAAAAACAAAAAACACACACACACACACAAAAAAAAAAAAAAAAAAAAAAAAAAACAGAATTAAGATGTATAACATTTCAAAATACATCATTATTAGTTTCCAAATGTATTATTTAGGCTCAGCAATGATGCCTGGTATTGATATATTTTAAATGAAATTTAATTTTCTAAATTAGGAACCTAAAGTTTTGCCTTGATATTGTAATTTTTTTTTGTAACCTTTCTGCAGCTTAACTATCATTCTACTCCTGGAGTTTTGTCTTATTATTAGAAACACTATGCAGGTTATCTTCAGTTGGGTTCTTTTTCTTCCCTTGGTTCTTCATTCTAAACAATAATATGTATGTTTCATCAGTCTATAATAGAGTTATATCAGTCTATTATAGAGTTATAATATGTTATATATAACATATATAATATATAATATAAATATTATAACTCAATAATCACCTTAAAAATTTTCTTTTAAAATGTAATATTTTATTTATAACTTAGAATTATGAGAAGATTGAAATTCTTTTAGAAGACTGTAGTCAAATATAATTTTCAAAATAGTTTCTATACCCTGTTCTGCTGTTAAGATATGAAAGGAATATTAAAGCGCTGTCAATGGACATTAAACCACCAACATGCCACAATCGAAATCATATTTCTACACTGCCTAAATTTAGCAAATTATTGCTAAAACCCAGAAACAGCAGGGAAGAAAAGTCATCAAATACATTCGTTAACATTCTGCTTTTATTTTATGGTCATGATTAATTATTTGTTTATTTTGAGGGAAATGATTTTTAATTAAAATTGGTAGGGTTTATTTCAAAGGGAACGTGTTATATAATGTAATAATTGAATGTTCCCTGCCTTGTTTCACAGCAGGTTTCTGGACCAAAGTTAATACTTTCCTTTCTAGGGATCTGGATTGATGAACTGCCATTTTATTGGAAATAATCAATGACCAGTCTTTAGAAGATTAAATGTAAATAGACGTATGATTTTGATACTTGACAACCCCATAGTTTGGCTTTAGCCATTTTTGGCTTCTTAACTTTCATTTACATATAGTATTAATCTGAAGTTTTGCCTTATTTCCTGAAGTAGTTATAAATTCTTTCACTAAAATAACTACTAGGTTATTATAACTATAAGTTAATATACTGCTCATCCCAAGCCATGGTCAGAGTCCTCTTAATGCCTGATCTAGGCTTTCAAAGTCAGTTCACATCAAAACCCAGAGGCCTGCCCACATCAGTGAGACTCCAGAGTTTGTTTTGGTTATTCCCATTTGCGGGGACATTTCCTTACATATGGAAATACAAGAAATATAATTGGGAGTCCCTCAAAACTTACTGATGTAGTATGCGATGCAGACATTTCTGAAATGTCCTTTTCCCATTTTTTTGTGTTTCTATAAGATGCTTGAGAGTTGCTCTAAATGTTTTAAGAAATATTTTTGAGCAGAATCGGATACCTGGATTTGCCTTTAAACTGACCTGTTTAATCAGTGGAATTAAATCTCTATATTAATGAAAGAATGCTTATTGATATTCCTTTAGTTTTAATGATGGTGGATGTCCTTGAAAGTGACGATGAGCTTGCTATATTCATGGTAAATAAGATCTGAAACCATCAAAAGAAAACTCACACCAATTTGTGTTTTTAAGAGGTAAATTCCTGACTAATGAAAATAGGAGGACAAAGTTGATGTTCCTTAGAAGTATAGAAAGGGCAAGCCTTCCCAGACCTTGTTGGGGAGCTAATTGCAAACCAACATATTCTTAAGGAAAAATATTACTGTGCATTTTCAATTTATGTCTTGAATGCATTAGAATGCCATGGCAGGAATTTACTGTGATCATGATTTATTCAAATCTGCTTTTTTCGCTGTAGTGTCTAAAGTATGATAGATCCAAGTCTGTTACCTACTTTTGATCTCTATCGGGAGCTGCTAGTCAGATTAAAGAACTCATGTTGTTATTTGAAAAGGCGAGAATATTGCCTAAATACAAATAAAGTGCTTATTTCATTCCATTTTTGGAGGAAGCTCAGGACTCATAATTTTGAAGGAAGCATTGGCTTTAATAAGCTCAATTTCCTCCACTATTTTATTTAGTGTAGAATCACTCATGTCTGTAGATCATGGTAGAACACATTCATGCTGGTTACTAGTTAAAAATTTCAGCCCATCCTCTGAAAAGTTGTGACTCAGGCTGAATAGAGCTGGTTATGTACAATATCTTTTGTAAATTCTTTAGAGGCTTTTGCCTCCAATACCTAAGCTTAGCTGGGGACTCACCAGCCTTCCCAGTCATGTGAAACTCTCTTTCATTGAGTCTTTACATGGACCCTAGTAATGATCCAAGAAGCAGCGGTTTCCCTGTCATCTTTATATGACTTTTTCTTAAAGCTTTCTGTTGATTTAAAAACATTTAAATGACATTTTAATAGCTCTCCCAACAATTCTGGCACCAAGATTGAAAGTGGCTTGACATAAGTTCTTTTGCCTGAAAATCAGTAGATATTGATATAGAGATAGAGAGATTTAACTCACAGGTATTCTTGAGGTTGTCTATTCATTTGATTGATTGATTGATTGATTGATTGATTGAGATGGAGTATCGCTCTGTCGCCAGGCTGGAGTATAGTGGCATGATCTTGGCTCACTGAAACCTCCGCCTCCTGGGTTCAAGCAATTCTCTTGCCTCAGCCTCCTGAATAGCTGGGACTACAGGCGTGTGCCTCAATGCCCAGTTAATTTTTGTATTTTTAGTAGAGATGGGGTGTTACCATATTGGCCAGGATGGTCTCGATCTCTTGACCTTGTGATCCACCCACCTTGGCCTCCCAAAGTGCTGGGTTTACAGGCGTGAGCCACCGCACCCGGCCGAGGTTGTCTATTTATTTTAAAAGTCTCATTAGCACTTGAAGTGTGTTCTGTTAATAATAGATACCAGGCCAGTCGTAAACTTGGCTCTGGTCTTCATTCTAATGACATGACCTAACTTCAGCATCAAATGATGTCAACAGTGGTACAGTCTAGATTCAGGCACTTTTTTTCCTAGGCTTTCTGTGCTTCTAAACATCCCATGAGTCCTTTCACCATACTTACTTACTTGTTTGAAAAGACTATGAATTCATCTGATTTCACCCACTGTTGAAAAGTGGCGTTGAATAATCATCTTTTCTTCATGGAGCTAAAATAAGGAATATGTGTACATACCTATCTCTAGCAGACTACGCTGTCTCTGTAAACCTATCAGGGAGGCTTTTTTTTTTTTTTTTTTTTTTTTTAGGGAGTATGTAGTATCTTGTCAATGAAAATCAAATAAATCTATTAACTTAGCTGAGTAACAAGCTGTATTTCTGGGATGCATATTATGAAATAATAATTATAATAAAAACAAAAGTGAGTAATATCTCCCCCCGTGTTTGTCATTTTGTAGTTTTCATGGTTTTTAGGCTAATTAATTTGCCTAATCTTTTGTAAATATAAGATGCAGGACTGGATTTAGAATCTTGGTCTTGCAACTAGTAATCCTGTACCCACTTATTAAAAACGGACTATAATAATAAGAAAAACAACCAAAATAAGCCACAGCAACTAACTGCTAGCTATTTGTGAACTTTTAAAAATTAGCATCAGGAAAGGAGTTTTAACTGTCCTAAGAAACAGGCAATCAAAATATACGTATTCATTTGTTTTGAGGGCTTCCAGCTGCTCATTACTCAGTCATTAATTCTTTTTTAAAAATCTTAATAGCCTTGTTTGGATAGTTCAAGAAATGTCATGAAAAGGTTTTTAACTGCTGTAAAAGAATGGTAATACAGTATGAAAATGAAAGAGAGGTTAACACGAAGTTTTTCTTTAGCAATTTAAAAGCTGTGTATTTTAAATGCTTTTCTGTAACAAAAGTAATGATTCATATTGTCACAAATAGAAGCAGGTATATGGAGTAGTTACTTTCTTTTAAAATAGAATTTCTGCTCTACATTTTTAAAGTGGAGATTAGGAAATTTATTCATTACTTAAGCTTAAAATGAAATTATTAGATAAATATACTCCTAAAGGTATGTTAGCTCAGGATTCTCTTTCAGATTATTTTAATTGTACTGAAAAAGTTTAATAATCTATTATAATGAAACACAGAGTGCATAGTAAATAAATGAAAATAAATGTTTTCTGAAAAATGTTGGTAAAAGGGAATAAACCAGTACCTGATAGTGTGTTGAATTGACATATTTTTCTTGTTTTTTTTTTGTGTAATTGAGTTTATTTCTTAAATAAGGAAATCTTAGGTTTAAGAACATGAAAGCAACTTTTTCCCCTTTATCCTCATGCTTAAATAATATGTTACATGCAAAAATATTATTTCTAAAATGATTATTTTGTCATATGAAATTTATTTTATTTATACTAATTTTTGAATTTTTTTTCTATTAAATCATTGCAAAGACTGTCAAACCTTCTAACCGTAGTATTAGTATTAATTTTTCTAACCATGCATGATTCATTCAATCCCACAGTAGCTGTAGCTTGCTTGCCTTGTTTTTTCCCTGAAATTTTCAAAAAAGTATATAAAAACACAATAAATATCTGCTCCATGTAGCAAGACAGCAGAAAAACTTAAGTCCTTAAAAATTGTTAACATTTGATTATATCACCCATGGATTTTGGAGATACATACGTATATGACTTATCTGAACTTTCTATGTTGAATGTGCACTGTTGTATAAACTACTTGTTTTTTCCCTGCCTGCTCTTTGAAGAAGTCAATTAGGAATAATGGGAAACAAGGGGTAGGCAAAACATTGCAGTGCAGTGTTATTTCTATCTGTCTGGGAATATTTCAGCCAAAAGTTTATTTTGGGAAAAAAAAAAGCTGTAACGCACTCTCTCACACACAAACCCACAAATACTTTGGCTGCAAATTATTCTGCAATGTTGTTGCTGTGTTGTTGCCTGTGTCTTTTCTTGTGTGTGAAGCTGCCACCCACCCATGCATGTGTTTGCAGATTCTTGTCTGTGTACTTGTTCATGAATTAGCTCATCCTCCTCCTGGTTTAGGTTAAATTTATTTAAGAGAATGAGGATTTATGGGTATAACTGTTAGCTGGAAAGCCCTTCCTCACCTCCAAGCCTCCTTTCAAACTATATTTCCTGCTGAAATTTCTCAGTGGAATGACATGTTCAATTATTAGTTAATCAGTCTCTTATATGTTATCTGGCTTTACATGTGCCCTTGATAGTTCTTGGAAAATAATCCAATATTGTGTTGTTTTGGTGTCTTTGTATTGGAAATGGAAGCATTTTGTATGAATCACCTCCTTAACTGTGAGGAGTTGAATTGTCTTAGGTCTGCTTATCAAATGACCGGGAATAAAGACATCACAGTATCTAACCCTACTTTTTGGTGGAAAGAAAAGCTAAAAGTAGCAACATTTAATGGAACAAAATATCAATAATTGAAGAAACTCCCCTGTGAAACTCTAATATTATTTTAAAATCAGCATTCTTCTAAGGTAGCTGAAATGTGTGATTTTTCTATTTTGCCTTTTCACTGACAATATACCCATAAATCTTGGTGGTGATTTTCTCTCCAAAGTTAATTTCTGGACCATTGGTGACAGCACTGTCTATTGTTCTAAATTGTTGTCTTAACTACATTCTTTAAAAATGTAATGTTGAAGGCACATAATATTGAAGATGACTCCAGGATGAACCCTGAGTTTGCAGACCAAATAAAACAGCTCGATAAAGAGGCGTCTTACTACCGCGACGAGTGTGGCAAGGCCCAAGCGGAAGTGGACCGGTTGCTGGAGATCCTCAAGGAGGTGGAGAATGAGAAGAATGACAAGGACAAGAAGATCGCAGAACTGGAGAGGTAAATTTTACAGTTATATAAATTGTTGGCAGTGAGAGAACATGGACTGCGTGGTTGCCCATCTCCGGTTGTGGTGGATTTGGACTGTACATTCATATTACAAGTTAGAAACAAGTCATAAATGAGGAATATGGCCTGTGAAAGATGACGTTTCTGTGGAATACTAAGAATGCAATTGGCTTATCTTCTGAGGGATTATATACTTCTTCAGTGTTGAAGAAAATAGTGGTCAACTTTCTTGAGTGATGTCCATGATCTAGCGTTTTTCCAGCGAAGTGTGTAAGAAATTGGGGCTTTGACTACCCAAAACCTCAGTTCTTTTCCATCACAGGTAAATATTTGTGGTTTAGTTTTGTCTTGATCAAACAACAACAACACCACCACCAACACCAAAAACCGAAGAATATAGTTGGGAATTCTTCATTCAAGATAGCGGAAGAAGGAAGGAGCTCATATCCTTTGGATGTCTCTTGGCACATCATGACAAATTCATCCTGGAGGTTTATCTCTTAAGAGGACCTTTTAAATACATATACTTGAATAGGTCCTGCATGATAGCAAATTCTGTGTAAAAACAGGGAGTGTTGCATCAGAGTATTTAGATTTTCAGATAAATCATATCCGTATTGTATTTATGTATAGTGTGGATGCTAAAAATAAGCTTGCTATCAATGTCTTTTCCTGTACTTCATGTAAGGAAAAAACTTTCTGAAAAATCCTACATAACTCCATAACCTCTGCAGATTTCTTATTGGTTCAGCAGTAAGGCAGAATTTGTCTTTCCCAGATTCAATCCATATGGAAGAGATCACCAAATTTTGAATAAACCTGTGAATGTTAGCCAGCTTTGATCGAGACACTTGTGAGGCCCTAAAGGACTTCAAGACATACACAGAGTAGCTCTCTATCATCTTGTGGAAAGATCATGGGCTTCAGTGACAGAAAGACCTGAGTTCAAATTTTGCCTCTGCTTTTTGCCAGCTGTGCAGGCTGGAGTGCAGTGGCATGGTCACAACTCACTGCAGCCTCGAAGTTCTAGGCTCAAGTGATCCTTCTGCCTCGGCCCCCTGAGTAGCTGGGACTACAGGTGCACGCCACTACACCTGGCTAATTTTTAAAAATCTTTCGTAGAGATCAGGTCTCACTGTGTTACCCAGGCTGGTCTCCAATTCCTGGACTCAAGCAATCATCTGTCCTTAGCCTTTCATGGCCTTGAATCTTGTTAGAAGTGAGTGAATCTCTAACAACCTATTCAAATGATGCTTTGCAAGCAATTGGTCCCCAGGTAAAGTGGAACATGTATATCATTATGAACAAATGCTAAAACAAATAAATTATCAAGGCCAGATATGGTGGCTCGTATCTATAATCCCAGCACTTTGGGAGGCCAAGGTGAGAGGATGGCTTGAGCCTAGGGGTTTGAGGCCAGCCTGGTCAACACAGGGAGACCTTGTATCTACAATAATTAGCCGGGTATGGTAATGTGTGCCTGTGGTCCCAGCTACTCAGAAGGCTGAGACAGGAGGATCACTTGAGTCCAGGAGTTCAAGGCTGCAGTAAATTATGAGCCACTGCACTCCAGCCTGGGGTCAAGATTCCTCTCTCTAAGAAAAGAAAAAAAAATCTCAACTTTGTCTCTGTATTAAACAAGTAGGTTAATTTCCAATAAAATTTCAACATTTTCCGGTATAATATTTGGTACATTCAAATTCCAAATCAATTAATATTTCTCTTCATAATAGCATTAGTTTGATGATAATCTGATTTTTATTCATTGTGACCAATTTTAGCAGTAAAGTCAAGGATTTCATTTTTTTTTGAGGTAACTATCCCAAATAGAATCCTTAAAGGGCTTTGTTTTAATTTTAAAATGTGAGGATGTTCTGCTAGTCTGCTGGTTCTTAAAAAGTGGGGAGCACTGTGATTTTAGATGGATCTATTTTGGAACTACATTTTAGAACCAAAATTTTTCTTAGAAAAACTGACATGAGATCACAGGAAAGTTATGATCATGTCTCTTTCATTGATTAGGAAACTGAGATCTTGAAAAGTTAAATGACCTTCCTGAGATTGGGCCTGTAGTCAGAAAGATGTGAAACTGTAATATGGGTTTCCTGATTCCTAGTCCACTGCTCTGAGAAGTGGTGAGCTATGTGGAGGATGCCCTAGATAATAATATTAAAAATTATAGTAGTTTTATTTGTAATACTAGGGTATGTATATTGTATGTATATTCTATGCTCACTGTGTGCCAGGTACTCTGGGAAGCACTTGACGTGCAATACTGTGTACCTTTTAGTCTCACCCACAATACAGAAACTGTCATTATTCTCATTTTACAGATGAGAAACTATGATTTATACAGATTAAGTAACTTCCTCCAGGTTGCAGAGCTCATAAGAATCTAATCAGGATTCAAACTCAGGGCTGACAGATGAGCCATTGAGAACAATCCCTTCCGCTAATGGGCCAGAAGAAAGAAGCTAGTACAGCAGCACTAAACAGTCAAGCAGCCAGCATACAGCCTTCCTGAGCAGGCATTGCTGCTGGGCTGCAAGAGATCTACCTCTTTATTAGCATACAGGAGAGAAAGTGATGTGCTTCACGCTTAGATGGCATTTTTTCTATGCTAAACCAGCCCCCCAGAACTGTAATTGAAAATCAGGACAAGCTACTATAAACATTTACATATAAACAGCTTAATGGTCTAATTGGACAAACAGGTCTTAGCTGGACACTATTGCCTTTAAATCATCAAGAATATTCAGATTTTTATTTCTTCAATATGGAATGCATTAAAGCAGCAGTGATTTTACAGGCATTTATCTTTATGTACTTTCTGCACATTTTCTTTATCTCTGCCTTTGCCTCCCCTTAAAGCTGATGCCTCCCAGGCACTGTAATTCATAAAACGTGTGGTGGGACCTGAGTCTGTCCCAGTACTCTGCCTGCCCGTGTCTTGCGTCCAGCAGCAGAGCATTGTCTGGGAAATGTCTGAGCTTCAGCCCCAGCCCAGGCCCCTAAGGAGGTGGGGGTGGAGATTCAGAGGGGAAGTTTCTTGGGAAAAAAAGGGCTCAGCCTTGGCCTGCCTTTCTGAAGCATTATCTGCTGTGCTACATGTGTATTCTGACCAAAACATCTTCTTCCAGTTGTCAAGCAACCTTTTTCAAATTGGGCAATATTGTCATTTGCTGGATAAAACTACAAAATTCATACCTCACAATATTGACAACTAAAGAGTTCTTAGCAATGTGACATGTATCTCCATTTTGGAGCCATGGAGAAATGTTTGCAATTAAATTTGTAATTTTGAAAACCAAAAATTGAACTTGAAATAGATTTGTGGTCTCTGGCTTGTAATGTGACCTACCAGAGTGAAAGGACCTCTTTTAAAAGGAGGAAATGTTCTAAAATATTCCAGAACTTCAATTGTATGCAACAAAAGGTACAGGGTTAGGAATAACTCAGACAACCTTGACACTGGCCCCCTCCTCTCTCAGAAGGCAGTATGTGTTTACTTTCTATTCTGTTAATCTTCCCATTCCAGATAGCACATGGCTGGCATTTACACAATGCATTTACCTCTTAAATTCCATGTGCGTGGTGTTTCTCATCAGCCATTAAAGATTTTGCTTTTTAAAGTGCATGTTGCTCTAGTGTGGTCCCACGTGCAGTTATGCCTGTAAACTCTTGCACGGCCCAGTGGGGAGCTTCTGCCTTGGACTGCAGGCAGCTCAGGGGAGTTTGCTACTAGGTGGGTGGTGGGCCTTGAGCAAGTCTCTGAGAGTTGGTCCAAATTCAGCTGAAGTCTTTATTCCATCTCCAATGTCAGATGTCACGTATATTACAGAACCTAGTGTCTAATTAAACCTTAGAGGCAGTGAAATATGCAGTGCTTCTGTGTCAGTGCCCATCAAGGTCTCTGAGTTTTATTTAGAGTTTCAGAATTAATCCTTTGGTGACTTAGGGGAAAGAGAGAGGTTAATAGAATCTGTCAAGTAAGACCTGCTGCCACTATATTTCTCACATCCCGCCCATGGGAAGGAATCAGTTTGGGTGACCTTTCATGTAATTATCTTAAATATGTTAGGGATTTTGTTGGTATTTGTCTAGAGGATGGAGAATGCCCAAATTGAGCCCTCAATCACATACCTCCCCAATGCGGAGAGGAGGCTGGATCCCTGGGGGTTCCACTCGTAAGACATAACATCAGAATGGAAAACAGCCTTCCACTTAATTATCTGGTTGGAGAAATAATATCACCAGACATTTGGACACTGAGAAATCATTTTAGATGCCTAAAAGAGCCTTATCTAAGTTTGAGGAAGAGAATGTTATTTTTTCTTCTGATTTGCTCAATAATGTACTAACATAATTTCCTTGATGCCTTTCAGAGCTCCATTCAAAATGTAAACTTGAGCATTATTATTATTTTTAAATTATGATAATATCTTTTAGAAGTTTCATGGTACATGGAAAAAACTTGATGCCAGTTTTATTTGTTTTGATATAAATGTTTCTTGCCGAGTAATTTTCACTTACATTTGTTAATGTATTTGAAAGAATTTCTTGAAAACAAGTGGCAGATGGCTATATGCCATTCCTAGCAACTTTTTGGGGAAGGTCACGGACATCACAGACACCTTTGAGAATTTGATGAAAACTGGGAGCCCTTGAAAGAGGCAACTACATCTGAAATGTGTGCTTGCTATTTCAGTTTAGGATTTCCTAAGGCTTGGCCACAGACCTTGATTTAATTACCTTTGATCCAGAAGGATTTGAAATGGCAGCTTGGGCCAGTGTTGCCAAAGTCCCCACAGTGATCGTGTCCTGACATAACTCTCATTTTAGATCAGTTGCGCATTTATGATCACAAAACACTCTGCAGGGGGATTTCAGATACAAGGGATTATCAAATCAACACTTTCCCCGTGTGGTTAATCTTAAATTTTCTCTTTCAGTTGTATCATTGTAATCAACACTGTTTTCATTTGAAATGTTCTAGCTTAAGCTTTATCCTGAGGATTTATTTTATTTTGTTTTGTTTTTCCTTCCCATGTGAAATACCTAAAACTACTTTTTTATAGTATGGAATGGTGGGGCCCCATTGAGCAGAAAGCTGGAAAAGTATTTGTTTATCCACTTTGTTTTTGCAAAGGGCATTTTACAGATCAACAAAATGAATGTCCACTATGTGCTCCTATAGTAGCCTGGAAGATGAATATGGTTTTTTGTTTGTTTGCTTGTTTTTATTTTTTTTGCTTGACAATAGAGATTATTGTTTTAACCAATGAGACGGACATGCTAGATATTTTTATACAAACAAATTAAAAAGTATTATAACTTGATATTTTCAGTAATGAAGTCGGAACTTCGTATTTCTGACTGAAAAAAATCACTCTCAGCTTGGAAAGTTACTCTGTCCTTGCTGCGGAAGCTGATAGGTGGGTGGCACACCACCAAAAGCCCTCCTCAGGGGGTCTTTGATCATTGCTATGTGCAGTGCTCTGTAAGCATCTAAAATGGAAATCTTTGAACCGAAAGCCAAATTGCTCAGCTCCTTTTGGTTTTCAAGGATGAAGGAAAAATATCTCATAGGATATAACCATCCAACTTACTGGTTCAAATAAAAATCTTTCTGACATGAGCACTTACCCAGGTCTAATACCTTAGTAGTTTCCATTTCAGTTTATTAAATAATAAAATTTTATATGCACACAGATAGGAACTTTCTCTATAAATATTCCTCCAGAGAAGGGCTGATGCTGTCATTGTACTGTGGGAGCACACCTCTGGTTCACATCAGTGCTTTTTGTAATTATACATATCAGAGCAGCTACCAGTTTCTTTGGTATGATATTTAATACAACAGCTTACAGTGTGTGCCCAGGGCTTTTGGGGGTAATATAAGATAAAAGTTTGCTTCGTTTAGTTATAAACCTGCTGATATAACATCTGTTGGCTATATGTTTAAAACTAATGCATTTCCTTCCTTTTATTCTCTTTTGCTATCCCTTTTCCTTTCTGCTTATCCTCCAAATTGCTGCTTTCACCCTTGCTCCAATCAGCTTGACTCTCAGGTCAGTAATTTCAGTTTTTCTTCTAACTGCCTTTCCCTCCTAAGCTCAATTTATGGCTTGCACTTGTTTAACAAACACATTTCTGAAATGGTTTTCCTCGGGCCACTGCATTTCCCCCCGCTCATTTCATTCCATGCCTTGGGAAGGTTTATTTTATGAAAAGGATGTATAGGTGGGAAAAGGCAAGGAAAAAGATGGAAATAAGTCAGTGTTGGATTATTTAATTCTATTTCTGGATTATAAAATCCATGAGAGAAATTTTCATGATAACTCCCCAGTGCATTTCTCCTGAGCAGTTCAGAAAATTGACTGCAGGATGATACAACGTGGAGCCATGGATAAAAACATAATGCAGGATGCTGAATTTAACCTAGGAGAACAAAATATCTGCCCATGACACAGCAACTTAAAAGCTAAATTTAACAGTGCAAACTGTTCAGACTTTTCATTTAATAAATCACTGTGTTCTGAAAGATGTATAATACTGTTTAAAAAGTCACTTTTGAAAATTATCAATGTGTTAGTAACATATTGTACACACATGTTATTTCCTGACATTGTTTTGGTTTTAACTTTCTAACTTCAATTTTATTATCCATAAGGCATACTTTAATTACCTAGGGCATAGCATATGGAACCAAGTGTAAGACCTGATTCATTGTTGACTGTGTGTACCCCAATATTAAGAAATGAAATGGGCGTTTTGTCTGAAAATGCATCCCAGGCTTGATTCCTCCAATGTAGGAGGCCCAAGCCCATAATTTCTTCTTCCTTAAGTCAAGGACAACTTCTCTTTCCAATAAAACATAGTAATATGTAGTGATTTCTTTATCATTCAATCAATGAGTTTACTAAAGGATGCTCATTCTAGGATTTGAGGCTATCTAAACTTCAAAAAAAGAAAGCATCACATCAATGTGGCAGTCAGTATAGTTGCTCTATTGAGAGGCAAGCGATAATTATTTTCTTCTCTGTACACAGGGTCTGCAACCCTTTATTCTGCCCCATCACCCAAACCACCAGGCCAATCCATTGACTACAGTACCAAGTTATTTCAAAACAAGGCATGTCTTTATACACAAACCTGCTCATCTACTGATTTTGTCCCACTGCTGGCTTCCAATCCTGGTGGCTCATAGTCCTTGAATACTTCTCTGCCACTCTCACATACCACACTGCGTATCCCCCAAGAACTGCCTGAACTTCATCGCGGTGCAGGAAAGCGTCATTCTCAAAAGTTCCAAGAGATCTGATCAGAGATTAAAAGCATGGCCCCCAGAGAACTGCTCTTATTCTCAAATTTAATGACTCTTAATTTACTTTCTGGAGCAGAACAAATCTGGTGCATCTGTGTGCAGAAACACAGACATCATAATGGGCGGTAGGGAAGGGTGGGATGGGGAAGGCTTAGAAACATGCATCCAAACCTTTTCTCCAAGTTTTTGATTCACTCATTTAATGAAGCTTCAAGCTTTTCTCCTTGCCTGCCTGTATCCCCCTCCTTTTGCCTTCCCTTTGCTGCCCTAACCTGTACCTCTTAATATTGAAGCACTTGAGATCCAGGGATCCCTTTTGCTCCCACACCTCAAGCTTCCTGTCAGGGCCTTTAGTTTTTTACCTATACACTACTGTGGTTTTTTATGCTCTAGGAACTTATTGTGTGGTAGTTTTTTTGTTTTTTTTTTCCTATTTCATGGTGAAAGAACATGAACTCTGACTCTCAGAAGACAGGGCTGGAAGGGGTGATGGATGTCCAGTGGTTCTCTGGACAAGGGGCAGGGTGTGTTGATAGGATGTGGCAAAATGCACATGCCAAATCTAGTTGGATGAACTATAGGAGTTACATCAAGGTTCATATCATTCCAATATCATTTAACCTGTTGCCTCAAATGAACATGATGAAAATGTGCAATCATTGTGAATAATCATCTCTGGTTATATTTTTAGTGTAGGAAGAATTGGGCAGCTCTGCCCTCTTGGAAACAAAAAGTCTTTAGAGTCCTAGAAGCTTTGTTCAACTTTGACAAGTTTCCAGAATTAACTGTGCTTTATTCCCAATGACTTCCAGGTTTACCAGTTAAAATAAGATAAAATGTAATAATTGAACTGAATGCAGGATCTCTGACTATGTACTTTCTTTATATGGCATACAGTTGAGATACATATGTATGTGTGTGCATATATGTATATATATGTGTGTATGTGTATACACATATCATGTATTTTAGAAAAATTGTATCTAGTCTTTCTTACCATAGTTTATGGTTTGCCCTGCACATCCCCACCTCCTAATCTGAAGTTTGGAAACTGCAGTAACTCTTGAGACTTTTCTGTGTGCTGTGGACTCCATGGGAAGTTCTCCCTCCAACTACTTTTTCAGATGACTTCATTTCCTCTTCAAACTCTATGTAGACTCTCATG
This sequence comes from Homo sapiens, assembly GCF_000001405.40. Taxonomy (NCBI): domain Eukaryota; kingdom Metazoa; phylum Chordata; class Mammalia; order Primates; family Hominidae; genus Homo; species Homo sapiens. The sequence continues at coordinate 55,983,555 of NC_000003.12, read as the reverse complement.
CTTAAATTCAGGTGGACAGATATTAAGTACTGGGTTTGGTAAAATGCAAGCATCATATTCCAAATCTGTTCAGGTCTCCACTCCAGTAAACTCCATGTCTGTCAAGAATGTCTTCATACACAAACAGGTGGGAAGCTGGAGAGGTTTGTCAGGATCTCTGTATTGTACTCGGGGGAGGGTTTACGTGAAACTTTTATATTTCTAGTAACTATTTGTGAGATTAGCATGTGACTTATGACAGATGAGGTTATCTCCAAAAATGTATGCAGCAATTGACTAAAAAAATAAAAAGTATCCTTTGGGATTCAGTTCAAAGTCCTGCCAGAGAATCAACCAAGTAAAACCAGAAGACATAGACTTCTCCCAGGCCCTCTCGGTCTTCAGCCCACTTTGGATCCCAGGTCAGCTGATTCCTTGTTTGGGCCTCAGTGTCCCCTCTTGGAGAAGAGGGAGCCATCTTTGGAGCAAGTCTTCTGGGATCCTGCCTGCACATGGGCATCACCTGTTTGATGAAGGGGCTGTTGGTGATGGACCGCGTGCACTGCCCTGCAAGCAGGCTCAAGCTGATGGCTGGCGCCTGGCAGCAGGCGTGAGCTCGTTATTATAGAGTCACTTCAAACACTTGTACCAAAATAAACTCTTTGTGATGTTTCCCCAAAGCTGAACACTGTGTTTTCAATCCCTCATTCTTCTAGCAAAAGGTGAAGTCACTCCTCCCAGAACTCAGAGGTCTGTTGCCCAAATAAATAATGAAAAACACCTTTGCCAGAGCATCCCTTTAGTGTCCTGCAATTTGTTCTTTGCTAGGGTCAGTATTTTGCCCCATTCCCTCCACAAATATATAGTGAGTGCCTACTGTGTAATAGGCTAGGCACTGTGTGCTGGCCCAGCATTTCCAAAAAATACCTGACGAAAAACTGACCAAACCATTTAAGAAATGCGGTGTGACATTTTTCTTTTTTATATTCATGACATAGGTTGATAACAATAATAATAATAGAAACAACAGGAGCAGAAGCAGCAACAGTAATACATTTGGTGTTAATTAAGTGCCAGCACTGAATTAATTACTTTTTTTTTTTAGTGTTCTTTTTAATGTTCACTTCTCATAACAACTGAGGTTGGGACTATTATTTTTTTTCCATATTAGGTAAGAGGAAACGTGTTCATCAAAGTTGAACATTGTGCTAAATTTATACAGTTAGTAAGAAAAGGCATTGGTTTTTTTACCCCCTAAATCAATCCATTTTGATTTACAGATGGGATCTTTTGCCACTTCTGCTCCAGTTGCATAGTAAAAGCACTGAGAAGGTCTGCAGTAAGGAAACCTGTGCAGTTCTGTTCAATCCTCGGTTTTCTGAATATGGTGTTCATTGAATATATTCCATGAAGCACTTTGGGGAAAAACTGTCCTGCCAGCTGTGCAGCCAGCCTCTCCTTTCATTCTGAGATTTATCTCCCCTCTCCAGCCAGCCTCTCCTTTTATGCTGAGATTGAATGCCTCTGGTTCTTCCTGTACAGATCCTGCCCCTCTAAAGCCAGGGCAGGAGTTGCCTCTTCCACCAAAGCCTTCCCTGAGCCCACTGACTGTGTGGGCTCTGTACAGTGTGTTGTGCCACACATGGGAGGCGGCAGTCATGCTCTTTAATGCTGTTGAACAAAGGAGCAACCATTGGGTTTGTCTCACCCCACTCTTTCTTTTCTTTGTCCCCATGGAGAGTTGCTGGGGCTCTTTCTGGAAGCTGAGTTGTCTACACTGGATGTCATGTCTGGCTTCAGACATGAGGCCCTGAGAAAAGATGTCATTGGTTTTCTATCAAGTCGAATGCTTGTAAGTTCAAGAAAAATGAAGACAGAAATAAAAGGAGAGGGGAAAAGATCTTCATCTGAACTTCTCTCACTTTCAATCCCTATTTCCTTCTTTTCCTCTCTCTCCCTCTCCTCCCCCTCCTCCTTCCTCTTCTTCCTTGACTATTCATTGAAATCCTTCTGCAAGTGAGAGTCTGTGCTGGCTGGGTGTTGGGGATATAGCAGTAAAACTGACATGATCCCTCCCCTCACCAAATTCAGAGACCAATACTTCCTGTAAGGAAGAATTTGGCCACTAAGAAAAATAATTTGTATCAGTTATACTAATAATTGGAAAAACCAGGTTTCAGGTGTGCTTTTCCCCCTTTTTCCTGTTGGGGTTGAAGGGGTTATCCACAGGTCAGAAAATTATATCCTTCTTTAAAGCTGCCTTATTCTAATGCTGACATTTCTGGTGAAGTGTCAGAAAATTTTATGCCCAAGCAAAACTGGTAGAAAGCCAGAAATCGGCTGATTTTGCTTTAGGTGCAAATATTTTATTGGGGATGGAAAAAAGTTGTTTTCCCTGATTTATAACTCCTGCAGACATAAAGTGGGTTCTATATTTAGAAATGGTTTTGAACCCTTGAGGCGTAGCCAGGGATTGGTGCTTACACCTTTCCGATCCTAGCCTTGGTGGGACTTGCCATGACTAATGTTTTGCTGAGCCAGCTCCGATTTATAGAACTAGGGCTTTATGCTGCATGTTGTTTTTCTCTTTAGCTTTTGCTTGAGTTGCTGTTCTGGCACTCTATACCCTCTAGAATGGTGAAGACTGAAGGAACACAATTGGCACTGTAGTTGAAACGTTTTATAGTTCAGTGTGTGTCTGAGATTCCTTGGAGAAACAACAACAGCAAAATTGAAGGATGGCCCCAGGTAGGCCTTATAAGTCATGACCCAGAATAAGAGATACCAAGTCGGTAAGAGTTAATCATTCATCTGTACTTTTTTTTTTTTCTAAAACCTTTTCTTTTCCCTGTTTCTCTCATCCTCTTGGCTTTTGGTTGGTACTACCATATGGATGAATATCAGCAAATAGTAAATCTCTCAAGATGTGTTAGCTTTTTCTGTAAATGCTGAGAAGGGGAAGGAATTTAAAAAAATAGTTTCTTAGTATTATTATAAATCACTTTCTAGAAAAATAATATCTTATTTCCTTTATATGGCTTTTCTTATGAAATGTGAATTCTATCACTTCATTATGCACAATACTAGCTCAGGTTGTAGAGAAACCCAACCATCCTGTGACTGGACTTTCTTCCATATTGGGTGAAGGTGCTTGGAATTTCCACACTGTGTAGTGTCACATCTTTGTGAAGTCTACATTTTGGGGGGACCTATTTAAAAATGAGTGGGCACTGTGTATGTTTGTCTGAGGAAAATACATTGTTGTTACGTATAACAAATGCTTTCGACATTTTTTTTGTGGAGGATTTTGATGATTTTAATATTTGCTGCTCTCTCATTTTACTCTAGATTCAGAGTAATATTAAGCTAAATAGATGTGAAAAATAAAACAGAACCCAGAAATCAGCTGATTTTACTTTGGGTACAACTATTTTATTGGGGATAGACAAAAAGCTTTTTTTTTTTTTTTTCTAATTTACACTTCGTGCAAACATAGTGGGTTCTATAGAATTATTTTTGCATAAGAACTTTAGTTTTAGAAATTGTAGACTGTGTTTGGGGATGGGAATAAATTTTCCCTTGAAGAGCCTCTATGGTTCCTTAAAAAAAAAAAAAAAAGAAAAAAAAAGAAGAAGAGATAGGGTCTCGCTCTGTTTCCCAGACTGGAGTACAGTGGTGTGATTGCAGCTTGCTGCACCCTTGAACTACTGGGCCCAGTGATGCTCCCTCCTCAGCCTCTCAAGTAGCTAGAACTACAGGCCTACCACCATGCACAGCTAATTGAATTTTTTTTTTTTTTTGCAGAGGTGGGGTCTCACTATGTTGCTCAGACTGATCTCAAACTCCTGGTGTGGCTCCTTTTCCAGTCCAAGAACAGTGAGACTCATGTTTTAACTCCAGCTTGCAGATTGACGTTCTCATCCAGCATTTTTGTAGATTGGTAGCCATGTTAATATAAGTACCTCTCTTACTGGCATATACGGAGCTGTATGTACAATAATTTATGCTTTTAAGTAACTTTTTTCAGTGAAAGGTGTAAAGTGTGTGATTCTCACAGTGTTTTGATGGAATGTACTATTTCTAGTGAGATTCCACCCATAATTTTGAAGACATAATGGTGAATATTAGCAAGTCTTGAGACATTTTAACCTGGGATGAATGCAGGATTTCATACATAGAATTGCTTGGCAAATTTTTACTTTAGGTCCTGGGAAAAATCCCTTTTTCAGGTTTTGAGAACATAACCACCACCCGTCTCACATGGGAGCATGAAGTAACGAAATAGTCTCTCACCAGCCATTGGTGTTGGTCAACTGGAATATTCTCGTGGCTGAACAGATCTTGATGTGATGTGTGAGTTGAAGTGTAAGAGAGTGGTTTTAAATTTAACTGCAGAGCCCTCTGCTATTTAATCATATGTCAGTTTGATGGTTCCAAGGGCAGCATGATATGTTGCTCACAGATAATTACCGTGGAGAGAATGAGTTGGTTATAATAATGAATAACTGAAGAATCTTCTGATAACCTGCGATGAATGGGCCTTGGTGAGAAACACTCACTGGGTAATTGGCAGATAGGTGTCCTATCGCCTTGCTGAGTGTGGGTGCTCTTCTGCCACCTAAATACGCAAAGCAGGGGCTTTTTAGGGATTCCTAAGCAGATAAAGAAGCAGTGTTCTAGGATTTCACTTGTGTTGTCTCTCACAGACCTATTATTAGTTTATATTAATATTTCATTCACAGTCCAAGTTATTCAAGACATTATCTATTGTTAGAACATTCAGTGTAGAAAACTAAATAGACTACCTCCTAAGAAACAACATCATCATTGCTATAGCACTTGGGACACAGTACTTCCTTTCTTTAAGCCTATCTCTGTATCTGTAAAGTGGAGACAATTATATTATAGCTTACCTCTCATGTGCATGTGGTTGAGATGCACACTGAGCGTGGAACACAGTCAAGGCACATAGGAGATGCTCAGTAAGTGGCAGTGATTGTGGATGTGACAAAGATTTTCATGCCAAGAGTAACAGGTGAGAGTAGGGAGTTGATACGAGAGAGAAGCCGGCTGCCTCCGTTGCTTTTCTAGTTGTAAAAACCTGAGTTGCCAGAATAAAGACTTTAGACATTTTCTCCCAAGCCATTGAGAGATTTTTGAGGAAAAGGTTGAAAACAGAATCCTGCTGCATGCTTCCCTTGACCCCAGGGATATGAATAAGTGAACATAGAAAAATGAACTTATGCTTATTGAAAAGTAATCTTTATATATAAATATGTAAACTAATTCATACAATCCTTGTTTGTCCTATATAAGGACTTATTTTAAATTTTCCTGGAACTAGAGATCCAGGATTCAGCTACTGCCTTTCTGTATTCATGTATAAAAAGATCTGATATTGCGTTTAGAGGATGGGCCAAGTATTTAAGTGTGTTCCTTAAACATTTATCTCCTTTATTCGTTAACTTATTTGCTTTCATCAAATAGTGATGGTATGTCTGCTCTGTATCAGGCACTGGGATGTAACTGGCACTACACCCAGAAGCAGCATCGTGAGAGACAGAAGCAGATCCGTAGTATTTATAATATGATATCTGTGCAAGTGGTATAATGTAATTCACACTGTTCTACACCTTGGCTTTTTTTTCTTGGCAAACTATTTTGGAGATCTTCCCATATCTATACCTAAAGGCTTTCTACTCTTTTTCACCTCTGCATACTATTTAATTGAGTCTGTCTCCTTTTGAAGGACTTTTAGGTTGTTTCTAGTCTTTTCCTCTCATGCAGTCTGCTATAATTAATAACTTTGAATAGACTTGATTTCAAGTGTATGTGAATATATCTGTAGGATAAATTCCTAAATGTGGAATTGCTAGGGTACTATGCTTATAATTTTTCTAGATTTTACCACTCGTCCTCTACAGAGGCTAAACCATTTACAGACCCATCAACAATGTGTAAGAATGCCTCTTTTTCCATAAACTCTGCCAGTGCAATGCGCTTTTCAAACTTTATCTTTGTTAATATGGTAGGTGGAAAATGACCCTTAAGTGCAGTTTTGATTTGCTTTTATTTTATTACAAGTGACAATAGACATGTTTAAATGTGTTTATACTTTGTCATATTCTTTTATTGGTCTTTTTCTTATATATTTGTAAGAGCTTTTTATATATTAGGAAAATGATACGTTTGTCTTTGATCTGACATTTGTCACTTTTCTTTTATTTGGCTAATGGTGGTTTTTGTTATGCAGGTTTTCTTTACAAAATTATTTTACATAGTCAAATGTATTCAGTCATCTCTTTTATGTCTTCTGAATTTTGTATCATACTTAGAAGCCCCTTCCACACTACAAGACTATAAGAACAATTGTCCTGTGGTTTCTTTTAGTAATTTTATGATTTGTGTCTTAGTCTGTTCAGGCTGCTATAACAAAATATAAACTGGGGAGCTTCTGAACAGTGGAAATGTATTTCTCACAGTTCTGGAGAGTGGAAAGTCCAAGATCAAAGGTACCAACAGATTCAGTGTCTGGTGAGCGCCTGCTTTCTGACTCATGGATAGAGCCTTCTCTCTGTGTGAGAACAAGGTGGAAGGGGCAAATAGGCTCCCTTTGACTTCTTTTATAAAGGCACTCATCCCATTGCTAGTCACCTCCCAAAAGGCCCCACCTCCTCATACGATCACTTTGGAGGTTAGGATTTCAATGGATGAATTTTCTGGGGACACAGTCTCTTAGTATTTTTATGTTCTGATTTTCTGCATTTAAGTCTTTGAACCACATGGAATTTATCTTAGTGTGAGGTATGAAGCATGGATATAAATTTATTTTTTTTCCTAGGCCAAGTGAACTTTAAATGTCACTTTCATCATTTGCTCTTCACTGGAGCTAGACAGGCCCAAGTTAGGTTTGTCTAAGTTCACGTAGTTTCCCACTAGAAAATAGGGCACACTCTTACTTGCTTGTTCAATATCTGTCTTTCAGTCTAGAGTAGAACTTTGATCTAGAAAGGACCTGTCTTATCCAACCAGTGCCTGCAAAAATAGTAGACACTTAATAAACATTTACAGAATGAAGAAATAATGTGAGTTGTAAAGAAATGGAGTTATAAGGAGGTAGAAATTATGCGTAATTTGAAGCTGTAAAAAAGGCATTCGGAGTGGAATGTGAGTCATCAAGGCAGTGATGGAGGGGAACCAAGTCAACAGGGGGTGAAAGGTGAGCCAACTCTTGCTTCATGAGACAATAAAACAACCCTGGGTCCAGAGTCACCTTGGACCCAGGATGGGTTTTCCGTACTCTTCTCTGTGAGACCCAGAAGGAATATAATTTTCTTCTTTTTCCTCTTGGGAAGGCCAATTTCTCAGATTTCCTTGGTTTCGGTGAGACCCACCTGTATAATCGAGATCCCTGGCTAACTGTGGCAGGATGTAGGAACAAGTATGGAAAATATGACCAGAGTTAAGAACAAAGAGATCTTGGCCAGGCTGTGTTTTAGATGCTTTGGGATCGCTAGGTAGCCCTGCCCAGTAGGCAGATTGGAATGAAAATCTGAAATTTGGCAAAGAGGCATTACCCATGGCGCAGGGTGACAAATTCTATATGAATGTCATGGACATTCAGAGGAGAGAGGAGTTGGGAAATTTCTATGAATGTGGTGGTATTTGTGCTGGACTAGAAAAATGGAAAAGATTTTACCAGATGTAGAACTAGATGGGGAGCCTAAGCAATGGCAAGAGAGGTAGGAAGATAGAAGGCATGCTCAGAAGAAACGGGGCTGTCTGTAGCTTAGACTCTGCGGTAGGGAGAAGAAGGGCAGAAAGGGCTGATCAGGACAGAGGAAAGCCTTGAGTACTGAGATAAAAGATTTTGAACTTTTTGAGCCTGGGATGAACATAACGAGGAGTATCTTCTGGGAGGATTAATCCTGAACCATCTCTGTGCTGGAGAGATAGGCAGTAGCCCAAGCTAGAAGCAATAATGATGAATAAGAAGACACAGTTTTAGGGGATGTAGGGATAATTAATGAAATTTTTTTAAAAGACAAAAGTACAAAAATCTTCAGCCTGTATCTCTATCCTCCTTGTTTCCAGAAGAACAAGGCCATGTTTCCACAACAGCCAGCAAGACAGAAGAAACAAATAAACAGACAAAAAAACCTAGCTACTAAGAGAGCAGGAAGAAAATAAAGGCATGGTGGAAGAAACTATGGAAATTGGAAGAAACTATATGGAATATGGAAACTATATGGAATATGGAAGAAACTATAGGAAATTATGTTCCTATAATTGCAGCAGAAATAAGAACAGGCTTTGTCGAGTACCTATTTGCTGTTAGCCCTGGTCCTATGCATTCTGCAAGGTTTAATTCATGTTTTTTTTTTTTATAGCAACTCCAAGACAGTAGGTGCTATTACTCAGTCCCATTTTTGAGATCGGGAAACCAAGGCTCAGGGAAGTTAAGTAACTTGTCCACTCTTATACAGCTATTAAGTAGTGGAGCCAGGATTCAAACTTAGCCATTTCGGTTCCAGGGCCAGAATCATAAACACTGTGTCTGATTCCAAAGCAAGGCTTTTTGTGCTAGTATGAATTGGTTTGGCTCAAGCACTCCTGGGACCATAGGGACTACTTTTTAATGTGCTTCTTTTGGGGTGGAAAGCTATTTCTATAATACAAAGGATTCCAGGCGTTGATGAAAACCTCTTATAATGGAAGTTGAGAAGCTGTTTGTGTTGGCAGTTCTAGCAGCTTTTTTGAGCTGCTGGTCCGAGTCTTTGCCCTCTCTTGAGCCGGAATGTGAAATTCCTGTTTTTGAAGTGAGTTTGAGTGGGCCTGGTGAGTGGGCCTTCATGGAGGCAGTGGCTTCGTAGACTGGAGACAGTCAGCTCTGGATGCGCTTCAAGGATCGTGGACGGCAGAGATGGGGGAAGACCTCGGTCATCCATCCTTCTGCCTGCTTAAGATGGTTCCCTGCGGGGAATTCTGGGGAAGCAGCCAAGAGAAAAGATGTATTTCCAGGAGGGGTTTTATGCCTGTTCCAGGAATCATTTTTTGGGACAGTTCTTCATGGCCCCACACAGTGTGATTAGAGAACCGCAGCAGCATCAAAGCCGAAAAGAAATGAAGGCCTTTGTTTTGATATATGATGGTTTTCCTTTTGGAAAACAACTCTCTGAAGGGGAGATGGACTTCTCTGCAGCACAGTATCTGTATCTGCCTTGATCTTGTCTGATACAAGTGGGAGTGCTGGCAGCACATAACGAAGACAAGGACTGAGAACTCAAACCACGTATTAGCCCCTGTCCGGCTAGTAATCACACTGTGGAATCGTTCCTTCCTCATCGTTATGTCAGGTCAGAGGGTAGGTATCATGCCATCAAGATGTAGCATCTTCCTCCTACAGAGCTTAGGTGTTTTTTATTTTTTTCCTTAAACTTTTAAACTTTAAACTTTTAAGCTGAGATTACTTTGTCGGTATGCCTGATAGAAAGGATCTGTGCTGGCTTCTCAGTTCTCCCGGCTGCTAGAGAGAGTGGGATTTCTTTCCTTGTTTTGTTTTTCAGTTTGTTTGGTTTCTCTTCTCATCTCTGATAGACATCTTACTTTTATATAGTTTTCTAAAATTAAAATGTTTGGGTAAAGTGACTAACTAAACTTCCCTACATTTTAAATGCTATTTTTAGGCTGTTTTTATCATACGATCAACTAAGTTTTGTAAAGTTTAAAAACACACAAGACCTTTCTAAAACCCTATATTACCTCTGTATTTTTAATGTAATTTGGGGGAAAAATAATTCTAAGTGCCTTTCTTGGAAAACTGCACTCTCATTTGTTAAGCAGTTTTAATGGGCCAGTGTCTGTGCAAAACACTGGTGTGCAAGAATTTTTCTAATCCCAACAACCCTGGAAGGGTAGTATGATTTGCAATGGGCATATGACTAAACTGAGGTTAGTGAGGTTATTTGTAATCTGCTCAAGGTCACTCTGGATTTGAACCTAGATAATCTCAAGAGCAAGGGGCATGTGGGAACAGGCACACATGGATATTCCCTTGCATGGCATCATAAAAACAATTTTAAAAAACTTATTCTGAAGGCAGTGGGGAACAGGATTGTGTTTTAGAAAGATGTCTACCTGTTACTTCCCATGCAACCAAAATAGGACTCATCACCACTTCTTTCACTCATCCTCCCACTACTCTATATATTTGGCACTTAGGTGTGGAAGTGGCACAACGTTCACCTGTTTATCTAAGATAGAAAACTCTAAGTGGCCTGTAGCTCATCCCTCACTGTAACTAATCCAACAGATTCCATTTCTTTCCTTTTGTTTCCCCACTCTCAATGTTGCTGTCCCACTTGGTAATTTGGACAATTGCAGTAGCCTCCAGAGAGTCACAATCTGTCCCAGTCTCTGTCCTCTACTCCAGATAAAATCAGTGAGGCAACACCCTGTGTCTGGAGGCCCCTGTTCCCTCCTCCTCGCAGGATGGGCAGAATATCCAACTCCACCTCCTGGCTTTATAAGCTCTTCACAATCTGGCCTTGAGTTGTTTTCAAGTCTCATCTTAAACCCTAAGTACATAAAATGTCACTCTACCCCCTCATTCCCCATTCAGTGTTTGCCTTCACCCAATGTTTTCTCATTGTTTGCACTTGACAGACCATTCCCATCTCTCTATATTGGAGCATACGTTTCCCATTGCCTAAATGGCCCTTTCTTTCTATATACCTGCAAACCTCTATACATCCTTGAAGTTCAAATTTAATGTTACTCCCTGATTTCTCTCAAAAGACGATAGTTCCACCTGGTCTGCTATAAAGACACATGCACACATATGTTTACTGCAGCACTATTTACAATAGCAAAGACTTGGAACCAACCCAAATGCCCATCAATGTTATACTCGATAAAGAAAATGTGACACATATACACCATGGAATACTATGCAGCCATAAAAACAGTGAGTTCATGTCCTTTGCAGGGGCTTGGATGAAGCTGGAAACCATCATTCTCAGCAAACTAACACAGGAACAGAAAACCAAACACTGCATGTTCTCACTCATAGGTGGGAGTTGAATAGTGAGAATCCATGGACACAGGGAGGAGAACATCACACACCGTGGCCTGTTGGGGTGTTGGGGACAAGGGAAGGGAGAGCATTAGGACAAATATCTAATGCATGTGGGGCTTAAAAACTAGATGATGGGTTGATAGGTGCAGCAAACCACCATGGCACATGTATACCTGTGCAACAAACCTGCACGTTCTGCACATGTATCCCAGAACTTAAAGTAAAATTTTAAGAAAATCACAAATAAAAAGCATTTTGTTATCATTTCCCAGCTCCATGTTTCTCCCTTTCACTAAACTTTGAATGGTCTAATGATAAAGATGATAACTTCTTTGTTTTTGTGTTCTCAATGCCTGACCCATGGCTCATGTTTCAGAAATATTTTGTTGGATGACTAGGTGGATGGATGGATGGAAGGATGGATGGAATGATAGGTACATAGATTGGCATCAGGGAAGCCAAATGGGAGCTATTTCAGTGTCTGGACAATGAAAACAAAGGCATGAACTGAGCTAGTATCAATAAGAATTGAGAGGAGGTAACTATTTTGATAGATATTTTAAATTAAAATGGTAGAGCACAGTGATCTATTGTGTGTGATGTTCTGGGAATATGGAAGACTCACTCCTCTTTGACTCCCAATCTTGGGTGGTTTAATGAAGATAAAGGGTACAGAAGAAGGAGGGTGATTTTGGCTATGAGGAGGCAACAGTTGAGATTTTAATTTCAATATATTAAGATGTATGTAGGATATCCAGGATTGTTCAACAGACATTTGAAAATTTGAGAAAGGTACTGATCCTTACTCCTCCACCACCCAGAGGGTGATTTCAGTTCCTTTCTGGCATTCCTTCTTTCAGCTCCATTCTCTCTCTCCAGCCCCCTTCTTCATACCCCAATCTATATGTTACTGACATGGAAAGATGTCCAAGACATACTGTAAAATGTATAGTATTGTCCACTGTATTTTTAAAGATGTGTCTATGCTTGCATTATGCCTAAAAAATTTCTAGAAAGATTGACAGAAAACCCTTAACAGTGAGAGTGGTTTATTGGGGAAGATGGAGGGACAATATAAGTTTTCTTTTTATAAACTTTTTTATAGCATTTAATTTTTTATTACTAGCATTTGTAATTTTTTAATTAAGATATATTTGCATACCATAAAATTCACCCTTTTAAAGTGTATAATTAAGTGATTGTTGGTATATTCACAAGGTTGTGCAACCATCACCACCCTCTAATTCTAGAATTAAAATTTAATCACCCCAGAAAGAAACCCCATACCCATTAGCAGTCACTCCCCTCTCCCTCATTTATTCCCTCTTTCCCCCAGCCCCTGGCAACGACTAATCTAAGTATTTGAGTATTTGAGACCTTTTATTTAATTGGGATTATATATTATGTGTTTTTGTGTGACTGACTTCTTTTACTTAGCATAATGTATTTGAGTTTCATCCATGTTATAGTATGTATCACCATCTCATTCCTTTCTATTGATAATATTCCATTGTGTGGGTATACCACATTTTGTTTATCTTTTCATCAGTTGATTGACTTTTAGGTTGTTTCCAGTTTTTAGCTGATATGAAAAATATTGCTATGGACATTCATGTGCAAGTTGTTGTTTGAATATATGTTTTCACTTCTCATGGCTGTATATCTGCAAGTGGAATTGCTGTGTCCCGTGGTAACTATGTTTAGCTTGTTGAGGAACTGCCAAATTGTATTCAAAAGTGGCTGTGCCATTTTACATTCCCGCTAGCAATAAATAATTGTTCTAAATTCTCTGCATTCTCACCAACACTTCTTCTTATTTTTCTTTTTGACCATAGCCATCCTATTGGGTATGAAGTGGTATCTCATTGTGGTTTTGATTTACATTTTTCTAATGACTAGTGAGATTGAAGATCTTTTCATGGTCTTATTGGCCATTTGTATATCTTATTTGGAGAAATGTCTATTCAAATTCTGTGCCCATGTTTAATTAGGTTATTTGTCTTTTTATTGTTGAGTTGTGGTATTTATATATTCTAGATGCTAGACCCTTATTAAATATATGACTGTTAGTTTTTCTTGTATATTAGTAATTTTTATTACTAATACTACTATAGTAATTAGTAATATTACTAATTAGTAATTATTAGTATTTGATATGTCCTTTTAAAATCCTGTTTAATACACAATACTAAATTTTTTTAATAAGTTGTAAAGGGAATAGTTTTAAAAATTTTGCTCTCAGAGAAAGTAAGTTGATTTGTGATTTGTTATTTGCGCTATTATAATTAAACATGTTGTTTACAAATAAATTACTAGCTGACAGCTTTATATTGGCACTGCTTTTTTGATGGTTCAATGAGGTACTACATTTTGCCAAAACTTTAAAATAAAGCGAACCTTGACCCCAAACATATATGCTCCTGCAACACACATGCGGCCATTTATATGAAATAAATGCTTCCTCTCTTTTGGTAATGTCTTAGTTACCTTTGAAATGGATGCTTACCTTGAATATTTGCTTAGTTTTTATGTCTACCAGTGTGACTGAACTTCAAAATTTGAGCTACTTCCAACCAAATAATTTGCCCATTTAAATGCTCAGGGTATGGCCTCATTTTATAGTGCCATAAAATGAAATTTAAAAAGCCTCTCCAGAGAGCTGTGATTACCATTTTTTTCTTTAGTTGTTAGCCAAGCTAATAAATATTCTTAGCAGTTCTGTCATCGTATGTCATATAAAACTAGATCTAATGATCAAACCTAAGAGAGGATCCCAAGCACTACAGCCTTCTGTGTGGCTCTAGAGGAAGAAGCAATTCACCTGATCATTAGACCCTTGGGTTTTCGGAAGCAGGACTTAACACTCAACCCTGAAAGGGGTGTATGGAGGTGCTCTTGCAAAGGCTGGCTTACTGCAGGTCAACTGGCTGCTTAGGGAAGTGAAGGTAGAACCATGTGGCCCTGTGATGCTATGTGTTCTTCAGTTGTCACTGCAGAGACATTTGGCTGGGACTGGAGATGGTCATACTGGCTTCTCTCTTCCTGTATATACAGTGGTGAAGGGTGTGTGTGTGTGTGTGTGTGTGTGTGTGTGTGTGTGTGTGTGTATGTGTATAAAATTCCTGACCAGCGACTTTCCAGTTTTCCAGCTTTTCTGGCTCTCCAGCATACCATCTTGGGTTCTATAGCACATGATCTCTCTTTCCAAAAGTATCCATTAAAGCTTGGGACCTTTCTCAAATTTTTGACAGCCAGTAATTCATAAAGGAAAAATGAATTAAGTCCATTTTACCTTTAATTTTCTCCTGTAGGGCAGGAGAGTTGTTTGGAAGTGATTGCTGCAGGCTGTTAAGACAGCTACTTAGCTTTCAGGGCTGGCAAGAGAAGGATGAAAAGTAATGAGTTAACCTGCTAAGAATTTGGCCATTTTAATCATTCGAGTCTGGGTATACTTTGTCTCCATTTATACTGACTGGGGAAACAGTTATCTTGATAAGCAAGGATTTATCTCACCCTCACCTCTCAGTGGCTGCCTGGATTCCGAGTAGAATAGACCCCTTTATGTAGCAAGGGGAATGGGCATGTTTTTTATGAGTTAGAAAAAGAAAAAAAGCCATTGGTATTTTTTTAAAGTTCTTATCAGCAAAGAGCATTACTGAGAAATCCAATAGGGTAGTGATGACATTCAATTTTATTTGTACCAGGAATGCACAGATGGCTGGAGTTAGCAGCTATTCATTTTTAGCACATATCTCTCATTATTGTTAATGAGAATTACACAGACCTATCAAAGGGCGGAAATAGAGGAGAGTCAGTAGTATCAAATAAACGTGTATCATTTTTGTGCAAAGGTCACATACTTTGAATAATTCCTTTCTGTAATTGTAGCTTCCCATTGTTAGTTTATTCTTGTTGAATTTGTGTGTTGTCATGGTGTTTTTGACGGCCTGGAGAAAAGCATTTCAGCAAACTGCACAGGTCTGAGACTTATAATTAGTCATTGCAGCTTGTGGGCTCTTACGCAAATAGCTCAATCGAGATGTGTTTTTATGTAAAAGTTTCTCTTGATTAATTGCCCAGGAAATGCCTTCAGTTCATAGAGATTTCTAAATCTATATCAGAAATATTCTACTCCCAACAATTTGTTCGGTGAGAAAACTGTGATTCTTTTTCTGAGTCATCATGTTTTCAGGTGTTGCCAGGAGTTTTCTTTTAATCAGTTTCCTTCAAACAGCAACATAGAAAATAAACATCAACAGCCAGGGAAATTACTGTTCCTTGTCATTTCACTTCTACATTTGGAATGTAAGCCAATACTCTGATTTTCTAGAAGATCCATATTAAAATATAATGTTAAAAAAAGAAAATAATAGAAAATCAAGTAATTAAAAATATAAGGAAAGCAGATTTGAGTTCACTATGAAACAACAAGTTATTAAGAATTTGACACTTTATTTTTGAATAGTATCTGTTTTGTGGTGCTATATATACCACAGACTGGGTAATTTATACTGAACAGAAGTTTACTTCTCACATTTCTATAGGATGGAAAGTCCAAGATCAGGAAGCTGGCATCTGGTGAGGGCCTTCTTGCTGCTTCAGCCCATGGTGAAAGGCAGAAAGGCAGAAAGGCAGAAAGGCAAGAGAGGGCAAGAGAGTACAACAGAAACGGTGAGAGAGGGCTGAACTTGTCCTTTCATAAGGAACCCACTCCCAGGACAACAGCATTAATCCATTCATAAGGACGGTGCCTCCATGACCCAAACACCTCCCATTAGGCCCCCACCTTCCAGCATTGCTGCATAGGCGATCAAGTTTCCTACTCATGAACTTTGGGGGACACATTTAAACCACAGCAGATAAAATGTTGCTTTCTTCATGGGTTGGGCTTTGAAGATGTTGATTTCATAAGGGTTTTCAGTTTCTTCAGCTGAGAAAGGGGCAAGTTTTTCTTATAAATTTCTTCTTTGAAGGAAGAATTCTGATTTTATAAGGTACAACAAGAAATAATTTAGGATTTATACCAGAAAAAGGGCCTAATAGTAATCAGAATCACTGCATGGGCTGAGAAATACGAGGTTGAGACCCTATCATCAGGAAAACACCTAATTTTTGCAAATCAGTTCCTTTTTTCTGCTTTATCTTGAATCTTAATGAAATATTTTTCATATTCATCTAATTAGTGTTGGTGTTTTTCTTAAAAAATTTGACTTATTACCTACTAGTATAGAAAAATCCATCTATACAATATGACTTTAAATTATTTCTCATTTCTAAATTATGCTACAGCTACATTTAATAAAGAGTTATCCATACATTATCCCATAGGAATTTTCGAAAACTTTAGTTATTTCTCAAATCTCAGCTATTCACTGATAACGTTTCCTTAGATGCTGTATGAAGAATGTTAGAGTAAGCTTACTCCTGTCTGTCTATTTTCAAGGAGTATCAGATAGTTTTTAGTCTTTGCAATGTCTCTGTTATACAGAAGGCAGAGCCTACATGTAAAAGAGAGATGCCTCACAAGCACTGTTTAGGGATATGTGTGTGTGAAATAAATATAAATATATATGTATGCATGTGATTGTGTGTTTGTCCTCTGATGGGAAAAAATGGGTATTTACTGAGTTTTCTGTGGTGAGAAGGAGAGAAAGCACTTGGAACAGCCCATGGTGGGTGGGAGTCATGTAGCTTTGGATAAACAGTCTTACAGCTGCCCAGTGAATTTTTTCTTTTTGGTGGTAGGATTATCATGGTTAGCTCTGATAACAGGGAATTAGGAAGTGTGGTAAATCAGAGGTATTCAGTTAGGAAAGTGACATGAATTTTGGAGTCTAATAGATTGGGGTGGAGCTCCAGCACTGCCTCCCTCTAGCTAGATGAGCCTTCTAAGCACGTTGCTTTCCTGCTCTTCCTCATTTTTCTGGTCTATGTAATATCTATGTCATAAGATTGTCGTGAGGATTAAATGAGGTGTATATACAACATGAACATTGCCTGGTCCAAAGAGATGCTGATCAAATGCTACATTCTATGGCATACATGCTTAGGCACCTGAGTTGGAGATCCTAGTGGCTGCTCTGTGGGTTTTAGATAGGGTAACATTCCTAAATGTTTGGCCACCCTGCCCCTGGGAGCTCTAGAAACATTGCCATCCAGGTGGAAACTAGAAAGGGCATGAAAAACTGTGGGTACCCAGGATTTTCATGAATCCCACTAGGTAAAGTTCCTGTCATGACTCTAGTATGGAGGATTATGTCCATTGAGGAAATAGGCTTGGTCAAGAAGAGGGAAGGCTTATGTTCCAGGGGTCAGGAATCTGTACATGGGCTCTCAAGACTTATTTGACCCTAGCCCCTTGTTTGTTGGTTTTGTTTTTGTTTTTTGGTAACGTTATTAACATACCCTAGAGCTAGTACTGGTAGAACGCTATTTGGAAACCACTGGGTTAGGAAAAATATGTCATCAAGTGAAACTGAAACAGGTGACATTTTAGCGGTGGATTTTGGAAGTGGTTGTGTTGAGGCAATTGTGTGGGGAAGTGGTTTGTTCTGTCTTCTCATTTAATCAGGGGGAAGTGGTTTATGCCCTCTTTGCCGATAATTCTGCCACTTTGTTATCCTTCATTGATTTTTGCTTCATCCACCACCCACCACTGATTCTGTTTTACTCATTCACATCAGACTAAGAGAAGAGGTTTGAGTTACGAGAAGAAGAGTGGAAAGATCAGCCATTTATTTTTGTAGTGTGTTGTCATGGGGATAAATACTTGGGAAAGTGTAAGGATGCATAAATTACCGTAACCCCCCATTGAGCATAAGTTAAGCCTTCCAGATGCCTTAAGTTGCATTAATGAAAATAGTTTGGAAGAAGTTTTGGACAATGGAAAAATGAAGTCTGTTAGGTAGATACTAATGTGAATAGTCCCTAAGAACTGTTTGAAATGGGCAGTAAAATGATTATGAAATATTTAGAAAGAAGAACACAAACACAAAAATAAAACAAAGGTTTAAGAAGTTTTAAAAAATAGCTAACATATAATATGGACATTGGTTAATGTTCAAATCTGTGCTGTCCAATAGGGCAGCCATTAGCCACATGAGACTACTTAAATTTAAATTAGTTAAAATTAAATAATATTTAAAAATCACTTTTACAGTTGCATGGGCTGCATTTTAAATGTCCAATAGTCACATGTGGCTCATGGCTAGTCTACTGGATAGCGTAGAAGTAGAAGATTTCCATAATTGCAGAAAGTTCTATTGGATATTGCATATGAGAGACAGGATTCTGACATGGTCCCATGATCTCCACCCCCTGGTTTTCACACCCTTGTATAATTTCCTCCACTTGAGTGTGGGCAGGTCTTGTGACTTGCATCTAGCTGATAGAATATGGCAAAGGTGATGGTTGCCATTCCCTTAAATAGGGTATATCATATGGTAAAGGTGATGGAGTACCACTGCCATGATTATGTTATATTATATGAAACTTCATCTCAGCAGAGTGGAGATTCTCCTGCTAGCCTCAAAGAATCAAACAGGCATGTTATGAACTGCTTAGGTAGAAGGCCACATGGCAAGGAACTTTGGGTGGCCTTTCAGACCAGAGAGAAGCCTCCAGTCTCTAGCTAATAGCCAGTTAAAAGCTGGGAACCTCAGGCATAGAACTGCAAGGAAAGGAATCCTGCCAACGACCTGAATGAGCTTGGAAGCACATTATTCCCCGGTTAAGCCTGCAGATGAGAATTGCAGTCTGGCTGACACCCTGATTTCAGCCTGGTAAGACCATGAACAGAGGGACCAGCTGAGCTGTGCCTGGACTTCTGACCCACAGAAGCTGTGAGATAATAAATAAATGTGGTTTTAGGCTGCTAAGTTTGTAGGAATTTGTTATGTACCAATAGAAACCTAATTCAGTGCTGGTTTAAATTATTTTTGGGTTGATCCAGTAAGCCACACCTCAGATGGACCAGATCCTAAAGAGTGTATAACTTGCTTTATTGCAGCTGGTGCTTTGCCTACCTCATAGAAAAAAAAAAAGATTGTAGCTTTCAAAAGGGAATGTCTAGGCCTAGTTATTATGTTCCATTCTCTTTTGTGGCCAAGGCCTCAGTAATGTACGATAGTATTTTATTATTTTTATATAGCATAATAGATGCCATGATCTTTGGCATCATCAGAACAATAGTTCAAATTCTGCATCCCTAACTTTTTAAGTATATGATGTTGGGCATATTATATAACCTCTCTAAGCGTCTGCTTCTTCATCTGTAAAATGGGGATGAAGTGCCCTCCATGTAAGGATGTTGTTTCATTTAACTGAGATTATATTTTTACAGTGTTTAGCACAGCATCTGATGCATAATCCAACATTTGAACATGGAAGATGCTTTTATTACTTAACAATGTTTTAAAATTGATTTCTGATAGCAAATAATATAAACGCCAACACATTACTTCCATACTCTAATTTGGAAAATCATCATATAAGATTTTTATCTTCTTATACCTCCGTTTTATTTTATGTCTGGACCACTGCAGCCCAATTTCAGATGGGATGCAATAAAAGTAGGTCTTGCATACACGAAGTGCCCCTTGTGCTTATAGGCTGCCTTGGCTGTATATTGTCTGGGCAAATCGCCCTCAACCTCTGGCCAGACTGCGGAATGTTGGTTTCCTCCAGCGTTAGCCCCCAGGGGGTCAATTTTCACAGTTGCCATATGTTTTTATATTGCTCCAAACTGTAAATACAGCTGACACCCTACCAAATTGGCCCTAATGTGGCTGTGTCTAACAGTGGAGTCGTAGGCTTTTAGAATGATACAGTACTCCATGGAATTGTGGCAATTAAATGAATGTTTTGTTTTCAAAGTGTTCAGATTCCATTTTTTTAATTTGAAAAGAGGTAAATAATGTGCAAAGAGGAGATATGAGGTGGGAAGAGGGCAGGAGTTTTTATCTTATGTCTTGTCCCTGTCTTGGGTTTGCCCCTTTGGTCCTGAAGCTCTGTCCTCAGACCCGTTACCTAGTATCTCTATAGTCCTTGCCCTTTTGTCCTTCTCTTACAAAAAGGGAACGTTGTGTTGAGCTTCTGTTTTTATCTTCACTTACTTTGTTATCTCCAAACTCTTTGTCTCAGATTTAATCTGTCTGTACAGGAAGAAGAATCAAACTCATTGTGATACACTTAGGTTCCAGGATGTGAAATACAATACAAATTTCTGCTTTTGGGGCTATATCCATCCATAGAACCTTATAATTTTTTCAAAAGGTGATCACCTTGAGATTAATGGGTTCAGAGAATGGAAATTAACAGGGAAATTGCAGTGTTCCCTTGTTGGTTTTGTGTTCTGCTTCATAGCTGAGTCCTCATTTCAATAACTGTTGCTGCCCTGTGGCATTAAAGCTGCTGAGCTCTCACCTTCCATCCTGAAGCTCTTCTGGTGGAAAGCTAATGTTCCCAAATAATGACCTCATCTGTATCTAGTTCTCTAATAGTCAACCAAGCTACTGGCCAGGGGCGTCCTGTGAAGTTTGGAGTGGTGTGTCTTGAAGTGGCTGAACTACAGAACAGACATAGTATCCTGAGATTTCCCATTTGTGCTCCATAGAGCTTTGTAGGGTTGATTTGGGGAAGGGAAAGTGGGACAGTGGTGGGAAGGAACTCTGCAACATTCTGCACAGTTGGTTGGCATAGCATAGAGGTTAAGAGTTGGAGATAGTCTCTGGAGCCAGAATGATTGAGAATCTTGGCTCTGATATTCACTAGCTCTGTAACTTTCGACGGTTCCCTCATCTGTAAAAGGAGTAAACAAATAGGACCTACCTAGTAAGGCCTTTGCAAGAATTAAGTAAGTTAATATATGTAAAGTGCCTAGAGCACATCATGTGATGTCACAGAGTAAGTAATATGAGCATTTGCTGCTGTGGTGATTATATAGCCCTGGTCTCATGTTCTAGACCAGGGTTCAGCAAATTCAGGCCCACAGGCCAAATCTGACCCTGCTACTTGTTCTTGCAAATAAAGTTTTATTGGAACACAGTGTATATATTAATGTATATATTGTTAGTGTATATATTAGTGTATATATTGTCTGTGGCTACTTTTGTACTACATGAGAAAGTAGAGGCAAAGTTAAGTAGTTTTGACAGAGGCCATATGGCCTGTGAAGTCTAAGATATTTACTATCTGGCCACTTACAGAAAAAGATTGCTGACCACTTTTCCAGACTTTGGAAAGACTTTCTCAGCAGCATAAATGAGAACAAGCCATCAGTCTGCTGTGAACTATGTAGATTTTAAAAATCATCTGTTGAATACAAATTAAATTCAGAAAGAGTTACCCAGGCTTTTTTTTCTTTTTTGACCTCGGCCTCTTAGATTTCCAGTTTAATTTTGAAAATTAGCTTTCTAGGAATGATAACTCTAGGTTGTCATTGTTAGCACCAGCTAACAGTACTCACTAGTATTCATCATCACCTACCACCCTGAGGACAGTAGGACTTGGCATGTCAGGGTGCAAATGGAAGGCCAGTGTGGCTTGGCGGTGGAGGATAAGATAAGACTTGGATGGTAGGAGTTAGATCTGGTAGAAGTCAATGTGAAGAATCAGTCCAGGTTTTTTGTGGCTTTTTTTTTTTTTTTGACTGGGTATCATTTCATTGGTGAGGAACTGACAATCATTTTATGAAATTGAATTTTTTTTAATAGAAAGTGCCTTTCTGAAAACAGATGTAAGAGAGCAAACTTAATTCATGTAAATCCCTGGATGCACATTCCTAAATAATTTTAAGAATTCACATAAAGCATGTGGCAAAAAAGGGGGACTTGTTTCATCCATTGACCAAAGTGAGGGTCAGTTCCAGAAATAAATTAAATTAAATTGTCACCAGCAGAAATCTGTTGGTGGCAATGGACTAGGCATTGTGCTAGACCCTTAGTGTAGAGAAGACAAGAAGGTAGGTGTGATCACTGTACAGAGGGTGCCTATAGCAGAACAAGGAAGACAGAAAAGGAGCAGAAGTGTGGTGAGTTCATGGCAAGACAGGCATGGTGTGATTTGGGAGTTAGTAACAGGAGGACCTAAATTTCTTGATAGGCCAAGACAGCTTCCAGAGGATATCATGCTTATACTGGGGTGAAAAAATAAATATGAGTTATCAGTGATGAAGGAAGGGGCAGGGTGGGGGTGAGGTAAACAGTTTCTAGAAGAGGAAACTGCTTGTTCAGAGCCGCAGAGGACTATAGGGCTTGGCATGTCAGAGTGCAAATGGAAGGCCAGTGTAGCTTGGGGGAGTAGGGTGAGATAAGACTTGCACAGTAGGAGTTAGATCTGGTAGAAGTCAGTGTGAAGACATATGGATATGTATATTTTTTTGAGACAAAGTTTTGTTCTTTCATTCAGGCTGGAGTGAAGTGGCACGATCTTGGCTCACTGCAACCTCCGCCCCAGCGGAGTAGCTCAGCCTCCTGAGTAGCTGGGATTATAGGTGCCTGCCACCACACCTGGCTAATTTTTGTATTTGAATAGAGACGGGGTTTTGCCATGTTGGCCAGGCTTGTCTCGAACTCCTGACCTCAGGTGATCCACCTCCCTCGGCCTCCCAAAGTGCTAGGATTACAGGCATGAGCCACCATGCCCGGCCAACACATGGGTGGTTTTACAGGCAGTGGAGATCCAATGAAATGTTTTTCGAGGGAGGAAGATATAATCTATTTGTATACTTTCTGCTGCCCAGCAGAGAGTGGATTGGGTGGACAATTGGAGCCAGCATCCTCGTCCAACTTGGACATGATGGTAGCTTGGGCCAGAGAGGACATGGGTAGGACTCATTACTTCACTCCAGTGAATATCCTGGGGATGGACTCCTGCTTGTCTGGTGGTGGAATAGTCCATAAGGAATTCAAAATGCAAATAAATATATGCTTACAAATTGGCCGAGTGCTGTGAAACAAGTGCATGGGGTGCTGTCAGAGATTCTCAGTGATAGGAGGGGCATCCTTGCATTTGATGCCCAAAAAAGGGCCTTCTGAGGAGGCATTACTTCAACTGAGACTTAAAGGGTAAAAGTCAGCTGTGGGAGGAGTGGTGGCTGTGGAGAGGAATCCCAGACAGGGAAAATAGCCTGTGCCTATACCTTCCAGTGGGAAGGAGCTGCTGTGTTATTGCAACTGAAAGGAGACTGAATTCCTGATTCTGGGGCTAACGGTGAGGATGGTGTGGGATGAGACTGGCCAGCAAAGTTCACTGGTGTGCAATTTTATTCTTTGGGAAAGGGAAGCCGTTGGAAGATTGTATGCCAACAAGTGCATGATCTGACTTACTTTGAAACACCCAATCTTGCTGTTGGATGGAGAATGGATGAAAAGAGAAGCAAGAGTGGAAGCAGGGAGACCAGGGAGGCAAGAAGAGACCTGTGGTCCAGGCAAAATGTGATGGTGGCTTCAGCTCTCATGGAAGCAGGAGCAATGTTTCCCTGTTTGCACTCCTGCGCTATTGGCTCTGGGCAGGGCTTTGAGGCACCAGGTGGATATGTGGAGCCACAACATACTGAAGCAGGGGATATTTTCATGCGGGCACAGATGGCAGAGGAACCCTGCTTTGAACCCTCCTGGAAGTGCATCTGCCACCAGCTTTGACCATGTGGACCAGGAATCCGGAGCATATAGTCTAGTCTACAGTGAGAGCGATGTACTGTGACAACATATTTAATGCTTAACAATGTGAAAAATAACCATCCCAGGGCCACTATTCTCAGCCCTACATGACCACCCTGTGCTCTCTGGCTCACCAGACCTAGATGGGAGGCCAAGTGATAAGAAATTTGTTTGGTAAATAGTAAATCAGAGCCAGGCTCGTTAGTTAATCACGTGGCCCTGACATCTGTGTGTGGTCTGCTCGCAAGGAAGAGCATCTTATTATTAGATGCCTGTGGGTTCAACATTGAGTTCTGAGGAGGATGAGAAAGCTGGCTTGCCTTTTTCCTTGGAGTTTCCTGTGGGCTCATGCCAATCTTACCAAGTCCATCAGGAGGGGTAGGAGGGCATCTGCAGTCACCCAGGATCTCTCTGCTCTCCATCCTTGGGGTCTTCCTGAATAGGCTCTATCATTTCTTAGCATTGGCTTTCAGGCACTGGGTTCTGTTTACATTTAAGGTGGTGTTACATCCATATTTGGGGGAGGTTTCAGGGTCAGAATACGGGAGAATGTTAGAAGGAATCAGCCCTTCAGAACCTCCGCCAGAGTGAAATATCTACAAGGAAAATAAACCCTTCTTTTGCTAATTGTTACCTTCTGCTGTGTCACCTGCTAAGATTGCTCCCAAGGTTTTCTTGGCTTGGGTAGGAAAGTCAATGGTGAGTGAAGTGGGGGAGTAGATAAGTGCTCTAGAAGAGGGTTGGGGCAGGGGGATCAGGCTCTTGATGGCTGCAGTGGACCGTCTGGAGTGGCTGCTGCAAAGATACTGGCTGCAGTGGGGAGGCACAGCTGGGGTTGCATGCTCTGTGGGTCCAGCGGGATCCAAGAACAGGCTGGAGCCCTGCCCCTTACTGAGTTGGCACAGCAGAAGCTCCATGCTCCTGGGCACAGCTGCAGCTTCCCAGCTGTGGCTCTGGGCCCATGCATCCCTGCGCTCTCAGGGGCCGGGAAGCCCCCAGTGCCCACAGGCTCAGAAGTGCCTGTTCCTGCTCCCTGTCCTCTTCCCACTCCTGGTGCCTGCTCCTGTGTGGAGCAAAGTTGTGGCCAAGCCTGGGCGCTGCTGCAACCTGGCCAGGTGCGCGCATGCTCAGGGCAGCACTGACACTCCAGCTTCCTGTTGCCTCGGCCCTCTCTAGACTTTGGGTGCTGACGAGCACAGGTGGGAGGCCAGGGGTGCTGAGGATGGCTTGGCATGGGCCTGCAGGCACCCCTCTACATGAATATCCTGGGCACTGTGGATGGCATGTTGATGGCAGTGGGAGGCAGACAGGTTTCTGGGCAGAAAGGGACAGATCCCTGGTGAAGCCCCACCTTCAAGCCAGGGACAGACTGAAGCCTGGGGGCTGGGCTGCCTGTTCTGGGTGGAGTCTGAAGCCCAGAGTGAGAACTTATGATGCCTTTTCTGGGCCTGCCCATGGCCACCCATGGAACAATCAGCATGCACTTTCTCCCTTCTGAGCCCATGAAAACCCTGGACTCATCCAGATTCACACAGATGTTGGGACTACCAGCTGTGGGAAGGAGCTACCTGCTTCAGATCTCCTCGACTCTTCAGGACAACCTGCCTGTGGATAGGAGCTACCTGCCACGAGTAGCCAGGAGCTACCTGCTGAGAGCTGAACACTCATTGGGATGACCTGCCTGCAGAAAAGAGCTACCCATTTCGGGTCTCCTGAGAGCCGTTCTGTCACTCAGTGAAGCTCCTCTCTACCTTGCTCACCCTCCAGTTGTCCATATACTTCATTCTTCCTGGAAGTGGGACAAGAACTTACGACCCACTGAATGGTGGGACAGAAAGAGCTGAACAGAAACAGGACTGAAACACACCCCCAACTCACCATATAGTGGGCGGTGAGAAGGAGAGAACAGCTGCGGCTCTTTGGGAAGCCCAGACCTAGGGTCTCCCGGAGCCAGGGCTGTGACACCCTCTCTGAGGCTCTGTGGTACCTGGTGTCTCCAAGCTTCCAGGTACCACCGCATTTCCTGGTGCCCGCAGTGGAAGTTGCTTGTGGTACACCTGGTCCAGCTGCAGCCTCACACGGAGCAGGCGCCTGGAGCTGCCCCCCCCTCCTCCCCACTGCAGCTGGAACACCTGGCTGTGCGTAGTAGTCAGACCCCATGCTTGCTCACACACCCCTCATCACTCCATGCCTGGCTTGCCCTTGGCAGGCATGGGATCTGAGGTGGTAGTGTGAGCCGAGCACAGCCTGCTGGGTCAAGTGGGTTGAACGAACCCACTTTGCTTGTGGCCTCAAGCAAAACCCAAGCAGGGGTGCGGCTGGCCACAGAGGTTTCCAGCTGGTGGAGGAACACCCTAAGGATCCTGTGACACTGTTATTTATAAAGCACTCACTGTGTGCCAGGAACTATTTTAAGAGCCTTAGGTTTATTAAATCATTTCATGTCCCCATCCCCTAATGAGATAACTTGACTAGGGTTACAGACTTGGTAAGGGATGCCGCTGCAATAAGAATGCAGCTGACCTGGCAACAAAGTCCTTGATCTTGGACATCTTACTGCACTGCCTCTTGGTCCCCTTGGTCACATATGATTCAACCATTTTATCAGGCTGAACAAGGAATAGGAACATCTTCCTGAAGGAGGGTTTTGCTAGTGGGGCCTGATGCTACAAGGTGGAGGCTAAAATTGTCTTTCCCTCCAGGACGTTCTACTTCTCAAGTTTTCAAATCTGGACACTCCCTTTGACACCTTTCTTTTAGCTATCTTATGCTATGTTATCATGTTCTTGGTGTGTCCTGCTGGCCTGGTAAATGACAAATGATGTCTTTTTTAAGTATGTTGGCGTTGTGAGATTTAACTGAGGGTGGCTTTGTCTCTGGGCCCTTGTGTAGCCCCAAGCACCACAGAGGAGGTGGAAGACACAATGCGCGATGGTACTCACCTCAGGGGAGCAAGGACCATCGGTAGGGAGAGGAGGAAGAATAAAGCAAGGAGGGAAGCCAGGATGGAAAATGTGGGGATGTGGGCTTGGGCATCCTGCTGCATGGCTTGGACAAGGACTTATGCAGTTGACCATGATCAAAACTAGTAGCCAAACAGCTGGGCTGTTCTGGAGAGGCTGCCACAAGGTGCAAAAGTCCATGAGATCTGGCTTATCCTGGAGCTAAGTCTTCAGACCTTGCTCTGGCTTCTGGCTCTTTGCTGGGAGGAGAGTTAGGTTCAAGTTGCCACAGCAGGCCAGATCCTTTCTCTTCCTGGAAAGGATATCATGCTCATGACATTTAGCACATTTATGCTTGCTATAAAAAAAAATCCTTAGAATATTTATGAAAGCTTCCTAAAATTTATAGCTTTGCTGGAGTACTGAATGGTATTTACAAGCTTCAAAAAAAAAATGAAATAATCTCAGTGGTTACAAGTAAAAGCTTCTATTATTGGAAATTCTGCATGCAATGTGCATTGTCAGCTTCTGTCGTGTGTGTGTGGCCCATCTACTTGAGCAGTCATTTCAGGATCCCAGCTTACTTACCTATGGCTGTCATGAGCTTCCTGCAATGCTTCCATTAGGATAACCTGCTAGGAATGTAACTCATCTCATTATTAAGGAGAGTGTAAGTGGGAGCTAAATGTGTGACATAAAGCATTCAATAATGCATTCCAAAGTCCATTGTTTGAGGTATTTGGAATACTTGCTGTTCTGAAATGGGTAAAAAGACACTAAATATGTGTGCACAATATTGCACAAGACATGATTACATTCTTCTTACTGTAAGCTAAGAGTGAAAGAGTGAACATGCTGCGGTCTGTTCTAAACATTTTACCAGTACTAACTCATCAACCCCTCACAATCACCCTATGAGTTAGATACAGTTATTGTTTTCCTTGTATATGTGAGGAAGCTTAGGCACAAAGGTTAAGAAGCTTGCCCACGGCCACGCAGCTAGAAATGGCAGACTTCTGATGGGAGCCCAGGCAGTCTGCTTCCGAGGTTTAGCCACTGCTCTCCCTAGAAGATTCATATGGCTGAGAAATAGTCTTTCATGGGATTGTGCCATTTTACACTTGCAGTTAAACATGCATCTACTTATTTGTCCAAGAGAAATGAATGCATATATCCACAAAAAGACTGGTATAAGAATGTTCATTGCAACTTTATTCTTCACAGTAAAAGAAAATGAAACAGCCCAAATATCCATTAACAAGGAAATAGCTAATCAAATTATAGTGTATTCATATAATGGAATAGTACTCAGCAATAAGCAATGAACTGTAATACAAACAACAATATGAATAATAAATCTCAAACCTTTATGCTAAGCAAAAGATGACAGATACAAAAGGTTATGTACGATATGATTCCATGTATATAAAGTTCAAGAGTAAACAAAAGAAATCCATATAAATAAAGATTAGAGTAGTGATCACTTCTGGGAAGAGGGAAGGGCCATGAGGCAGGGTGATGGCAATGCTCTATATTTTGATTGAACAAAAACCTTTGACTTGTACACTTAATATTTGTGCATCTTCATGTGTGTATTTATACCCCACTTACACACACACACACACACACACACACACACACACACACACAAACACACCACCATACAGTATAAATTGAAGATCCCATTTCCTCCCAAAACTATTCCCTTCTTCAGTCATGACCACTGTTTTTATAGACTGGTGTGGAGTTTCCAGGAGTTTCCGTTCATATGCATGTGTGTCTATATACATCCAAATAGGCATTCCTATTTTAACATAAATAAGATCAGACTATATGTATTATTTATATTTCTGCTACCTGCTTTTTTGAGTAACAGTATATCCTGAAGGCTTTTCCATGTCCTTTGCCTTAATCTTTTTAGCGAGCCTGATTTTATATTATGAATATACTTAATTTCTTCAGTTTCCTTCTGATGGATGATTAGGCAATTTTCAAATTTTTACTTTTACAGTTGTAATGGAAATGTTTATATATTATTTATATATATATATTTGTGCACATGTGCAAGCACTTTTGTAGGCTGTTTTACTAGAAGAAGGGTTTACTTGGGCAAAAGGAAGGCATGCTTTGGTGGAAATTGCCAAATTGATTTCCAAAAATACTTTCGTTAATTATACTCCTCCTGACCAATATGAGAGAGCTAGATTCCTGCATTCTTTCCAACAATGAATATTACCAATCTTTAAAAGTTTTTGAAAGCAGATGGGTAAAAAAGTGGCATCTTTTTGTTTCTATTGAGATTTTAAAATAAGTTTTGATTTTCTCCTTGTTTTGCAAATATGCATATGCCCTTGGACAAACATATGCATCTCCTGTCCTGCACTCCTAGCTATGTAATTCTAGAGGTCTCAGAGTCTGACACGTTCTCACCAGCAAGTTAGAGAACACTTTATTCTTAGAATTTGACAGATAATTCTAGTGAAAATGGCAGGATTCTGTTCTCTCTGACATGCTTTCTTAATATGGTAGTCATTGTTGACCTTGAACCTGTTGGAAATTTTTAATTTAATTCAAATTCCTTGATGGCAACTGAATTTTGAATAGTGACATCCCTTGATTTATGAAACTGGTAAATTTAAATTAAACATTGAAAACTAACCTTACCACTATATTTTCCAAATACTTCTTTTACCATAATTGTTTTTATCTTTTTAAGATTTGCATTTTGCATGTATTCGTAATGCTGTTTTTTTTTTTCTGGAGAAAAATTTCACCCCAAAGAAACCTTTTTTTTTTTTTTTTTTTTTTTTTTTTTTTAAATAATGGAGCAAGTCAGTCTCTTGCAGAGCCTTGCCAAGTGGATGGGGATTTGGAAAAGAGTGATACTTGGTTCTGGGGCAGGATAGTAAGAAGGCATTGCAGTCTCCACGACCAGGGGCCTTACCTTCTAGATTGTGGAGACATTTGAAAGCTGTACTGAATTTAGCACTTTGATTCATTCAGTGTGGGTGTACTTCTGCAGGTAGGGGAAGATGTGGAGACTGATAGGTCACTTATAGATTTTATTCTTACAAATGCTGAAGTTGTTGCTAGCAAAAATCACTGTGGTCATTTTTTCACTGAGCATCTGTGAGGGCATTTTCTCTTCTCTAAGAGATCTAGTATTTTTAAATTTCATGACTCCTCTACCTGTATCCCTTATAAATTGCCATTTTAACATGTGTTTCAGGTAGCCTTAGGGCTTCCCTGAGAAACACTTGAGAGAGGGGTTATCTGGTAGTGAGGCTCTGCTCACCTATTCCACCCCACTTCTTGCTTCTTTCCTACCTGTGCCAGAGAAATCCTTCTTTTCCCTTTTGACTTTCAAGTAAGCATTAAGTAAAAGAAAGGCTTCAACTGCTAGAAATATGTGTGAAAACTGTGGAACTACTTCAGGAGAGTGTGGACACTATATGTAGCTATTGACAGTTTCATGAACAAAGACAAGATGATCATTCTCATCCACCTTGCTCTGCATCTCTCTAATTGGCCCAAATCCTAAGCAGTGCCATTCAAAACCCAACTTTCCATTTTCAGTCACTGTTGTCTTAAATAAGGGAGTGTTTAAAGGAATGGCTGGAGATAGGCCTCCATCATAATGTCAAAACTAGAGTACCCCATTTTTCTCAGCCACTCATTCTTTTTTTTTTTTTTTGAGATGGAGTTTCACTCTGTCACCCAGGCTGGAGTGCAGTGGTGTGATCTTGGCTCACTGCAACCTGTGCCTCCCGGGTTCACGCCGTTCTCCTGCCTCAGCCTCCCGAGTACCTGGGACTACAGGTGCCTGCCACCATGCCTGGCTATTTTTTTGTTTGTTTGTTTGTATTTTTAGTAGAGATGGGGTTTCACCATGTTAGCCAGGATGGTCTCGATCTCCCGACCTCATGATCTGCCCACCTCGGCCTCCCAAAGTGCTGGGATTACAGGTGTGAGCCACCGTGCCCGGCCGCCACTCTTTCTTAATTCAGGAAAGCTTTAAGGGACACGTGGGTTTAGAATATGCTTTTTTCTTTGGGATTGAAAAAACATTGCAGTATCCCTGAAAGTAAGGTCACTGTGTTCAGACTGCTCCAAGAACTTTGTGGGAGCTCTTTCACTGTGCAAATGATGTTTGTAATAATAATCTGTATTTGTCACCCATACTTGGGGCAGGGGGACTTTTAGCAGTTGGTTCTATTTAACACTGTATTCTAAAGTAATAAGATTATTTCTTTTTAAAAGTACCCTCTAATTAAACAATCACACTAATCATCCTGACCTCTCCATAACATCCTGTTACTGAGCTCTGGCCTTATTTCCTAAGGAACTGGAAAATGCGCCTGCCTTAGGTTAGCATGGGCTTTGGAAATACTGTGTCCTCATTCAATTAGAAAGCAAGAGGGCATTCTTAACATCTTTATACTAACCAAAAGATAATTTCCTCAAAGTGGATTAGCATGCAAGTTTGACTTGGTGGCTTCACGTGTGTATGTTGCTGTATCAGGTAAAAATGGAGAAATATTGGACAAAAATTAATGCAACTCAAAGACTAAGGAGATGGTTATTATATCATACTTTATGTCCTCTTAATAAGTGCTACCAATAATATTTAAATCATGGCTTCAGTTAGTGTAAATATTCATAAGAAGACAAAGTGTTCAGAATATATATATATATATATAGAGAGAGAGAGAGAGAGAGTGTGTGTGTGTGTGTGTGTGTGTGTGTGTGTGTGTGTGTGTGTTTTAGAGATGGGGCCTTGCTATGTTGCACAGGGTGGTCTAACTCCTGGGCTCAAGCGATCCTCCTGCCTCAGACTTCCGAGTAGCTGGGACTACAGGCATGAGCCGCTGCACCCTCGGACTGTTTTTATTAGCAAGGAGTACACTGTTAGTACTAGATAATATTATTCTACTAACTAAACAATGCTCTTGTGCTTCGTTTGCTTGGAATGGGAGAGAGTAGGGGGGTACATAATTTATGAGGACTAGAAATAAGAGTTTCTTGCGGAGAGCAGTTTTCATTTGATTTTAATTGTTTCAATTTCACGTTTGCTGTTTATCATCTAGTTCTCATCTTGTTTACATTTTAAAACAGCAGTGATTCTCAGTATGTTTTTTACTGAGTCAGGGCTCAGTAACAGTGGTTGACCTGGCAATGCTGTGGTATGGGGGAAAGGGATCCGAAAGGACCCCAAATGATTCTGCTGCTCGTCCCTCCTCTTGTGTCAATGCTCCCGAGCCCTCCGTACTGCCCTCCTACCTCCTCATGTGTTGGATTAGATTTATGACAGCTGCTGTGGACATGGTTGCCTAAATCTGTGGAATGTTTTGCTAAAAGCTGCTGGTGCAATAGTACACATTAAGCTTATAATTCCCATTGTTGTTTTCTTGAACCCATTCTTTATCTTTAGTCTTTTACTCACTTGATCACTTTATGATTTTGCACTTTGACATCCTGTAGATTCATTAAGAAGTTTTACTCCAAGCCCCAGAGCTTTATTTAACATTATGATTAGCCAAACTGTTATTGTGTTTGAGCTAAGTGATGACAATGTATTTGATTGGAGCCTCATAATTGTTATTTTAAAATCAAAGTAATGGATTATGATCTCAGAATAAGAACATGATCCAAAAGAATAATAATAATAATTAGAACAGCAACCAATTAGAAGAAAATAAATGCTGTATCATGGACCAGAGGCCCTATGAGCCTGGGCCCTGCCTACCTGTGCAGTCCCATCTCCCACCCACATCCACCCTTCCCTGGATTAGCCTCACTGCAGCCTTCCAGTTTCTTCTTTCCTGTCTTGGAAATTACACGCATTGTTCTCTCTACTTGGGAGCTCTGCCACTGGTGTTTCTCTTGGTTAGCTCCTTGTAGTCTCACCCACAGTCTCACTTTGCTAGGGAGGCTTTCCCTGGCCACAGCATCTAAAGTCATCTCCTTCCACTCCACCACCTGTCCACACATGCACATCACTGTCTCTCACAGCATGCTATTTGTTTCCTTCAACGTTAAGAAACCTAAGTTGTGTTTCCTTGGTACTTGTCCATCTTGCCCACTGGCCTCTAAGCTCCATGAGAGTGAAGATTATACCTGCCCCATTTGCCACTGCAGCCCCAGTGCCGTCCTGGGACCTGGTATTAAGTGGATGCTCAATACATATTTGTAGTTGAATGAATGGATTATTCAGAAGTATCATCTTTTTCCCAAGCCCTTATCCAGATAGCCTATACTTAGTACTTCCTGAATCTATTTGTGATAACATATGATCTTCCAGTGGTAGAATTTAACCAAGCTGTGCTGACTTTTCTCAGGCATATGAAAGATCAGAATAAGAAGGTGGCCAACCTCAAGCACAATCAACAGTTGGAAAAGAAGAAAAATGCTCAGTTACTAGAAGAAGTGCGCAGGCGAGAAGACAGCATGGCTGACAACTCACAGCATTTGCAGGTAAGCACAGGCTTCTCTTCTTAATCGCTAAATAACTAGAGATGGACTCTCTCAGAAATGTCACCATTGGTGCCAGAAAATATGCACAGAAATGGTGGACTTTGCCTTTGCCCTGAGTCTAGCACTAACAGGGAACCCAGTAGGTCTTTCCCAGGGAGGGTCATCATTTTCAGAATGGTGGCCATGAAAAGCCAATTACGGTAGAGCCTGGAAATACAAGGCAGAGTCTTTTGGTTCCTGTACCTCACCTTAAAAGGTAAGGGCTGCATTTATATAGTTGGCAAGAAACTTAAAACATAGAAATGTCTTCCTTTTCAATTTATATTTAAATTGTTTTGGGAATAGAAGAAGGCAAATGTGTGTGTATTATCACAGAAGGTATTTGGGTGAGGATACATTCAGCTGATCCCAGACAGTTTACAAAACCAGTTTTGTTTTGTTCAAGACTGTGAAGCTCAGACACAGATCATTATTCTGTCTTCTCTGTGAATATAGTTATCTTTCAATGGACAGCCATATCTTAGAAACAAACCAACTCACTGGAAACACCAATTTTTCCTCATTAACCACCCTTATTTTTGGCCAAGGAGTGCTCCCCATGTACTCAATAAAACATTCAAGCTAAAACAGGGCATTTGCTTTGAAGTTTCTTTATTTATTCCAGTGTGCCTTTAAACAGAGCAGTTCAAGTTGGCCGGAGTTCATGTTAAATTTTGGTTATTAATTAGTGTCTTTCTCCAGTTATATATTAGGTTTCCTCCTTGGAGATAGGAGAAGTTAGATAATTTCAATATGTACTCATAGTTCATCTTTTTAATTGGCCAAAAGAGAAATCAGTAATTATTCCAGTGTAGGAAATACAAGGAAATACCTTGCATAGAGCATGGCACATGAGGACTAGTTAGTCAATATTAGGTATTTTTTTTTTCCTTTCTCTGTGTCCTAGACATGCCTTCTGGTGTCACTGAAGGCCCTTTACATTGATGCTTGATTTGGAGTGTTCACTGAATA
The DNA here is from genome assembly GCF_000001405.40 of Homo sapiens. Lineage (NCBI taxonomy): Eukaryota > Metazoa > Chordata > Mammalia > Primates > Hominidae > Homo > Homo sapiens. The sequence continues at coordinate 55,949,413 of NC_000003.12, read as the reverse complement.
GTGAGACAATAGTAGGTGGGCCCAAAACTTTTTTTTTTCTTTTTGAGATGGAGTCTCCCCCTGTCGCCCAGACTGGAGAGCAGTGGCGCGATCTTGGGTCACTGCAAGCTCCACCTCCCGGGTTCACACCATTCTCGTGCCTCAACCTCCCGAGTAGCTGGGACTACAGGCTCCCGCCACCATGCCCCGCTATTTTTTTTGTATTTTTAGTAGAGACGGGGTTTCACTGTGTTAGCCAGGATGGTCTCCATCTCGTGACCTCATGATCCGCCCGCCTCGGCCTCCCAAAGTGCTGGGATTACAGGTGTGAACCACTGCGCCTGTCCAGGTGGGCCCAGAACTTTAAAGACGACCTGACCTTAGGGCTCACCTTGCTATGGTGTATTATTCCGTAAAACAAGGATAATAATTGCATCTGCTCCAGAGTAGTTGTGAGAGTTAAAGAGTCAAGGCATATAAATAATTTAGAATTGTACTTGGGTACAGACCATGCCCAAAATAAGCATTCATGACTAATGGTTGTTATAATAACAAGGAAAAGGCAAATGAAACATTAAAAACGATTTGTTTACTATATGCAGAGGTATTTCTACAGTTCTAATCTGATATACAATGAGCATCAAAGTTTTTGTCTTTTCTATATATAGTAATTTCTTCTTTTCTGAGGACACATATAGTTATGGAAATTAATGTCTTGTTTTGGCCCATGAACTTTTGTATAGCAATATTTTCATAAGAGGCCTTGATAACTACCTCATAACCTCTTCATAAAAGATAGCATGGTCTGGAATTGCTTAGTTGCATTCCTGACCACCCCAAATAAAGGATAGCATTTGAAATGCAATAAAAAGTAATCACGATTAATTTTGATGAAAATGTCTCTGGTTAAGGTTAATAGAGAGTAAACCTCCCACTTTCCTGGATTGTTAAGCAGATGTGCTCAGATGTAGTAATTACTGCCAAAACTTTCTGGAGGCACTTGCCTTTTTTAATATTGCTATTGTTTTGAGCATTTCCTGTTTACAAGTTAGCCTGTTAAGCTTTAAGTGTCAGTCAGCCAGGATTTAGCTTGGCTGGTTGGTGGTTGTGGCATTGGCACCTGTTAATTTTGATTTATTCTACACAAGCATTTGGTAACAATTGGATACACTGGCTTCATGATTTCAACCAACCCAACAGGTATTATATCCAGAAAAATATCATGTAGAGTATTGCCTACAACAATAATAGCTAGTGGATCAGGCTTCAAAGAAGAGCACCAAGAGATTCAACTAGTTGGTATGAAAGTCGGAAACAAAGTTGAATGAAGATAGAGTGACTATGCTTTTTATTGTTCAAACCAGAACACAAAAGGCAATAGACAAAACCTGCGTCACCTCAGTCAAACCTGGATATATAGCACAGTACGAAATATTTTACAAATCCAGTCTTCTTTATTTCATAAGTTTACAGTTTTCCGACAGAAATTGCAAACTCAAATGTCTTCAGGGTCTAGGCTTTTAACATAAGAAACAGGCTTGTGTGTAGGAAAAATAATGATGTCTGGTTCTTTCTGCCTGTTTTTTATTGTTTATTTTTGGTAGAGATGTGTCAGTTAGCAATTGCCATAATAATGCTGTGCTGTGCAACAAATCACCCAAAACGCAGTGGCTTTTTAGTACCAATAGTTTATTCTTACAGATTTGCAGGTTGACTAACTGGCCCAGCTGCTCTAGGGTGGGTTTGGCTGGGCACTTCTACTCACTGCACATCTGTCGTGGTGCCTGGGGCAGCTCTGTTACACGTGTTCATTCTGAGGCCAGGTGTCAGCAACCCAGGGAAAACTAATGACAGTTGCTGAAGCACAAGAGAATGAGCAAAAACATACTAGGCCTCATAAGGCCTACTCTTGAACTGATATTGTGATTTTCACCCTTGGCATTGGCCCAAAGCAAAGCACATGACCAAGTCACAGATTGGAAAAGTTCACTTGACTCACAAAGACAAAAATGTACGGGAGTAGATACGAGGAGAGGTGGAGAACTGAGGCCAATCATTCAGTCTATCAAAAGAGACAAGCCCTGGAGAAATATTTCTCTATTATAAGAAAAATAGCATATGCATAATGAAAAATTTCAGCTGTAGGTGGCCTTAGTGTGTGGATATAGTTGAGGGTGGTGGGGAGCTATAGGGAACTCAAGAACCCTTACTCATCTATGGGAGTAGTGGCCACTAAGCTCTGGTTGAACACTGCTGTAAAGGTGGGCCTAGGGTGATGGGACCTCCGATTATCCAAGACAGTCCATAAAATGGGAATTTGTATGTGAAATCTATAGATTTTAGAAAGTTAGTTGAATTTTTAAACACTCTGGGATCCTGTGAAGCACATGTGCACATGAGTTGCCCATTGGCTTGCGGCCTCTGCTGCATGGCCTGGCACTCTGATCCCAGTGGGTCTACATTGTGTAAATAAAGTGACTAAGAATACACCCTAGTTAGCCGAACTTGACTCATTGGAAAGAGGTGGCAGTTTAGTATTTGTTCTGAGTCCCAATTTTGTTTGAAGATACCTTGAATTATTGTTTCTCAGAGGAAATCACCACTATCTACAGGAATAGGGAATGTTCTTGATTTAGCTTCTCAAATCATTTTTTTTGGAGCATTGACAAGGAGAACAGGAAGGGAAGGATGCAGAACCGTGGAGTTGAACTGGCCAGTGTTCAAATACTGGCCCTTATTATTATTAGCTTAGGGCCTTGAGTATGGCAGAGAATCTCTCTGACCCTTACTTTTTTCATCTGTAAATGGGGATTACAATCTTTACCTCCCTGGGCAGGTTAAATAAAATAAGGTTTATGAAAGAATCTAGCACAGTACCTGACATATGTGGACTTCAGTTACTAGAGTTTTCTCCCAGAGAGACTGATAATGAGCTTTTAGTCATAGAAGACAGTGACCATTGGGAGTATCAACCAACAAATTCTTTGCAACTATTTTACACTGATGAGTAATACAGATATAGAACACACACCAGTAAATGGAAATTCCCAATAAAGCATTAAAAAAACATTTTGGGCAATAAGGAGGAAAATTAAAACATTCTTCAAGTTAATGTTGAATTGTGTGTGAAAGGTGGATGTGAAAGATCGTGATTTTCTTGTATAATTCTGTAGAGCTTTTCCCAGAACACAGATTATTGGGCATGATATTTATGTCTGACCTTGGGGCTTTGGGCTTCTGTGTGTCCCATCAGAGCCCACATGGAGGTTTTTCAACAAGGTGTCTTTCCAGAGATTCACACTAAATCGTCATTTCCAGAATGGGATGCCTTTTTTTTTTATTTTTTTATTTTTATTTATTTTTTTCTTTTTAAAGCTCTAGCTATTTCTCACTGAGTAAATATACCAATTTGAAACCCCAGTGGATATCCTTGTAGATTTTGGCTGCATTTTTCTATGTGTAGCTTATCGAGTTAATAAACTAACTTTCTAAAAAATGTACAAGCCAATGTTTTGTGCTCCTTTTCTGTTATATGTCTGCAGAATTCTCTTCAATTTATTGCCTGAAAACTAAAGTCTGTTCTTGTGTGCTTCCGTTTCCAAATTATAGGTTCCCAGGGAACCGTAAAGTTTCTTCTCTGCCCGTGGTTAAACCCAAGTGTGATCATTTTAAAAAGCAAATGAATGTTCTCATTTATTCTTGTCCTTTTAATAGAATTCTAAAAAAAAAAGCTAGAAAGGCAATTTTATTTTTTAATTTGTGCAACCCTGTACAGCCAATATCTTTTTTCGAAGGGGACTTCCTTTACTTTCCTCCTCCAATTAGAGTTGGAATCAGCTAACAGAGGAAGTGTAACAAACAACATAAACCTCAAAAATGCATAGCTTTCAGCAAAACATATAGTTCATTATGGAGTTCCCAAGGTTTGCTAAGTTGTTTCTTTGCAGAAGGACGTGTATATCTTAAGCAGCAATTTTTTAAGCTTCATATCTAAATGTTCATCTCTCCAAGCCACTAAGTTAAATTCATTTCTTTTTCAATTCCCTGAGCTTAAAATTGTTACTTTAAATGTGATCTATGTTCATGTGTTATGGTACACTTACCTAAGTACTGCCATTAGAAGAAACCTGACCAGCAGAGTTAAGAGATTCATCATTGTCAAAATGAGTTTATTTAGTTCCTAGTTTTCCATGGCTGTTTGGTAGGCATGGTGTAGAGTGATTTAGGGAGGCTTCATTTCAGCCATCATTTTCAACATATGGAAAAGATGAGAAAGGTCATCCTAACCCAGGTTTAAAAGAGAATCCACATTTGTTTAAATTTTTATTAGAATTTAACATCATGATTTGTTTTTAATGCTGTGAAGTGTTTTATTTATTTGTTTTGCAGTTTTCTACCTTGATGGGTAGAGATTGGGAAGTTCCATTAAGTTATGGATAAATCCTATCACATTGTTGAAATATGAACTGACCCTCATCTAATTTTTTCAGACTCTGTTCATGGTTTCAGACGAAGAGAAATACTCAAGTATTTGTTAGTCTACAGAGGACAAGGAATGTTGACGAGTAGGACTGAGGGTCAGCACAGAAGTGCTTTCTTTCCTTGGGGATTTATTTTGACATTTGTTTTTCTTTCACACTATAATCCTCCGCGAGCCAAAAAAACGACTTTTGCTATAGCAGGCCCCTGTAGGCGGTCTCAGAAAATCTTATTTGACAATCAGTTTCAGGTAGCCTTGAGTTAAAATCATTACTCTTTGTAGTAACTCATAGACTGTCAGGGGCAACAAGACATCCTGTGCAATGTATTTGGGAACTAACTATTTGTTAGAAATGTTCCAAGAAGCCAAGTGCAATCGTGTAAATAAAACTGTTATATGTGGAGTTTTTCTTCTTTCCTCCCACTAAAGTATGACTTGTTTTTCCAAATGTGCAGTAACTTGCATATTTCTTCTGAGAAACATCTTCTGCTTTTTCCTGTGGATTTCTGACCTAATCCTCCACTTCATATAGGCTTTCTGTACAAACACAATATATTTCTATGGAAAAGAGAGGTTTACTCTTAATCAAGTGTTGCCTAAGCTACCTACTAAATTACCCCCTGAAGACAGAGTGGGGTTCATTATTCTTTTCCAAAGGGTTTTCAGGTTTCACTCCATTAGTGGCTCTTCAGCAGTCCTTGGCAAAGTGAATGTTTGTTTGCCGAAGGCTGAAGATCCTGCTGAATGAAACGCAACATATTTCTCAAATGTAATCATTGTTATTATGGGGGTAGAGTTTGAAATGACAAGCCTTGGGGTGGGGGTTTTGGAAAAAGAAATCTTGCTTGAATGGTATAGTCATCTCTTATTTATTTTGAGGGGGCTTTCTAAGCAAACTCACACTATTTTTTAGACGTTATCCTATTTTGTGGCTTTTGGTCCCTGAAATAGAAATCAATAAGGGAAAATCAATAAGTGTCATCCTTTTGTGAGCTCCAGTGAAAACTAGAAGCAGACGTGGATCCTTTCCTAAAAGAAATGCTATGCTCAGTTCTAGAGAGAGAGGAGGGCTGGGCTTGTAGAGTCTGTCTTGCCTCTGTTTACCCCTGACTCTGATCTATGGGCTTATTTTGAGGTGAAGCTTGGACTATAAACTGGAGACCCCATTTTTGTATGTTCATTAAAACCACTGCTGATGATTCGTTTAGTCAATAATAAAACAAGCCCATCTAAGCCAGAGTCCTGTGTGCTTTCTAAAATGCTTTCGTGGGGTGATCTTCATGCTGGATCCTTTTTCTGGCCTTGAGGATTGGTAGGACCAGTTTATCTATCTTTATTTTATAGATGAGGAAACTGAGAGTCAGACAATTGTTCAGTGACTGGTCTGCAGTCGTGAGTCTCATTGAAGATAAAGCCTTAAGGAGGTACCAAAAGCTTGAGAGTTCTTCCTGTGAAGATTAGACCAAGCCTCAGGTTTCGTACACTGAAAAAAAAAACGCTTCCTCAGGCAAAAGACTCGGAACCAGAATCATGCTTCAAAAGCCACTGGGAAGGGAGACCTCTGAGGTGTGTGTTTGGGAGCATCTATATCTTCTTCTATTCTATTTTACTCCATAACACGTGCAGTATCATTTTCAAAGTAAATACGGTGAAGGCATTACTGAAGAACCCAAACATTGAAAGCAAAAGGACTGGGAGAAGAAAAAAATTCTGACAGCATACCTTCTTACTTTTTCCAAGGTAGAATTTATGTAATAACTCACACACAGGACTTGTGTAATCCCTAGGGTGCAATCGTGTTCAACATGCATCAAAAGGGCCAGTCTAGTTAAACCAGCTCTCCCTGGCCAGGATAATTACCTCAGGTTTACCCTGAGTTATCGCTACCAGAGGTTAGTCAGGGGGGCACCTGCAAATTACAGTGCATGACACACTGACATCAATAACCTCTTTCCAATAGCTCAAATAGATGCTGGTATTTCAGCACATCACTGCCCAAGGCAGAGACCTGGGCATGGTTAACTTCTAAAAATGTTAACTTTGACTTATGGCTTGTCCAAAGCATTGCCAAACTATATATTCAAACACTCCAGATTAAGGAAATGACAATCAATGACATAGGCAATGATTTAGATGGAAATCTTGCAAAAGGAAAATACAACTATTAAATCAGTTCCTATTCACTTAATCGTCTGTCCTGTAATACACATTTGGGAAGTTGGTAACTTGAATTTATGACACTTTTAATTTCTTCTCTGCTATTACACTTTCCCTCTACATCTTATTTATGTTGCCTGGAAAAAGCCCTACAAGGTTTGAGCAATCATAAGTTTTTCTTACTAGAAAGGACCTTAGACGGGCCGGGCGCGGTGGCTCACGCCTGTAATCCCAGCACTTTGGGAGGCCGAGGCGGGCGGATCACGAGGTCAGGAGATCGAGACCATCCCGGCTAAAACGGTGAAACCCCGTCTCTACTAAAAATACAAAAAAAAAAAAAAATTAGCCGGGCGTAGTGGCGGGCGCCTGTAGTCCCAGCTACTTGGGAGGCTGAGGTAGGAGAATGGCGTGAACCCGGGAGGCGGAGCTTGCAGTGAGCCGAGATCCCGCCACTGCACTCCAGCCTGGGCGACAGAGCGAGACTCCGTCTCAACAAAAAAAAAAAAAAAAAAAAAAAAAAAAAAAAAAAAAGAAAGGACCTTAGACTTCATTTAATACAAGCTCCTTGTTTTGCCGATGAAGGAAGTAGGGCCCAGCAAAGGCAAATGACCTGCCCACGATCCTAGAGGGAGTTATTGGCAGAGGGGAGACCAGATCCCAAGCCTTCTGCATCCTTGCCCAGTGCCATTTGTGCAACCCACTGGTTCCATAAGGTAAGACTACCTTTGATAGGATTTGAATGGTTAAAATCTTCAAGCTTATACCTAAGGCTTGTGCCCCTCAGCATTGGGTATTAGATTGAGCATCTAAAATTATATAAAATTAGTTAGTTATTGTGAATAAACTAAGCTTTATGTATATTTTATAACAGGATATTCTATCATTTCCTGTGCCTCTCTTATGTCTTTAAAACTAGGGTAACTAAAGAAGTAGTAAATCGGTGGTGGAGATAATTACTGTGAGAACAGAGTACAGAGTTTAGGACTCTTTAGATAATAAATAAAAATTAGTTTAAGTTATTTATATCTTTGCCATTTTTCTCCATCCATGAAAGGATGTCACCCATAAAGAGAGTCAGGAAGTCTCTTGTGATGGAAAACAAGTGTGGATATTTTAGAAAATTCAACCAAAAGAATAATAGCTGCTTTTTATTGAGCAATGAAGTAGGCCAAGGATAATGTCTTCAGTTGTGTTCCCTGGGAAATTGAGACTCTGAGATGAACATGCAAGAAGTTTATTGAGGGTGCTCTCAGAAAGGGAGGGAAGTGGGATTAGGCACAGGGAAAAGTCAAACTGTAATGTAGTTGCAGCAAAGGCCGTAGCAGTCCCTATCAGTTGCTCTGGAGCTGAGATAGCCATTTGGAGGGCTGTTGACTCTAATTGAGTCAATAGAGGTGGGCAATGCCAGGAGAAGGGTGTAATCTTAGACAAGGCAGCTCTCAGGGAAAGCACATCCCTGGCACTTGGAGACTGTCTTGGTCCTGAAGGGGCATCAGGGCAGTGCATCTACATGTACAGCAAACACCTGATGTGTCTGTTGCACCCTCTTCATTGACACCCATGGCAGGTACACGCAACTGATCCCAAGACAAGTCTTACCCACCCAGCTTAATAATTCTTTTCAATATTAGCAGCCATTAAAAAAAGCAATCATAGTTGGCCAAGTTGCTGTGTACACACAATGAATTGTTTAATTGTCCCAACAAACTAATGAAGATGTTACTATCTTTGAAACCACTTTACAGATAAGAAGATTGAGACTTAGTGATGTTAATTTAAGCAAGAGAAAGAGCCGATGCTGTTTCTCAGGTCTCAGTCATAAACTGGACACCTTTCTTTCTCCTGAGTGGAACTGTTTCTTTGCATGCCTTTTATTGGGCACAGTAACTGTATCAACAGTGAAGATGCTGGTCAGGCCCCTCCAAAAACATAGAAAAATTAGGTGGCATAAACTTGGGTAACGGGGTTTTGCATGGATTTTATGGAAACGGATTAAGCTTTATTTTAAGTAGTGAGTTAGACTTAAATGCTTCTTAAATGTGTGTAAGACTCTGCCTTCAGTTCATCAAGCATTCCCAATGATGTTTTTTGAGGACTTTTTTGTGTGCTAGGCACTGTGCAACCTACTGAGATGTAACAACAAGTAAGACAAAATTCCTTACATTTGAATATCTCAAGATCTTTTCTTCTGACTAAAGATGTCCTCCCCCCAGCATTTGATTTGCAGTAGCTTCTGAAAGTAAACCAGAACATGCATTACTGGGCTGCTGCGTGCTCTGAGACAGAAGAGTATTTGAAAGAGGTAACAATGAAGTTGTGGCTGCAGCTGGACTCTTGGCTCTTGCATGCTAGAACAGAAGCTTCTGGAAGGCCTTTTGGACCTCAGGTCATCCGTGGGGCCCTGAGCTTCTGAGTGGGTGAGAGACGAATGTATCAAGCAGGAAGTGAGGGGATCTGGGTTTTAGTCTAGGCTCGAGTGATTTTTTTTTCTCTAAGCCTCAGTTTTCTCATCTACAAAAGAGGGGCTTGTATTGAAGTAAGGCCCTTTCAACTCTGAAATCCTGGGGTCTGGGGACTAATTGAAGGGTGCACATATGTGGTGATTTAAAAGCACCTTCCAAGCAGGGGAGGCTCATGGGCCAACTAGTGAGGCTGCTGCCAAAATAGAACATGCAGGTCAGGAGCAGGGATGTCCTCCCATTGGGAATCTAGGGAAGTCAGTCTTCTTGGCACCATCCTGGTAATATAGAATACCTGGCTTTAAATGTAAGTCACTCTAAGAACTCTGTTTTCCATCTGGAGTGCAGGGTCTGCCATTTTGAGAATTTCATAGTGTGCACTAACACATTTTGTTTTCTTTAGAGCAATCGGTTATAATAATACATCCACCAATTGTTACTTTTTTGGTGCAAGATGGATTAGAACTCTGACAGTCTGGACACAAGATACACAGTGCAGGAACTTCTCAGAATTGAGCCACCTGGCTTACAGACATTTCTCAAGGGAAGGAACTATGTGGCTTTAAAATGTAATTGTTTGTGAAGTAGATTATTGTTTTAATAAGCCACTATGTCAGCAGGGGCTATTTTTCTCCTAATTGTTCAGGTCATAGTGAGCTGTGGGAAAATAGAATAGAGACTAATTTGACTAAAAGAGGGTTGATATAATCTAGATTCACATTTCACAAAACATGTTTATCAGAGTGATGGTTCTATGGAATACTATAAGGAAAAGGGGTTTCATTTGTCAAATGCCTCTGGAAAATAATACATATTCTTTTAGGTTAAGAATACTGTGCATATTAACATGTTAAAGGCTCTGAGAAGTCCTGCAGTCAAAAGAAATGTTTGATATTCTTCAATCCAGAATTTCTCTAAATCACTTGACAAAGGGAGCCCTTTTCTTTCCCACTAGGGCATTTATTAACATTGCAAAGTATTAGCATTTTATGGAACTTGGGCAAATGCCGATTTAGGCAATTCTTACTGATGATAACTGACATATGCAATTACTTCTTGGATTAGAGTTTGAGGTTGGTCAAATTCTGCGGTGATACTTTATTAAGCATAATATTGTCTTTGCTGAATCAAAATTCACCTGGATTGCCCCTGCCACTTTGTTGAAAAACAGCTCTGTTATAATGATTAACCAAGAAAATTCTAATTCTAATGTACTTTTAAAAAATTGTACCTCATTAAGAAAACTGATATGAAGCAAATTGAAAAATGTTTATGAAAGGTACAGTAATATTTTCATCTATTATTTCTTGATCCCAGAATCCACATTGATTTCTAATTACAAGTTCACATTATGCTATACTCCAAATCCAAATCTGATAAATTTTTTTTAAAAAAATTGATGACTGTTTTGGGGGAAGGTGTGGAAATATTTCCAGGTTTAAAATATAAAATTGAAATTTTTAAGTATCCATTGTTAATTGTAACTTGGATGCAATTTTACCTTTTTTTCTGCTAAGGCAATATGGAATATAGTGCTCTAGGCTCATGTTATGCTGTCAAAGTCAATTATACGGGTTGAAAATGAAGCACAGAGCGTCCCTGTGTCATTACCAGCAGACTTGTTTTTATTTTGGTTGTACTTTTTTGGCTGTGAAAGGATCCTTATAAGAAATTAGAAAACCGCACATTTAAAAATGTTAACTGTTAAACAATATAACCTTGAGTGTACATCTCCTAGATGCCTGGGTCTGTTCAGACATGGGCCTGTGATTTCTGAATGAACTGCACCTCTCTTAACCTGACTTAATGACGGCTTTACCTTTTACTCATCTTGCAAGGTTATTTTCCTCCTAGTGGAAATGAGAGATTAAGGTCGTTCTTGACTGTTGCTTGGTTCACCAGAATAAAGTTTCACTTCACAGGAATTACCACATGTACGTTAGAGTCCAGTGGTTGAGACCAGGGTAGTAGTTAGAATGAGATCATAGTTAGCTATGAAGTCTGGGAGATATATGGCAGTTGGGCAAGGACATTCTTTTCTGTAATGTTTTTAATTCTCAAAGCTTATTGTTTCCCATATAAAAATAAGGACATAGCTCTATATTTTAAATGCTTCTGAAATGAAAGTTTTAATCTATTCATTCATTCCACAGGCATCATGTTGGGCTCTGAAAGAACCTCTTGGTTTTTCGAGGCTGGGTTCTTGCTTCTCTCTCATGCCCTGTCTAATGGACAGACAGAACCATGAAGACCTAATCATAAGACATACTAGGAAATGTGGGCGTAGGGCTTTTTGGTAGATTGGACTAAGCAGCACTACAAGTTTAAAACATGAACCTTCTAAGTAAAGGCAGCTTGAGTTTTTCCACCCAAGTCAGCTCCTGCAGCATTGCTGGGGCTCCCTGCATGTGTTTCTAGGCTAAGAGCTAGGCCTCTATCCCTGGCTCTGATGACCACTTCTTCCCGTCATTTATGAGTCAGTAAATATAATCTCATGTACCCAAACATAAGCCACCCTGAATACAAACTCATCTACTATTTCTCAAAGATAAATTTTCAAGTTTCAATATAGAAACTTACAGAGATATAGATAAAATAATCAAGATGTCTACTTATGACATTTATATTATCAGTTTAGTTACATTCAAAATCATTTATTACACAACATGTGCTTTTTTTTACTCTTGTATTTCATGGAACAATGTCACCTGAACTCTCCACAAGCCTCCTCTGCCTAACAGTCAGTGACCCCCCTGGAGGTGCTTTTCCATCATCTGGTGCAGCCTTCCCTGCACCTTATCTTCCCCTCTGAGAGGTTTGACCCCAGTACCTTAGGAACCCATGTGTGACCAAGTAGCTGGAGTCTTGAACAAAGCCACAGCCATCTACTCAGATCATTAGCTTGTTTTACAGGTTTTGAGTAGGTGTGAATGTTTTTTATCTCTTTACCAGGCCGGGCTGTAATTGCTTTTTTGTTTTGTTTTGTTTTTGAGACGGAGTCTCACTCTGTCACCCAGGCTAGAGTGCAGTAGTGTGATCTTGGCTCACTGCAACCTCCGCCTCCCAGGTTCAAGTGATTCGCCTGTCTCAGACTTCCAAGTAGCTGGGATTAGAGGCCTGAGCCTGGCTCATCTACTAACTGGCTAATTTTTGTATTTTTAGTAGAGACAAGGTTTCACCATGTTGGCCAGGCTGGTCTCAAACTCCTGATGTCAAGTGATCTGCCCCACTTGGCCTCCCAAAATGCTGGAATTACAGGCGTGAGCCACTGTGCCCGGCCTGTAATTGCTTTTCTAAGGGATGTTTTTACCACGTGGGTTAAGATCATTGGCTTCTGTGTTGACTCCCGATGCTGTCACTTACTAGCTGTGTGTTGTGCAACAAGGTTGATAAGTTTCGGGTGATGGTAGTACTTGCCTCCTAGTGTTGTGTGGTCATTTAGAAAACAGCATCCGGCACAGAGTAAATGCAGGTTGATGCCGTGATGATGTTGCTAGGATGCTGATGATGTCATGTTGTTTTTCAGCATTTACACTGGTGAGGGCTCTGTAAAGACCTTACTTACCATAGCCTATAGCACCCTGTGCCATTGGCCCTGGCTCTCTTTGGGACCCCCTGTTGTCCTCCCATTGTTTCCCTCACTGACTGCTCCAGCACTCCAGTCTCCAAACCCTCCCTGCCCTTGGAACAAGCTGGTCCCTTAGCTAGAAGGTTCTTTCTTCAGGTATGTGTGTGAGTTACTTCTTCATTTCATGTAGGTTTCTGCTGCCATGTCGTTTTCTCAGACAGGCTTTCTCTGAATGCTCTTTCTAATTAATAGTTCTTGTCTTTCTTTATGTTTCTGTCTTTATTTTTCTTCATCACTTATATCACAGCCTAAAATAATAATGTACAGTTATTTGTATACTTATCTGTCTTTCCCATGAGCACATAGGCACTTTGTCCATCATCCCTCCTCCTAGAATGTAGGACTATCTTACGTATCCAAAACAGAGTTGGCCCTTGGTAGACATTCAATAAATACTTTTTGACTAACTGAATACATGAGTTATTATAAGTGAGCAGAGTTGCAAATAAGCTTCCATAGCAGCTCTGAGGATTGGTAGTGGCTTCTCAGCATGCAGGAGAGAAGGACTGAGGCTGTATCTGTGAGGGAAGAGAAGAGTGCCAACGCCAATCAGCCCATGCAGGGGGCTCGGGAGAGAGCAGGAGTGTGTGTTCTGCCTGAGACTCAATGGAGACCTCCTTCGAAGTGAGGACCTGTGTCTTTTCAGTGCCTGATAGGTAATAAGATAATTACTATTAATTATTCATAAAATGAGATGCATGAATAACTGAATAATCAGATAGGCTAACCATGAATAAAGAATGCACTATTTAGATTTTGTCATGAAGTTTGTTTGAACAGAGATTTTCTGCAAGAGGCATTCTTGTTGGCATTTGAAGATGTGCATTATTGTTGAGCTACCCTAGCTGTTTTTCATTTCTCCTTGAAGTTGCAGAGGGCACCTTCCTCATTAGAAGCTGCTTGGAATGGCTGTCTGGAGAGCAGGGAGGGCAGCGTAACAAAGGGGCCAGAGGAAACCTAATTTCCACCCTGTCCTCAGAGCAATGGCCTTGTGTGGCAGGCACCCTGTATGCACACATGTAGGGCACATGGCCTGCAGACTGGAAAAATTTTCAGAAAGGTGGCAAAATGAGCCAGCAGGTTCTCAGAGCAACTTTTTCTTCATACTTTGGTTCTCTAAGTGAAGCCATACTTTTTCTGAGTGTTTAGATCTTGGCCAATAGCACTTATGTGAGCAAGGAATTTTCTCACTAGCCAAGAGTTTGTTCATTGTCTAATTGACAGATGGATGGAGTAATTGAGCTATTCAGCAAATGCACAGTGGTCACCTGCTGTGTGCCGGGCTCCATGCAGGGAACACTAAACCTGTGTAAGCACTAGGACTACGTCACAGCCACCATCTTCAATAGTCTAGTTTTTGGCACTCACATTTCAAATGAATGTTTTCCTTCTCAGCTATCACCCCGTGGAACTGGTATTCACTTCCCAGCATGGCGACTATTACTCAAAAGCTTTCTGGAACTCCTCTGGCCACCTTGAAAGCCATGCAAGAGATCATACTCTTTTGTAATCACATGTTCTTACCTAAAACCCAGCATTTCCTATTTTGATCAGCAGCCTTATTCTCCAGACTTGGTTCTAAAAAACATGTGGCTATAAAGTTATGCTTCTGGCAGGGTACTGTGCCTAACTCTGAAGATGGTTCCAAAGCTGTTTCCCAAAATGTCATGGAGTAAAGGCTACATCTTTGGAGTAGGTCACAGCCTCCAAGGTCACTGCTTAGAATGGGGATTATGTGCACAGAGATGGGAACAGTCTGGCATGTTTTGTAACCTTATCTTTTTTTCCCCCAGACCGCATGATTTTTTTATTTGAAATGAAGCAAGCTAATTTTTAAGCATCATATAAATAATATACTGATTGGGTTTTGAACTTTTCAAATGGCTCCTTCTATACTGCAGAAAATTCAAAGTCATTTGTAATCACAAAAAGACTTCATATTGCCAAAATTATGTAGACATTGTGGATGATGTTGATTCCTTAAAGGCCTAAATTATCCAGAAATTTCCTGAGTTCTTCCCAATTTTTTTTCTTTGTCTAGATCTGGATGTTGTTTCTTTTCCATTCCCCATTTCAGAAGGGAGGCTGCATGTCAGTGGCCATCTCTTTTCATTCTTCAATCTAGAGTTACGTAGGCCTGGAATCCATTCCTTCTTCTAGCACTTCACAGCTGTGTGATTTTGAGATTGCTTACTCTTGCTATGCCTCAGTTTTCTTATCTTTAAAATGGGGATAAGAAGACTAGCTACCTCATCAGTTTGTATGAATCAATGACTTCTCAATGTAAAGTCATTGTCACAGTTCTTTATGCATGGGAGTGTACTCTGGAAATGACAGTCACAATTACTGTTGTCATCATTATCATTACTACACCTAGCATTGACCAAATATTCAGTCATATTCTGATATGTTTTAACTCGAAACTCTTAGGGTTAAACTGTATTGAAGATTTGCATGCCTGTTCTGATACTTTTGCACTGACTGGGAGAAAAATGCAAGATTTATGTCTTTGTATACTTTTTCCCAGCATCATAAATTTTTAGAACTTTTCTTAATGTTTGGCAGCTAGCCATACCCTCATTGAGCACACATGCACATATGGTATATATGCGCGTATATAGATATATATACACATATGCATATCCATTTTCAAATGGTTTTATTTTCTTGCCATGAAACATCATGGCCTCCTTAATTTTGCTTGCTAGAGTTAGATGGCTGTATTTTCCACCTCTAAATTAAAAACCCAAAGAATTTGACACATAGGCACCAAAGTGGCCACTGACTTCACACAGACAGATACTTGAGACAGAAAGCCCTTTCTTCTTTGTGCTCACTTGGTGTCTGGCTTCACCTGGTTGGGCAAAGTGAACTATGCGTAGGTTGAGCTAAATATGGCCTTGCATACCCACGCACTGGAGGTGGGCAAAGGGTTCCTGTAAATCGAGAGGCTGGACACCGTCTCCAGTCCAGAGGCCACAGGAGTGAGGTGACTGAGGAGGAAATGGCACGGCTCCTGTGGCCACGCGGTTTGCCTGCAGTTGGTTTGAGCCACATAGAGCTCTCCAAACGGACTTTGACGGCTACTTGGTTAATTTGATTGATGCTATGGGGAGGCAGGATCCCTGAAGAGTATTTATATAGCCCTGCACATATAGGCTGCAAAGGCAGCCACAAAACCAAGCTAAACACAAATTTTAGCCATGAAATAAATTTTAGAAACACTGTATACTTCCCTGTTGGTTTAAGTGCATACAGGTATCGTTATTCTTTCTTCTCATGGCTGAAGAATTGTGTTTGCTATCTTTATTGTTGCTTAAATTTTGCAATTAAAACTTGACTTGCCAAAACCCATGTACAGCTGTTTCAATGAGAATTTAAGATTCTTTTCTTTGGTTTCATTTTTGCACAGAGGGTAGGCTTTCTCACTTCTAAGCCTAAAGGTTGGCATTTGAGATTGGGCATGGTTACTTTCTTTATTCTCTCTCTTTTTTTTTTTTTTGAGACAAAGTCTTGCTCTTTCACCCAGGTTGGAGTGCAGTGGCGCGATCTCTACTCACTGCAGCCTCCACCTCCCAGGTTCAAGCTATTCTCCTGCCTCAGCCTCTCGAGTAGGTGGGATTACAGGCACTCACCACCATGCCTGGTTAATTTTTGTAGTTTTAGTAGAGGCAAGGTTTCACCTTGTTGGCTAGGCTGGTCTCAAACTCCTGACCTCAAGTGATCCACCCACCTTGGCCTCCGAAAGTGTTGCAATTACAGGCGTGAGCTACCACGCCCAGTGCTTTCTTTATTCTTCAAAGTAATTAACAATACCATTTTTGCTGGCCAGACCTATGTATTAATTGCCTTCTTTTTTTCATGGCTCCTTATTAAAAGGTAAGTATCTCAAGATAGTTTGCCTCATTCTAGCTGAGTATTCGCTGAAAAAAATTTCCAGGATGGCTCAGTCATCAGAGTCATCTGTTACTTTTGGAAGATTTTACTATAGTTCTGTCAAGGAATAAAGAATCCCACTGGACACTTGCTTTTATGAGTGGTGAATGTATTGGGAATATATTTTAAGGGGTACCAGAAAGGAAAAGAGGGATGATTGTGAAATGAGGAGTGTGCAGTATTCAAGCTAAGATCTGAAGGCAGAGCAGAAGCCAGCCATGCAAATATTTGGGGGCAGTGCATTTCAGGTAAAGGAAACAGCATGTACAAAGGTCCAGAGGTGAGAACGAGCACAGCCTGTTCATAACAGTATGAACCAGGCAGAATTACTAAGAAAACATGATATCCATCTCTTAGGGTTGTTATAAAGATTAAATTTGATGAAGTGCATTAAATACTTAGCCCCAGGCAAGCAATAGCAATAGATGTCATAATAATAACATCATTATTGCCTTCATCTGCTTTAAAGTTCTTCTCGGTACATAGAAATTCTTTAAAATACTTTAACAGACATAAAAGGAAAGAGGCATTATATTTTTAGTGACTACTCAGGCCTTTTAGACCCTAGGTTATCCATCATGGAAGCTTTTCTCTAGCCTAGCTTTCCTTACTTAGACATACTGTCTGTCTTCAAGCAGATCTGCTTTGATTCATGAATAGAGACAAGCAAATGGAAGTTGGATATGAAATATTTATTGCAGCAATGAGAACTTATGAAAACATGGGAGGAGACTTGTTAGGTTCTCTATTTACAGAACAAATTCTACACAAATCCAGTTGATCGTTATTCCATAGTTAAGTTATAGAATCCAAGATGATGAGAGTTGAAAAAAGAAGTAAAAATTTTAAGTACAGTACAAATGCAGAAAACAGCTTAAGCACATGCACAGCAAATGATTTTTATAAGATGAACACCTTTGAGCCAACACTCATGTAAGGACCTAGAACTTTTTAGTTACCCCAGAACCTCTCCAAGAGGTCTTGCTCAAACCACACCACTTCCTCCTTTCTTTTTTTTTTTAAATTATACTTTAAGTTCTGGGATACATGTGCAGAACATGCAGGTTTATTACATAGGTATACATGTGCCATGCTGGTTTGCTGCACCCATCAACCCATCATCTACATTAAGTATTTTTCCTAATGCTATCCCTCCCCTAGCCCCCCACACCCCGACAGGCCCCAGTGTGTGGTGTTCCCCTCCCTGTGTCCATGTGTTCTCATTGTTCAATTTGCATTTATGAATGAGAACATGTGCTGTTTGGTTTTCTGTTCCTGTGTTAGTTTGCTGAGAATGATCGTTTCCAGCTTCATCCATGTCCCTGAAAAGGACATGAACTCATTCTTTTTTATGGCTGCATAGTATTCCATAGTGTATATGTGCCATGTTTTCTTTATCCAGTCTATCACTGATGGGCATTTGGGTTGGTTCCAAGTCTTTGCTATTGTGAACAGTGCTGGAATAAACATACATGTGCAGGTGTCTTTATAGTGGAATGATTTATAATCCTTTGGGTATACACCCAGTAATGGGATTGCTGGGTCAAATGTTATTTCAGGTTCTAGATCCTTGAGGAATTGCCACACTGTCTTCCACAATGGTTGAACTAATTTACACTCTCACCAACAGTGTAAAAGCCTCCCTATTTCTCCATGTCCTCTCCAGCATCTGTTGTTTCCTGACTTTTTAATGATCGCCATTCTAACTGGCATGAGATGTTATCTCATTGTGGTTTTGATTTGCATTTCTCTAATGACCAGTGATGATAAGCCTTTTTTAATATTCTTGTTGGCCGCATAAATGTCTTCTTTTGAGAAGTGTCTGTTCATATCCTTCACCCACATTTTGTTGGGGTTGTTTTTTTTCCTGTAAATTTGTTTAAGTTCTTTGTAGATTCTGGATATTAGCCCTTTGTCAGATGGATAGATTGCAAAAATTTTCTCCCATTCTGTAGGTTGCCTGTTCACTGTGATGGTAGTTTCTTTTGCTGTGCAAAAGCTCTTTAGTTTAATTAGATCCCATTTGTCAATTTTGGCTTTTGTCGCCATTGCTTTTGGTGTTTTAGTCATGAAGGCTTTGCCCATGCCTATGTCCTGAATAGTATTGCCAAGGTTTTCTTCTAGGGTTTTTATGGTTTTAGATCTTACGTTTAACTCTTTAATCCATCTTGAGCTAATTTTTTTATAAGGTGTAAGGAAGGGGTCCAGTTTCAGTTTTCTGCATATGGCTAGCCCGTTTTCCCAACACCATTTATTAAATAGGGACTCCTTTCCCCATTGCTTGTTTTTATCAGGTTTGTCAAAGATCAGATGGTTGTAGATGTGTGGTGTTATTTCTGAGGCCTCTGTTCTGTTCCATTGATCTATATCTCTGTTTTGGTACCAGTACCATGCTGTTTTGATTTCAAGAATAACCACTCTCCTGACTTCTGTGGTAATCTCTGCCTTACTTTCTGTATTAGTCTGTTCTTGCATTGCTGTAAAAAACTACCTGAGACTGGGTTATTTATTTATTTATTTATTTATTTATTTTCTTGAGACGGAGTCTCACTCTGTCACCCAGGCTGGAGTGCAGTGGTGCCATCTCAGCTCACTGCGTCCTCTGCCTCCCAGGGTCAAGCAATTCTCCTGCCTCAGCCTCCCAAGTGGCTGGGATTACAGGTGCCCACCACTATGCCTGGCTAATTTTTATATTTTTTGTTGAGATTGGGTTTCACCATGTTGGCCAGGCTGGTCTCGAATTCCTGACCTCAAGTGATCTACGTGCCTTGGCCTTCCAAAGTGCTGGATTACAGGCATGAGCCATGGTGTCCAGCCAAGACTGAGTAATTTATAAATAAAAGAAGTTTAATTGCCTCACAGTTCCACAGGCTGTACAGGAAGCATGGCTGAGGAGGCCTCAAGAAATCTTCAATCATGGCAGAAGGGGAAGGGAACGCAGGCATGTCTTCTTATATGGCTGCAGCAGAAGGAAGAGAGCGAAGGGGACAGTGCTACACACTTTTAAACAAGCAGATCTCCTGAGAACTCATTATCACAAGAACAGCAAGGGGGAAGTCCGTTCCCATGATCCAGTCCCCTCCCACTAGGCCCTTCCTTCAACACTGGGGATTACAGTCAGACACGTGATTTGGGTGGGGACACAAATACAAATTATATCACCTTCCTTTGTAATTTTTATTATCCATTTGCCTATCCCTATATATTATAACTTAGCTTTGTCCACTTTTTTCTTTCCTTATTTGAAAGCAAGCTTCAAATTTTTCCCATTGGAAGAACAGGAATGAAATAAAAGTGGGCATGCAAGGAAGATCAAAAGTCAAGAGAAAAAAATATACAAAACTTGAACTCAGCCAGGGCTAGCAGGTAAGAGGAAGCTGCTTGGAGAAATTGAGAAGGGCAGGGCAGTACCTGTGAGGGGTGTGGCTGGCTCAGAGCCCCTTACTTCTGCCATTGTGAGGGAGTCTCTTCTGGAGACTCAGAGACAGTGGACATCAGGATGGCAGTGCTGAGCAGGAAGTTTTAGGGGGAGCTCTCTGTTTACACTCTTCTGGAGCTCCTCCTCTGAAGGAGTCAACAGCTATTTTCCCAGTCCCTGTGGCTTAGGGGAGGGGACCCAGCAATCAGTAGATAGAAAAATTGAGAGAAGGTTCAAACTGGGAGCCTCTCTCTACTGGCTGAGGAAGAGGGATCTTGGTCAAGGAGATGGGGAGTACTCCCCACCAAAGAGGTTAACTCCCCATGGCAGGAACAAAGCAATGGTGGATAGTAACCAAAACAGTATGGTTCTGGCATAAAAAGAGATACATGGACCAATAGAACAGAATAGAGAACCTGGAAATAGATCCAGACATCTACAGTGAACTCGTTTTCAACAAAGTTGCCAAGAATGATACATTGGGGAAAGGACAGTCTCTTCAGTAAATGGTGCTGGGAAAACTGGACATCCATATACAGAAGAATGAAACTAGCCCCCAGTCTCTGCCATATACAAAAATCAAATCAAAATGTAGAAAAGACTTAAATCTAAGTTGTCAAACTATGACTCTCCTAAAAGAAAACACTGGGGAAACTCTCCAGGACATTGGACTGGGCAAAGATTTCTTGAGTAATACCCCACAAGCACAGGCATCTAAATAAAAATGGACAAGTGGGATTACATCAAGTTAAAAAGCTTCTACACACAAGGGAAACAATCAACAAAGTGAAGAGACAGCCTACAGAATGGGAAATATTTGCAAACTATCCATCTGAAAAGGGATTGATAACCAGAATATATAAGGAGCTCTAACAACTCTATAAGAAAAAAATTGAATAATTCGATTAAAAAATGGGCAAAAGACGTGAATAGACATTTCTCAAAAGAAGACATACAAATGGCAAACAGGTATATGAAAAAAGTACTCAACATTATTGATCATCAGAGAAAGGCAAAGCAAAACTACAAGGAGATATCATCTTATCCTGGCTAAAATGGCTTTTATCCAAAAGACAGGCAATAACAAATGCTGGGAAGGATGTGAGAAAAGGGAAGACTTACGCACTGTTGGTAGGAGTGTAACCACTATGTACAACCACTATGGAGAACAGTTTGGAGGTTCCTTAAAAAACTAAAAATGGAACTACCATACAATGCAGCAATCTTACTGCTAGGTATATACCCAAAAGAAAGGAAATCCATATATCAAAGAGATATCTACACTACTATGTTTACTGCAGTACTATTCACAATAGCCAAGATTTGGAAGGAACCTAAGTGTCTATCAACAGATGAGTGGATAAAGAAAATGTGATACATATACACAATGGAGTACCATTCAGCCATAACACAGAATGAGATCCTGTCATTTGCAACAACATGGGTGGAACTAGAGGTAGTTATGTGATGTAAAATAAGCCAGGCACAGAAAGACCAACTTCTCATGTTCTCACTTATTTGTGGGAGCTAAAAAAAATTAAAACAGTGAAACTCATGGAGATAGAGAGTAGAAGGATGGTTACCAGAGGCTGGGAAGGGTACTGGGGTTGGAGTCGGGGAGTGGGGATGGTTAACTGGTACAAAAATATAGTTAGATAGGATGAATAAGATCTAGTATTTGATAACACGACAGGATGACTAGAGTCAACAATAATTTATTGTATGTTTTAAAATAACTAAAAGAATAGAATAGAATTATTTGTAATACAAAGAAAGGATAAATGCTTGAGGTGATAGATACCTCATTTACTCTGATGTGATTATTGCACATTGTGTGCCTATATCAAAATATCTCATATACCCCATAAATATATACATCTGTGCACCCACAAAAATTGAAAATAAAAATGTAAAAAGTACAAACACCCCCTGCCATAAAAAGCAAAAAAACAAAAGGATGGTGCAACTTTGTGGGATGGATCATTCCCTAGGGATTTTTAGGGAAGGAGAAGAATTGAGTGGGACAAGGCTTAATTTTGAGAAGTTACCCTGAGATTCTGCTTACCTTTGCAACTTTCCTAGTATGTGCCATTTCATGATCAGTCTCTTTATGGTTGTTAATGTAAAATCTAAGACAAACCTAAATAGGGTTTATGTTTCCTTTTGGAAGAAACAGGAGGCTCTGGGGAACAGTTTAGGAATGTGGACCTTCAGATGGGCAAGCAACCAGTTACTGGGAAAGCTTCTAATGAGGCAAGTCCCCAAATGATCTGATAGCAAAAACAGAATGGACAGGGGTCCAACTTAGAACTGATTTGCCCTCCACTCTCAGGGCAGTATCAGGGATCTGAATTTTATTTCTGGCATTGCTAGTAACTAACTGCACAAAAACAAATGAATTAAAAAAAGCCTTTGGAAGTTACTTGAAGGCAGTTACTTTAAAAATATTTATTGAGCTCCTCCTGAGTGCCAGGAACTGTATTATGCATTGGGTATTCTGAAGTCAAGAAGATTACATGACCCCCATCTTCATAGATTTGCCTTCCAGCCACAGAGACCTGAAATAGGAAATTAATGAAAAACTTGTGGAGTGCTGTGGAGGACTCTCCAGGGGCTGCCTGGCTGGAGGACCTGGCAGGAAGAGGCCATGATGCTCGAGTTCACCTCCTAATTTTTCAGATGTAGAGACAGAAGGTGATAAAGGAGGATGCCTTATTCCACGGAATGCAGTTTGCTAGTGACAGACCCAAGATTCAAACCCGGATCTTACTTGTGTTCAACTGTTCTGTAGTCCATGGAACATAGGTACATTTCACAGGTGAAACTGGAAGACCAGGAGCCTGTTTCTGAATATTATTTATTTCAATCCTTGATAAATGATATAAAATCTTTGTGTGTCCTTCAAGGTGTAGGACTTCGATCTTTTAGTTTTTTTTTTTTTAAAAACAAAAAACAAAAAACAAGCTCTGTTAGGGCAGCAGGTGGAATGTAGAAGCCAGCATGCTAGGTCTTGGTTTGAATTTAGGCACAGCATGTAGACCTTGAATTTACTCCATGGGAACATATTTTTCCAAGCTTCTGGACGTTTTGCTGTTCATTTTTGTCTTTTTCTATCCTACATGTCTTTTTAAATTTAGTTACCCATGACTGGTAGTGCTTCAAATCTTCAACAATTCCATGTCATTTTCCCATAATCATTTGACATCTATTTAATGATGTATACACTATTTAAGACAACTTGAAAATATTTTAAAAGTTGTAGAAATAATAATAATTCATAAACCTAAATAGTAAATGGGTGCCCACCCACTCAAATCTCTTTTCTGGGTGGGTCATTGGAAATATGTACTTGCTAAAATTCCCTCCATTGTTTAAAAGTGCTGTGTCTAATGAAATACTACAGGACAGAAGGTGTTCATCTAAGGCATGGCCTGGTTGTAAAACACACAGACACACATGTGATATACATTTTATAGCTTTGTGTATTTTACAGGCAAAACATTGAAACACAGTAGAAATACTACCGTGTACAGTAAAGCCAGCTTTAATAGTAGCATCATATGGTCGTTTGTCTCTGCTGGCCTTTTATTTATGCGTCTGTAATTATGATTTCCAGTACTTGTTACTGGGATATTTCCAAACTTGGTTTTGTCTTTAAATCTTTTCTTCTTGGAACTTTTTCCAGATTTCCTGTTTGCTGGGTGCGTAGTTCTCACTGTAATTTGGAAGATCATATTGGGGTATGGCTTGGTCTGGCTTCACAGGGACATGGTCCAGGCATCTGCCCAGTTGTCCAGGACAGAAATCTGAGCCACCCTTAGTTCCTTTCTGTCTCCAACATACCCCTGTTCTCACATCTAATTGCTCACTGGGTCCTGCTGATTTTAGCCTCTAAATATTTCTTGAATCTGCAACCTCCTCCTCATCCCTTTCATACCCTGACTTTGTTCTGATCTTCATCTTCTCTTGCTTAGATTATGCAGTGGCTTCCTGACCAATCCCTCTGCCTCAAGCCCTGATTCTGTTTTGAGTTACTCTCTATACTTTCTCATAACTGCCGTACCTAAGATGTTCAATAACCCTGCCATTGAATGCAAGGTATAACTCTGAGATATTTATTGGGACATTCAATGCCCTCCGTTGTCTTACCCTGGCTTAACTCTCATCCCCATTTTGCACGAGAATCTGCCTCCAGCTTTAGGATCTGGTAACACTAAATAGATCCATTCTCTATACAAACATATCCTGCTCTTTGTTTCTTCTGGCTCAACCTGCTCCATGCTTACCCTGCTGTATATAATTGTGTTTGAGCAGTTTGTTGGAAGTGGCAACAGATTAAATAACCTTGTTTAAGCTTTGAAGCTACTTTGCACCAGTCTTCAGAGAGATGTGAGGATATAATTCTCTGTACTGTCCTTAGCAAGGTAGTGCATACTATAACCAAACTGGCCCCTAGTCAGATCAAGCTCACACAGGGAATCCAAGAGTATATCCACACAGGGTTCATTTTGAATGGATTTGAATCCTATATTTTAAAGCATCCAGCTTCTGTGGGTGGGTAGAAATTGAGGAGTGACTCCCCTACTCTGCTGATCCATCTTTCAGGTTCCCACTAGGAGAAAGCCTTAGTTCTTGGCTTTTAGTTCTAACTCTACATTCCACCCCCTGCTCCCTCTCCCCACAGCATTTCTGTGCTCTTGGATTCTTTCTTTCTGCCTCACTCCACCTTCTGCTTGGAGTTCTGCCTTCTGTGCCAGGTCTTCATTCAGCTATATCTGGGTCCACAGGATTTTTGCGGAGAGAGGAAGGTGATGCTCAGGTGGGGCTAGAAATGGCTTTAAAAATCTAAAGGTAGGTGAAAACAAAGAGTAAAAAGGCCCCTACAGAGATCTGGACTGAAGATAGAATATCTAGAACACTGGTTGGCCAACTATGGTCTGTGGGCCAAACCTGGATCCCTCTCGCCACTTGTTTTTATGCATAGTTTCATTAGAATGCAGCCATGCCCATTCATTTGTCTGTAGCTGTTTTCATAGGAAAGAATTGAGGAGTTGCAACACAGGCCATATGGACCACAAAGGCCGAAATTTTACTGTCTGGCCCTTGGCAGAAAAAGTTTGCCAACCCCTGCTCTAGAAGACAGTGAGGACTTTCCTAAGGACAGCTTTAATTCTACCAGTATATTATATGTACTAGAATCTCTACCTCTCTGATTTTTTGTGTTGTTTGATCCAAGGTGCTTTTCTATGGTATGTGTCAGAATCCCAAACAGTTGAAAAGGCATGAACAGAGAGTAGGGCAAATCTGTCTCCTTACATCTATAATATTGTGTCCCCAGCTTAATAATAAGGTTTTTAATATGTAACATTTTAGTTTGGCTTAAAATAAATAGATTGCCACCTGGATCACTACAGCAAATAGATTTCATTTTGGGAGACAGCTCTGATTAATTGGTGGCTGCCTTAACCCTATGTTGGGAAAGATTATGAGGTCCCAGGGGACTCAGTGCAAGGCAGTGCTGTAATCGATTAGTGATGTCTGTCAGGGCTGGTGCACAGAAGAAATGAGATCCATTTGTCTTAAGCTAGAGGCTTCTCCCTAAAGCAGTAGAAAATTTAAAGGCATGAATTGTTGTGATTCTGTCTACCACAATCTAGACTCTGATCTGAGGTCACTAAGAGGAGAGCCTCTACAACCCAGAATCCCTTTATTTGTAGCCTATCCTGGAGCTGCAACTGAAGAGACAGATTTATAAAAGCTATTGCTTTTATAAATAAATTGAAAATAATTCCTTGTTTGCTATTATATCTTCTGAACCAACTTTTTTTTTATTGTGGCAAAATATATATAACATAACATTTACCATTTTACCAGTGGCTTTAAATACATTCAAAGTGTTGTGTAACTATCACTGTCATCCATCCCAGAACTGAAACTCTATATCTGTTAAACAGTAACTCACCAATAACCTCATACCCCTGGTCCCTGGCAACCTGTGTTTTATTTTCTGGCTTTATGAATTTAATTACTCTAAGTACCTCAAATGAGCCGAGTCATACAATATTTTTCTTTTTATGTCTGGTTTATTTCACTTAACTCGATGTCTTCAGGGTTCATCTGTGTGTAGCATGTGTCAGAATTTTCCTTTTTAAGGATGAATAATGGAATATTTTCCATTGCATGTATATATCACATTTTGTTTATTCATTCATCTTCAATAGACACTTGGGTTGTTTCTACTTCCTGGCTATTGTGAATCATGCTCCTATGAACAGTGATATATACATATCTGTTCAAGTCCCTGCTTTTAATTCTTTTGGGCATCTACCCAGAGTGGAATTGATGGACTGTATGGTAATTCCATTCCCAATATTTTGAGGAGCTGCCATACTGTTTTCCACAGTAGCTACACCATTTTGCTTTTTCACCGGCAATGCACAGGCCTCCAATTCCCCCACATCCTCACCAATACTTTTTGACAACAGCCATCTCACTGTGGTTTTATTTGCATCTCCCCAATATCTGGTGATGTTGAGCATCTTGTTCATGTGCTTATTGTGTTTCCTTTTTTTGAGAGCTGTCCATTCAAATTGAGTCAACTTTTATAGTTAATTCTTACTGCTGGTTTCTTTAAAGAGCAAGAGACAGATGCAGTTTCAGCTGGGAATTTCCCTGTGGGGGACCTGGAAGGTCTTGAGGACAGTTACGTAGGATCTCTGTTTGATTGTAATTACAAGCCAGGAACATCTGAGAGGAAAAAGATTCTAAGTAAAATGGGGATGTTTTGAAGCAACTGTAGAAATTAAGACAAAGAAAGAAGGGGGTAGGGGGAGAAGAGCTGTTTGATGTTTTTCTACTGGCATCTTTTCTTCTTCCCAAGAGTGAGAGAAAGGGGAGGGGAGACACAGAGAGACCAAAAGTGTGTTGCTTCCGCTGGATTTCTGTTTAAAATAAGCCCCTTGCAAGGCTCCAAAGCCTCAAAACCCACAAGTGACATTTTTAGGACAATTTTTTTTTTCAGTGTGGAGGCCTTTGATTATCTCACCATAATTACTATCTTTATGATGTTTTTCCCCTGGGTGGCTATATTTTAGTGAAGCAAAGTTTGAGTTGGTTTTGTTAGAAACGTCACTCTGGGAGCATGAATTTACCTTGCTCCCAGTAATAAAAATAGTTTAAATTAAGCTTTAATGTACTTAAAGTAACTGATTTGAAACTATGTGGGTCAGAAGTATTCTGAGACAGTTGCTAGAAAGTTCTAGTCCACTTATTTAGTTTGAAGACTAAGTGACTGGAGGAGGTATGTCTGGGAAGACTTCTGAATGAATACATTTCTCTGTATGAGCTAATGTGTAGGGCAAAGCAGTATCTCTGGGTTGATATTATACAATCGTTAGAATTTAGCAAGAGCAAAGAGGTAGAGAGAGTCTGATATCATTTAACAAAGCTTCACTTAAATTAGGAAACTATTAGTTATATTAACAGTAGAAATTATCTGAAAGAATTGATTAACCAACAATGAATTTGTTTTTAAGATGTCCCATTAAGTACTTTTTTGATGTTCCCAATTGCACATAATTCCTAGAAAACATGATTTTTCAGTTATAAGAATTAATACTCTCCATATATGGACTACATTCATATTTAAATCTCCTATTAATACAAAACTAGTAGAAAAGTTATATGCTAGTTCTTTTTCATTTTTGTGGCTCAAAATAAAATAAAATAATTTGCATTTTCCAACTTTGGCTATAATGATCTTAGAAGCCATTGCATTGTATTCATTGTCTCAGCATCTCATTTTTTAAAAACCATATTCAGGTTGATTGTTCAGTTTGCGATGACAGAATTTTGAACTGTCATATTGAGAATTCCCAGTAGAGAAGCAATCTCCAAACCTTGCCTGATAAAACTCTGTAGGACTGATACATGTGGGAATACCGCCTTCAAAGAAATGAATGAGGAGTTCAGTGAGAATCAGGAGGCAATTCTCAGAGCTAGATCGGACCCTGCCCCCTCTTCCCCAAACACCAACACCATAATAAGGATGATAGTGTTTATAAGAGTTTAAAGGGTCATAACTATTTTGGGTGCAGTTTTATGGATATATTTTTATTTACCAGAGTCAGCCAGATTTCAAATTCATGTTGGTGGGTAATTAAGGTTCACACTGATTCAATTGAAGCCGCTAATCCCATCAATTAAAGCAAATATGAACCATGTAGTTAATAATTTATTGCCTAATTGCACAAACACATTCACAGTCAGTTTTTACTTTAGTACATAAGCAGCAAATTGTGAGAGAGGTTTTAGGGTGTGCTCAGAGGTTTCTGCATTCCCACCAGAACCGAGTGGTTATGATTCAGTCTCTGCCATCAAACTTAGCCCCCTAGGTTTGAAGCCCAGTGTCATCACTTTCTAGCTGTGTGACCTTGGGCATGTCACTCACTCTGCCCCTCTGTTCTTCTGTGGTCAAATGGGATAACCTCATAGGGTTGGTAGGAAAAACAAGATAGGAATTTGGAAAAGTGACTGACAAATACTGAGCATCCAATGAATGCCATACAATTATTGTCACTGTTATCATTATTAACCTCCCCACTTCCTCTTCAGTTTTGCAGAATCACGTGCTCTATTATTTAGAATGAATTTTACATTCAAATCCTTCTTTAAAATTGTATTAGAAGCAGATAAAGAAGCACTAAAGGGTTCAAGTAGAATTCATGTTGATGTATGCCATTATTAAAATAGAATTAAGATAACAAGATATGGATTAAATCTTACATAATATTATGCATGAAATGTGTTGATTGTTACCTCCAGGGAGAGATGATGTCCTTTTCAGTGAAGCCCATCACCCAGATGCCTGTTGAGTTTTTGGACAGTTAGCAATATCCTTCTCACTTGGGGTGTGTGTGTGTGTGTGTGTGTGTGTGTGTGTTTTAGTGTGCCTGTGTGTATGTGTAACTAGATCTTCTCATTTAAACAACAGTTGCTGATTGTTGATGAAATATTTATTCGTTTAGTGCCTTTTTAAAACCAATTATGAAATATTTCAAACATAATGGAAAATACAGAAAATAGTGTAATGAAATCCATTTACCCAACACTCAATACAAATTAAATTTTACTTAATAAATAAATAATTTTTTCATATTTGCTTGACATTTTTAAAGAGATAAAATATTTTACTCCATCCTGATTCCATGTATCTCCATTTTTCTCAAAGAGAATCCTCTCCAAAATGTAATGTGCATCCGGCCATACTAATTTTTATACTTATTTGACATATGTGTGTATTCCTAACCAATGTAGACTATTTTTGTAATTTTACTAGATGTTATGAATTCACAGATAATATGTGCTATTATTTTCTGCATTCTTAAGTGCAACATAAATGGCTTCATACTTTCTTCTTTATTCATTAACTTCACTTATTAGGCCAATTACTCAGTGGCCTCCTCCTTATTCCTTGAACGCACAGGAGGCCCTTCCACCTTGGGGCTTTTGCACTTGCAATTCCCTTTGCCTAAAATGCCCTTCCCCTGATAGCCACTGGCTGGTTTACTACCCCCTCAAGTCTTATTTACATGGCTCTGCCTTAGGGCCTTCCTGGGCTACCCCACCTAAAATTGCAAGTCGGTCATCTCCTTCTTCTGCTTTATTATTCTCTTTAGCACTCTTCACTGTCTCAGTTATTACACATTTTACTTATTTTCTTCTGTTTTGGCTGTCTCCTACCACTAGAATACATGTTCGTTGAAGATAAAGTTGTGAGGTTGTGGGGGTGTATTCCAGATACCTACAAATTGTTCAATAAATATTTGTTGATTGAATAAATGTGTATCACTGGGCAATTCATGTTAATTTCTTAATAGTATGTTTTTGAAGTTTATCCAATTGATACCTGTAGCTCTGTTTTATTTTCATTGCTGCATAGCGCTCCATTGGCATCATACTTTTTTAAATGATTTTTTTTAGAGACGGTCTTACTATGTTGCCTAGATTGGAGTGCAGTGGCATGGTCATAGCTCATGACAGCTTCAAACTCCTGGGCTGAAGCCATCCTCTCACTTCAGTCTTCCAAGTAGCTAGGACTGCAGGCATGTGCCACTGTGCCCTGCTAATTTTGAAACTTTTTGTAGAGATAAGGTCTTGTTATGTTGCCCAGGCTGGTCTTGAACTCCTGGCCTCAAGCAATCCTCCCACTTTGGCCACCCAAAGTGTTAGGATTACAGGCGTGAACCACTGCATCCTACCTACATCATACTTTAAATATCCATTTTTTGGTAATGGTTGCCATATTAGTTATTTTTGTATTTTTCCTTTTGCAAACAATGCTGTGGTGGACATTCTTGAGCATTTCTCTTTGAGAAAACGTATGAGAATATATCTTTAGTGTGTATTTGAAGTTAAAATTCTTGTTTATATCAGGAATCTATTGCTGCATAACAGAACACCCCAAACTTACTGGCTTAAAATAATGATTTACACAATGCTGTGTTTTGGCATGATTCTTTAGCTAGTCTTCTTCATCTAGTTGCAGTCAGGTGATGTCTAGAATGAGTGAATGGTCTGATGTGGCCCCACTTACATATCTGGTTGTTGGTGCTGCCTGTAGCTAGGGCACTTCAGATCTCCATATGGCTTCTTATCCTATGATAGGGTGGATCAGCTTCCTAACAGCACAGCATTCTTAAGACAGTGTTTCAAGAAGAAGCTTCAAGGCCTTTTAAGGCTTTGACTCTGAAATGCACACAGTGCATCATTTCCACCACATTCTATTGGTCTAAGCAAGTCCCAAGGCCAGCCCAGATTTAAGGAATGAAAAGCTGAAAAAACTCGTGGTTATGTTTTTCTAATCTAGCACCTTGGGCCATAATTTTCACACATCTTTAACTTTATTACATATTGCCAAATTTCTCTGTAAGGTAGTTTTACCAATTTATTCCCTGACTGGCACCAATTTATTGTTAAGAAGGAAGATATTCGGAGGAAGAGTGAGACAAAACAGATGCTCATAGATCACCCTGCCCCCACCTTTTTATTTTTTAAGACAGTAAACCCTGAGGGAGTAAGTCTCTGCTATACCTTCAACAAAACCTGATTCCTCTTACTCCTAGATATACATTACATTTCCAGATTACATTGTAGCTAGAAATGGCCATAAGACCAAGCTTCGGTCAATGAAAGTAACTTATCCTTTTCCATTTTCAGACCTGGAATATAAATAGCT
The DNA here is from genome assembly GCF_000001405.40 of Homo sapiens. NCBI lineage: Eukaryota > Metazoa > Chordata > Mammalia > Primates > Hominidae > Homo > Homo sapiens. The sequence goes on along the minus strand of NC_000003.12, from coordinate 55,918,120 downwards.
TTGGTGTGATCTATTGTCTTATCTCTATATGATATCTAGATATAGAAGATATACTGGGACTCTGAGGCCCAGGCTAAAGGATAGTGAAACCACTAGACAGAAAAAATTTGAGCTAGAAATAAACTTATAATAAGCCACCGAGATTTCAGTGTTTCTCTGTTAGAGCAGCTAGCATTTTCTTAATCAAGGCAACTCTCAATTAGCAGATAGTGTCTTTATTTGTAGACTTTTGGTCTGGATGAGAATTAATCATCTAGCTCCATTCTCAAAGATATAACTGGTATCCACAAAGCATTTAGAAAAATATGTAGCAGCCTTATTGAGATATAATTCACATACCATGCAATTCACCATTTAAAGTGTAGCATTCAATGATTTTCAGCATATTCAGAGTTGTGCAATCAATTTTAGAACATTTTTGTTACCTCAAAAGGAAACTCTGTACCTATAACCAGTTATTCCACACTCCCCCTGCCCTTCCTCAAACCCCAGCTTCCAGTAACCACTAATCTGTTTTCTGTCTTTATGGATTTGCCTATTCATACATTTCATATAAATGGAATTATATAGTTTATAGATTTGCCTATTCATATATTTCATATAAATGGAATCATATAGCCTATGGCCTTTTGTATCTGGCTTCTTTTTCTTAGGATAATGTTTTCAAGGCTCATCCATGTGGCAGCATGTATTAGTATTTCATTTATTGTTAGGAATAATGTTCCATTGCATGGCTATATGGATATATCATATTTTATTTATCTGTTCATTGGTTGATGACATTTGGGTTGTTTCTGCTTTTGGCCATTATAAGGAATGTTGCTATGAACATTCATTAACAAGTTTTTACCCCTGCCATTTATTTTTTCTTGCAAAAATCTTGTTAGAAAGTGTATAAGGGTATACAAACTGATTTACTAGAAGCCAGTGGGTTTGAAAAGCATTTTATTTCAAACCATTGGCATCATGGAAGAAAAACTACAACAGGGGACCTTCATGATGGAATTTTGGGAACTAGTGAGTTAATGGAATCCTCTTCATTCTTCAGATTATGACCTAATTTTCATATGGCTTTTCTCAAATATATCTTGTTTTTATAATAATGGAATAATTACAATACAATACAAATCATACCTCATGGCTTTGCACTTTAGTGCAAAAAAACCCCTAGTACTTTTGATTAATTAAACTGTTTACTCATTTATTTAGCATATATTTATTGAGTGCCCACCCCTGTCCTAAATACTATTCCAGGTACTAGGAACAGAAGGGCAAGAAAGACCAAGTCTTGCCCTCATTAACAAAAAATACATGTTTTTAAAATGAACAAGAGAGTTGGAGATTGTAATATATGCTATGAAGGAAGTCAGCCAGGCCATATTATATACAGTGTGGCTTGGAGAGGCAGCAGGGCTACTCCTGAAGCTGAATAACAGTCAGGAGCCAACCTACAAGCACTGGAATGGGCGAACTCTGGGTGGTAGGAACAGCAAATGCAAGCTACCTGCAGTGGGAACACGCTCAGTGCATTTGCTGAACAGAGAACATACCAGTAGGCATGGATGAGTGGGAGGTGTAGTCGGTGTAACTTTTGATGATACTATACTAGCGCACATGTGATTATTAACGAAGAAGCATTTTTACTTCTCTGCTTGCATATTCTAGGTTCTATGTGATTTGACACCAACTGGAATCTTAGAGATAGTTTTTGCTTAGTGTCCTGGAATTGCATTTTGGATTCCTTGTGTTGTGAAAAATCACCTGTTACAAGCACCAGTCTAAAAATCTGTCAGCAAGGCAATAAACATTTGGAAACCCAAGAGTAAATCTTTCCAAAAACCTAGATTTTTGTGTAAAATGAGCCTAAAGTCAATTGGCATGCTAGGCATTTTATGGGAATAAATTGGGTGCTTTGTGAAGTACACTCATTCTTCCAGGCCACTGGAATATTCTCACTGAAATATTCTCACCACGCTGTTGCCACAGTGAGCTGAATGGGTCTGCAGTGGTTGAAGGACTTAGCACTCCTCTCAGAATGGCCTGGCTTGACCTCGCAGCAGAGTTCATGCTCTAGGACTTTGCATCAGCAGCTCTGTGTGTGAGTTGGGATGGCCTTATTACAAATACTATGAATATGCATGTTCTATTTTGAAAATATTTATTACTAGGAAGGACTTAAGTGATTTTTTTGTCTTAAAATCTGTAATCATTTTTTAAAGATTCAAATAAATTTTGGAGCCATCTGTAACTTCTTACATTTTAGGACCTTACTTATCCAGAATTCTTGCTCTCTACAATACAGCAATAAATTTAGGAAGTGATCACAAAGCCTCTGGATAGGCACCTCCCCAAATTAAGTCAGCTCCCCTCGATGATCTTAATTGAGGCTGTTGTCTTTCTGTATACATGTACTACTAGTGAGGGTGGTTATCTTGCTTCCAATCCTTCAGCCAGTCAGAAGGTAGGAAAGCTATTACTTGTCAGGTGTATTGACATCCATAAGGATCCATGGGATGTTATTGTACATCCCCATTAGCTCAAATGTCATGTGTCTTTCATGAATCCAAATTCACTTTTCTCATAACCAAATGTATAGCTGTCATGTGACAGAATTTTATCAAGAGGCCTAAAATATTAAAAACACAGCCATTTCTTTCTGAAACCAAGGTGTATTATAAATTAATATAAGTGATTCTTGGTTCTCGTGAGTTTGATTTTATATGCTACATACCTCCATAACAGCCCTTTGTTGTACTGCAGACTTTTTTTTTAATTAGCTAAAATGACCGTTTCTGTCTGTTCTATGGAAACGTCTTCTGTAAGCCAACATAAGCGTCATAATCTTTGTTGGTACAGCAATGATCGTATAATTATATTAATTTTAAAATCACTATATTTTATTTTTGCTTTAAAAAGTGCTGAAATAATGTTAAACAGCATAGGGTTTATATACTTGGTAAAGTAGAGACAAATATGGAAATTACTAATATCCTGACAAATGTCCATCCTGAGACTTACTCAGGACACTATGGATATGAGCATTTCAACGATAGGGTGGATCAAATTAAAAAGTGTGTATGAAATATGCGACGACGGCATAGATTTTATAAAAGACTGAATCTGAAAGGCAAGATGCTTCAAAATTAGATTATTTTTAAAATCTTTGGTTCTATCTTAATTGTTTGCTTTTTATATGCATTAAAATAATGACCTATGTTCCCAAATAGAGGACTGCTGGTATGGTTAGCACTTAGAAGGAAGAATGTCCAGAAAGAAAGCACACCTCTAGCTCCTCACCTTCCATCTTGCAATGGTGGGTGTCTAGTTTTATGGGATAAAGTTCAAGAGATCATCAAAGTCAACTTTTAAGAAGTAGCTGCTTCCTTTGTGGGCCTAGGTTTACATGTGTTTACATCTGCTGGTTGGAAAATGGTGCAATGCATGGGCCAGTTGTTTCTTCTGGCCTGAGGTGAAGCTTAGCCAGTAGGTCACTTGCATCAGGGGAGTTCATGAATTCTCAGACCTTGCATCTAAGGAGAGGACGAGTAGTAGGGCGATGGCTTTCTAGAAGTGGTAAGAATCAAGTTGTATGTGTATCAACAGAAAGAGGATTTGGGTAGGAGTGGGTACCATGTTAAAGTGAAAAGCTGGCAGTATTCTTAAATCTTAAAGGTGACCTCTGAAGTAAGCAGATTCGTGGCCTGTGAGTTTTCTGAACTTCTGTTTCATTTTTAGCCAATAGAGAGTGTTAAGAATAATGTAACATTTAAAGATAAGAGACCCAGTCTCCAGCCCCTAGTTTAGCCAGGTTTGACATTAGAGGGAGTGAGACTAAGAACAGAAAGGGTTTGGGAGCGCGTGGCTCTGGTTGGTGGGAAACTAGCCCATACAGAAAAAACCTCAGTTGTTGACTAATTTCTGTGTATATCTAGAGATTTCAGAGACATCTTTGCATCAGAGTTAACAAACTTCATGAAAATAATAACTGAAAATATTTTTTAAATTGATCACTTTTGGAGACTTTTCTCAAGATGAGTATCCAGTCTCCTTGTTCCTCACTCCTGGTTCAGCTGGGCTGTGTTATCTTTAAAAAAAAAAAAATTGTCATAAAGGGGCAAGAATATTTTATTAGTTTAAGAATAAGGGAAGGAAATTGGAAAGTCCCGCTTCAATCTAAGGTGGATTCTTTTGAATCTCTAGCTTCAAGGGAGATACTACTAGAAAAAGGGTACAGAGTGGTCTTTTATTGATGCAGTGTTAGCTAGAACCATGTAAAGAGTGAATACTGAGGCTTGCTCATCACTGCATTTCCTCCTGTAGATGACTGTGTGTGAAAAGTCTGGATGATGGGCATGAGCAAGGGAGGTGAGGTGGTGAGTTTAATGGACAGTAGTGTCAAGTCTTGTGTCCCCATCTTCTTTCTGGGAAAGTCCTGTCCCATAGATCAAAATTCTCCATTGGAAAAAGTCATCTTCCAATTGTCCCTTTTCTTTTTCCATAAAATATTTTTTTTTCCTTTTGTAGAAGCAATTTTTAAGTATAACGTCAGCAAAAAAGTAAGTTACAAAAAATACAGAAAAACAAAAAGAAGAAAATAAAATATACCTCTGTTTCTGGATTTTTGTGGTTTTTCAGGAGACCAATTTATAGGTATGTGCACTAAACCATAAAGATGTACATGTCCTTCGAACCAGCAAGTAGCTTTCTGGGAATTTCTCTTAAGTAATCACCAGATTGTTGGCAAAGAAAATATTTAGATATGATTTATCTACTCTTATTTATAAATTAAAAAATTTGGAAATAACCATAAGACCCCCAGGAGGTGATTCTTATAGATTACACTGTGGCCATGAAAAAATGAACTAGATCAATATTTATCGATAGAGAAAACATCCATGTTATTTTGTCGAGCTAAAAGGAAGGACCAGACTGGACAACATAGCAAGACCTGTCTCTAAAAAAAGAAAAATAGCCAGGTGTGGTGGCATGCACCCATAGTCTTAGCTACTCAGGAGGCTGAAGTGGGAGGATTGCTTGAGCCCAGGAGTTCAAGGCTGCAGTGAGCTATGATCACACCATTATACTCCAGCCTGGGCAACAGAGCAAGACCCCATCTCTAAATAAATAAATGCAATAAAAAAAGAAAGCCATAAAACAGTATGTGTAGCATGATTGACTTGTTAAAAGAAGAAGCACTGATGGAAAAAATTTGGAAGTCTATAAAAATGGCCCTCAGTGTTCCTCTGGGTCCTGGGTTTGTGCTTGTGATTTTGTTTTGCTTTTCTTTCTCTCTCTCATACTTTCCTGTATGTTTAATATTAACAAGACATAAATATGCATTATTTTTATAATTGGGGTCAAAGTATCAGTAAAGCTATTTTGGGTTTGAGTAATGAGAAATAGAAAAAAAGAGCCCATGATTCATAATCAAGGAAAACCACTGTTAATTCCCTGATATATTTCTTTCCAAACAGCCTTCTCTACTATGTGTACAAATATGTGTATATGTACATTTAATTTTGTCTTAGAAAATTAGAATGGCTCTTTATTAGTTTAGAGTGATAAATATGACCATCAAGAGGGTTGGATTTTCATATAAAAGTAAATATACACTTACACATGCACACACATACATACAGTAGGGTAATAATAAAGACAAGGCATTTGACTGTTCTTCAACTGAAGTCACTTTTCATTTTTTTCTTGCTTCATTTTTAAACTATTTCAGTGTGCTGATGTTATCAAATGAATGCTACTATGTTCCCTATAAAATGATGGGTTGATTTAATATCTGTTGGCAACCTCCATGGTCATCATTATCTTTCTCACTCGCACTGGCAACCATCAAGTATCATTGTAGGGCTGAAATACCAGCTCTGGGATATCTCTTCTGAGATTTCTTCTCTCTCTCCTCACCTGTGGGTAGGTACCACCACCTCTCTCTCCACACCCCATACTATGCTGGTTCTGGTCTAGTTTAAGCCAATATTTATACCGGTTCTTTAAAACGGATGTCTGATCAATCCCTACCACCACCAATGAGGAAACTCATACAGCCTTCCTGATTAACTGGTTCCCTTTGGTAGATCACTCCAATGTATGGGGGTTCATTTGGGTTTCAGCTGTCTGCATGCCCCTTTAAGTGTTGTGCCCTTGCTGGTAGAAGGGCCATTCCTCCTCCTGTCTGTGGTCTGTATAGAGCACCCACAATCAAATTGCTCCTTTGACCTTTCAAGTTTGAGTGGAACAAGAGAGACCATTCAGCTGGAAATACCTGAAAATTTGGTTATATCTACATGAATGTGGCATTATGACTTATGATATTTGCTACTTTAAGTCCCTAGTGGTGATTTTATTTTGTGGAGGTGTTAGCAAAGAAATTCACCTCATTGAAGAAAAGGAATTTTAGTGTCTTAAATTTTTCCCTCTAACATATGAGAACCTGAAATCTCATTCATGCTCTGTGAAATTGAAGAAATTGGGTATTTGGGAATGCAAATTGGTGGTCCTCCAAGCAATATGGGATCTAAAAGTGTTAAATCCTTTCATAAATAAACCTTGATTCAGACTGGAATGTCTTGGCTTGATCTTAAAGGTGATATTATAGGAGACATATAGCCGTTGACTGGCCTTAAAGATAATTATCTGCACATTCCAGTCTTAGTCTGCCATCAGCGGCAGACTAGCCGCTTACGATGAAGTCAATGCTCTTTCCCTTACTAGAATATTACCTTGAGACAGGCCTCCAATATTACATTTAGACAGGATGTTTATGAACCACTCTCTGCTTGTGGACTTTGAAAGCACAAGAAATCTCTCAATAGTGGCAAATGTTATCTTTGAAGCCTTCTAGATTTTAGTGCTGTATGTGTCTTAGCAATTTGGGTTTATTTCCCATTGGGCCACGTCCTCCTCTCTTTGGGTTGGTGATTTTCTTTTTTAAATTTGTAAATTTGAGGTTTTGTTAGACCTGTTAAGTTACATCATCAGGGTATGTGCATGTGAGTTTTTAGATGAAGTTGTGAAATAAAGTCTGTTCATGTGGATAATTTCCTTGGGACAAAGAGAGGGACAGAGCGCAGGGAGGGAGGGAAAGGGGAAGAAGAGAAGTTATTTGCTAGACTATGAGCACCATGAGTGCAGGGATTGCATCCCTCATCCCTGGCATAGTGCCACAATAAGTGTGTTGAATTAGTGAAAGAATTTCTAGAAAGCTTGAAAAGTGATACATTTTTACCTTTAATCCTTACAACAGATGTTACAAAGCAAAATATTCTAGTGGTTATCAGACTGTAGAGACTGACAGCCTGGGTTCAAATCCCAGCTGTGCCACTCACTAGCTGTGTGACTGTGGGCAAGTTGCTTAACCTCTTTGTGTCTCAGTTTCATCATCTGTAAAATGATAATGATGACTCAACAGGGTGCTGTGAGAAATAAATGGTATTACAGACGATTGTTCATACTCACAAGATTTAGATCCATGCCTGGCACAAAATTAATGCCATGCAATTGTTAATTAGTATTAATACTTATTAGTTAATTAGTTTTGGGGTATTGATGTTGACTCTTAGGGAAACCCCTAGAATATTTGGTTTATCTCTCATTTCCAGCAGAGTTAGAAACACATATTTATATGTCTACATATATACATATATACACACATTAATGTTTTGTTTTTCTTGCTTTCTTTTGTTTTGTTTTGTTTTTTTTGTTTTTTTGTTTTTTTGTTGAGACAGAGTCTTGCTCTGTCACCCGGGCTGGAATGCAGTGGTGTGATCTCGGCTCACTACAACCTCCACCTCCCAGGTCCAAGGGATTTTTGTGCCTCAGCCTCCGGAGTAGCTGGGATTACAGGCGTACACCACCATGCCAGCTATTTTTTTTGTATTTTTTAGCAGAGACCAGGTTTCAACATGTTGGCCAGGCTGGTCTCCAACTCTTGGCTTCAAGTGATCTGCCCCCATCTGCCTCCCAAAGTGCTGAGATTACAGGTGTAAGCCACTGTGGCCAGCCCAATGTTTTCTTAAAATAGAGTTTTACCTTTATCTTATAGACTAGTCATTGATTCAACCTAAACAGAATATTTAGAGAAAAAAAACAACCTGAATACATAACGTATATGTATGTGAGAGAGGGAAGGCTTTTTGTATTCACATGGACAAAATTCCTCAAACAAATGAGGCCTTCTCAATATAAATATTTTTCCACGTAAATGATTATCATTGGCCAAATTTATCCCATGATATTTGGATGCAAAAACCTAATATTTTGTGTTTTCTAAGTCAAATTAAATGTTAATTGACAACCCCTCACCTCATCTGTCATGTTTGGTAGAAAAATAAATCTCAGACTTTATGAGGGTCCCTCTCTGTCCCTCAGGGTTCTCTTAATTTGCCCAGAGTGATTGAGGGAAGGCCTGTGGTCTTTGTCCCAGGGTGGCTGCCTCCGGGATGCTCAGGGTCCGTGCCAAAGATAGTTGCTGACACACTCCCTCCCATGGCTGCCTGAACCTTTACCCTTAGGTTTCAGTCCTCTGCTTCTTGTCTCCCTGCTCTGGAGAGCTTCTTGGAATGGAATGCACTTCAAACCCCTTCTGTCTGTGAGATCTACACAGCCACCGCAGGCAGAAATCCCCATCTCTCCAAGCCCAGCTACTCCCTGCTTATTCAAACTCATTCTGACAATTTGACTCCTTGGACCAAGATCCCAGATTCTTGGGAACAAAGACCTTTTATCTCTCCTCTGTATCAAGAGAAGTACAAAACTCCCCAGGACTCAAACTTTTGGCCACCTTCTGGAGCAGGAGAGGGAACTCTGGTTTTTAGTCTGTCCTGATGTGGCCAAGGAATGTTCCCAGTTGAGTTATACCAACACATAATTTCAGACGCCATTGTGAAAGAAGTGCAGCACCGAAACACGGATATGAAAGGATCTAGAGGAAGGCAGCTTGGCAGAGGGGCCGAGATGGAAGGGGCTGGCATTAGACTGACTTCCTGTTTGACTGCTGGTCCTACCATTTTCCAGCTTTTTGGCTGTAGACCTATTTAACCATCCTGTGCCTGATCTGTAACATGGAAATAATAGTGGGACCTTAGACATTGTTCTGTCCGGTAAGTGGGCCAGAGTCTGGCTCAAAATGGGTATTCAATGAAGATGCATGTGTTATTATTCGAGGGACTACTTCATGTCAGGATTGACTCTATACTTATTGCCCACAGTTTTCTCTGCATTACTTAAGTTAGCTTGTCCCCTATGGCTAGAAAAGGTGGTCCTTGGGGCAGGCACGTGACCCTTTTCTTCCTTGATGGTAAGCTAGAACAGCATTCCCCAGAACCTAGAGCACAGGAGCTGATATGGCAACCCAACGTGTAGGAGTTGTGGTGACCCCCCTGAATGTTATGGATGGGGCTAGAAGAGGGCTTAAAGCTCATCTAATTCATGAGCTCAGTTTATAGCAAGGAAAACTGCGTCCCAAAGAGGGGAAGAGAGTGACCGGCCAGCTGCCTGCTCTTCTATCATTTCTAACTCCTTCCTTCTCCTTGTCAGCATTCTCGGACTCACCTGCCAGCCCAGCCCACATCTCTCCCTGGAAGGCTTCTCCCTCTGAGCATCGCTCCCTGACTCTTCCTTTCCTCCTCTGTTCACTCTCAGTCCCCTGGAGCAGAATTCTGCTTTCTGAACATTTCCTGGCCTTTCCTGCCTCCCTGTCCCAGCCCATACTCTTTCCTTGCTAGAATGCTCTTTCCACCAACCCTGCTTGACAAAACTCTAGTCATCCTTTAAAATAAGGCCTCAAAACTGATCATTCATGATCCAGATGTGGCCTATAATGTGTGTAGTTCAATTCAGGCAGGATATTTTTCTCTTTGATTGAAGCACTAATTAAAAAATAAGATTTTTTTCAGGAAAATTCAGATATGTTTGCTTCTTTTGATAAATCAGGGGATCTGGCCATGTAGAACCTGCATGTTTACATGGTGGAAATTAGCAGCAGCTAAAGGGCATTTCCCTTCCTGGCCAGCATCAGGCCTTGACAATAACTGCTTCGCCCTACCAGCCTTTGAGTTGGTGACCCCTGTCATTTAAACGCTATCACTTCTGGGAAGCCTCCTCTCCCTGTGTGTTGCTTTTCCCAATGTATCGTCCCCTCTTTGTTTTTGCCTCTAACACTCTGCTCCTCCCTGTCTGCCTCTTCTGTAGCAGAGGTGGAATTCTGCCCTGCCTATTGTTGGTTTTAGTAAATAATACTTATCGTTTATCAAGTGCTTACTAAGGGCTAGGCACAGGGCTGAGTGTTTCATGGATATTTTAATCTCCAGTCCTTGCTATGACCCTGAGTGAAGTGTGTTATTATCTCCAATCTACAAATGCAGAAGCCCAGAGAGTGTAAGTGGCTTGCTCAAGGTCACACAGCTGGTAAGTGGCAGAGAAGGGATCTGAGCCTTCATCAGTCCAAACTCAGCGTCTGTGTTTCCTCATGTTTTATACTGATGGATCTCTCCCATCACACTGAAAACTATGGGGTGGGCAGGAATGCCCTTCTGTAGCTCTGTTACATCAAATTACAGAATACACATTATATCAGAGACAAAGACCTCTGATTCATTTTCTCCAGTCAAACAATTAAGCAATAATGCTAATATGGGTCATTACAGCATCTTGGCACTGAGTACGTACCTGATGCTATTCTAGACACTTTATCCTGCAATCTCACATAATCCTCACAAGAGCCCTGTGCAGCAGGGCATGATATCTCCATTTACAGTTAAGGAATCAGAGGCTCAGCAAGGCTAGCTACCTTGGCCAAAGACATACAGGAGCAAGTGGCCGGGATTTGAACTGGGATCTTTCTTAACTCTAAGTCTTGCATTCTTTCTCTACCCAGCATGTTTTTGAACCACTTTACCATATAAAAGCTACTAGCCTACTGATAAATCCGGCAAGCAAAGCCCTCTTGCATGTTTTCTCCCAGCAATACAGGTGACATCACCACTACTTCAGCTACTGGTTCTTTTGCAGACACTTTCTGATTCACCACTGTGTGCTAGGTGTTGGGTGAAGGCCAGGGTGCATACATGACAAGGCAGTATCTGTTTTCAGGAAACCTTACCCTCAAGATGAAGACTGGGAGGCAAGCACCCCTATCATCTGGGCCATCACTACAGAAAAGGCAGGATTCCCATGCCAGTGATATGGCTGCGGCATCATCATACTCAGCCTGATCACCCTCTGATTGAATAGAAATGAGCCAGGGAATCCTTTGCATAAATTGGTTCCTTTCACAGAGACTCCCCCAAACACAGAAACACTCATCAACATGGGGTCTTTTCCAGGATGAATGTTCACAGCCTCTTTGCCTGTAAAGATAAGTCTCCTGCAAAATGGTGCTCACTCTTCCTTTCCCGATTACAGGCAGGCCTACAACATCTGTGTTTGAATGCCCTTTGGAAAGTGGGCAATATTGTGTGAAGCAGTAGTTCTGGAACTTGAACATGCATCAGAATCAGAATCAATCAGAAGGGTTGTTAAAACACATATTGTTGGACCGCATCCTCAGTTTCTGATTCAATAGGTAGAAACATGGGATGGGAGGATGCTGAGAACGTACATTCAAATACATTTCCAGGTGATGCTGCTGCTGCTGGTTGGGGAACCCCCTGCCACTACTTTTTTTTTTTTTTTTTTTTTTGAGACAGAGTCTCGCTCTGTCACCCAGGCTGGAGTGCAGTGGCGCGATCTCGGCTCACTGCAAGCTCCGCCTCCCGGGTTCACGCCATTCTCCTGCCTCAGCCGCCCGAGTAGCTGGGACTACAGGCGCCTGCCACCATGCCCGGCTAATTTTTTGTATTTTTAGTAGAGATGGGGTTTCACCGTGTTAGCCAGGGTGGTCTCGATCTCCTGACCTCGTGAGCCACCGCGCCCGGCCCCCCCTGCCACTACTTTGACAACCACTGGCATAAACATCAGGTATTGTTTTTGCTAATTCTAGTTATGAGTCAGGTGAGTACTTACTAAGTGTCAGCCATGTGCCAGGCCTCAGGATGGGTATTACAAATACAGGAGGAGTAAGTTAGACATGGAGCAAAAAGCCTTGTGAAGGAAATGGGAAGGTACATAGAAGGAAATTCTTAAGTAAAGTCATTTAAAATTGTGACACATGCTATGAGGAAATCCAACTTGGAGCTGAGATGAAGAATACCAGGGACAGGTGGGAGGCAGGCAGCTCCTTTATCTGAAGGGACTCAGAAGGGCCTTTGGGAGGTGGTGACATTTATGCCAAGACCTGACAGTTTAGAAGATGCCTGCTATTTGAAGAGTTTGGGAGAAGGGGCCTGGAAACAAGGCATGGTAAGAAAGAACAGATTCTACAAGGCAAGGGTTGCATGGGATGTAGTTGAGTAGGGGTCTTGACAATACAGGGCCCTTGTCAGCTGCAGGAAGGAGTTGGGGTTTTATTTGCAAGGCAATAGATACTATACCGCCTCTTTCAAAATTATATTTTGATTTTGGAAGTCAATGCTTATAGGTGTGAAAATTCCTTAGTCTGCTCTGTTGTAGGGTTTTGGCTTCCTCCACCTATACAAATGGTGACTTCCCCTCGGAGTTACTGTTAAGTGGAAGAGCGTGTGCTAGGGCCTATGGAGGGAGGGGGCGGGAGGGATGCTGCACACACACACGACCACCACCACCACCACCACCACTACTCCAAACTGTGAGGTCCACAAAAAAAGTAAAAAGAAGAATGTGCGTGGTGGCTCACGCCTGTAATCCCAGCACTTTGGGAGGCTGAGGCAGGTGGATTGCTTGAGGTCAGGAGTTCGAGACCAACCTGACTAACATGGTGAAACCCCATCTCTACTAAAAATACAAAAATTAGCTGGGCGTGATGGTGCATGCCTGTGGTCCTAGCTACTCAGGAGGCTGAGGCAGGAGAATTGCTTGAACCCGGGAGGCAGAGGTTGCAGTGAGCCGAGATTGAGCCACTGCACTGCAGCTTGGGCAACAGAGTGAGACTCTGTCTCAAAAAGAAGAACGTGAAACACATCAAGACATAGGCAACAAGCTTGGTGATTTGTCTCCTTTTTTGTTCATATTTGGAAACGGGAGCTGCTTTTGTTAGACTAGAGAAGTTGCATCTGGGGAGAAAATGCTCTTCCCATGCTCACCTTTGGCTTTTAAAAGGTCAGCTCTGTTGCCAAACACTGTAAGTTAAACCTTAGCAGGAATGACCGTGAAAACGGGCTGAGTCACACATTGAAATGGCAATGTGGATTATTAACTGTCATGCTTTTCTTTCTGTCTAAATTGAAGGAGAAGATGCCACGAGGCCAGCTGGCTCTGTCCACACCTCGGTGGTCTAGGGTGTTGAGGAGTTCACATGGCCATCTTGTTCAGAAATGTGTTTCCCCCCAGACGCTTTCTTTCTTCACTGAAGAGTAGAGTGAGTTATACTTTATTAGACTCATCCAGATGAGAACATGTTCATGATGGTTTCTGCAGCATTAGGAATTCCTGCTTTTTTTGGTTGGGTCTGCTAGAGTTGTAAAAGGAAGCTTTCTGGACATTAAGTTTGTAGCAAAAAGGGGTAGAATGAGGTTGGCAAGGGAAGAAACAATTTTGATGTAATAAAAATAGGATTGTTCAAAGCTGAGATGAGGGCTCTTCTTACTATTTGGTATTCAGATGAAATTTAGTTTGGAAGTCACATCAGCGAATATTATATTTCTTCAGAACCTCTGCTGTATTTTCGATCAGGGGGCATCTTGATTTTGCTTTACTTGTGCAGCAATCAGAAAAGCCATAGATGGTTTCAACTTGTGTGTGTGTGTTTATTCTATTTTTACCTATGGTACTCTGGCCATTAAAATATGATCTGTATCCATTTTGGAACTTTAAAGAAATGATTTTGGATGAGGGCAAAAATGTTGTGCCACCTATTCCACACAGTTCCTTTCTTGTCAGTGCTCACTTGCACTGGCACTTAATTTGTTGCTGTACATGAGAACATTTCTCCATCACCTCTGAAAATGTCTCATAGGCAAGGCTTTTAGAACCTGAATTTTTAAACACGAAACAGGATTATGGATTAATCTCAGGCAAGAAAGTCCCCGAGGGCTATGTAACCTAACAAATAAGCCTCTGCTCTTGGCAAGTCCCTTCCTGGGCTGCCCTCTGTTCCTGCTGTTGACCTACTGGGCAAAAGAGTGGATGTGTGTGTGAGTCTAGGCATGACTTCTCTAAAGATCAACATTTGTACACACTGGAGTCACCTTTTATACATAGTGCTACTGACATTAACCAGAGGAGTGGGCCTGACAGCCCTGGCCTCCATGCCAGTGAGAAAGTGGCCTGGCTGTGCGTACACAGTTATCTGAAGGGATTCAGCACAAAATTACACAGCCTAATTGTTTTTAGTCCAAAAGGAACTATTGCCCAGATAGAGGTGCCTTTAAGGTTTCTGAATGTGACCCATCAAAATGGGGTATTCATTTCGATATATGTATAATTATTACTTATTTTAAATAATGAGGCTGTTTTTCCTCTTGAACTCTGGGTATCATGGTTTTATTATAGCTATATATTCTTGAAGAAATGAGAGGAAAAATAAGGAGAAATATTTTTAAACAAAGCAATTTAAATATTTCAGAAGCTGTACAAGAAAGAAAAAGTCCCAGCTGAAGCAATCAGATCCTTGAGTGAACATTTGGCATTTAAAAAGCAAGGAATCCAATGTTTTCACTTTTATTTGTCTTGAGACTATTTGATACCAGAGTTACATTTGATGCAGAGTTATGTTTAATCACTTTATAGGAGACTAGACTATAATCTCATATTGGTAATGAAAATGGTGAATTTTTTTTAATCAGAGAAGAGCTACTAGGGAAAATCATTTATTTTGAAAATATAGTTTAAAGACATACATCGTAGAAAATGTGTCTTTTGGGGAAAACATAGATGTCTATTTCCAAAGCATGATACAGGTATTTGGTGAAGCTTGGAGTTTAATAGGTGAATATAAATGGTACAATCTGGCAGATAGCTTTTCATCCCAGTTGTGAAAGTGTCACATGTTAAGATGTGAGTATGTTTTGTTTCTGCCCAGATGAACAGTGAATGTTTCCATGAATCAAGATAATCCAGAAAGACAAAAGTTGCTGATTTTAAGCATGAAAATTATGCACATCAGGATGTGTACTTTGGTTGTTTTTATAGGAGTGGGCTGAATTTGACCTTTGCCATCCGCCCACTCTCCGCCAGGCTCCCTTGGGATAAATCACAGCCCCTGGCAGGGGCTAGGGGATAATCTCTGGTGTGGAGCCAGGTGAGAAGCAGAGTAACTGGTCCTAGGAGCCCAGTGTCAAAACCCCACTCTCATTAGTTCAGCTGGATGGCCAGAAAGCAGTCTCCTTCCCTGGGGTACAAAGAGGATGCTGAGCAGCACGCTGATGACTGGAAGAGAGGCAAGGTTTAGCGGATCTACTCTTGTGATTGTGTGAATACTTATTCCATTTGGAGATGGAAGGAAAGCATAGGAACCCTCTATTTAGCTTTAAAATGCAGCTAAGTTCTGTCGGTCAGCCTTGCTCATGTGGTGCCTCTCATACTCCTTACCAGCCGCTTTGTACGTGGGGAGAACTGACTGTTTGGGTGGGCGTCTTTGTTCTGAGTTTTCCCTGTATGAAGTGATTTTTCCCAAGGTTAACCAATTAAGAACTTTTTCCATGTCGCAGTAATCGCCGAGAGGAGGGAGCCAAGTCACTGTGGGGGATGCTGTGCCCTAGGGACGCATTTGGGAGGATTTCCTTCTCCTGAAGCAATAGGGTCAACATAAAGCCCCTATAAAATGTTTTAAATAAAGGAGAAATTGAAGCGGAAGACTTCATTCTGGCACGTTATGTCTGGTTTTTGCTTTCCTCCCACTGAGGAGCTAACCAAGCCAGCAGTCTGGAGGATATATTTAGTTGGAGGATGATGAAGCTTTACTGTGATTTTTTTACTTACCTGAATTATAATAATAAGGAAACCGGTACCTGCTGGTGGTATCTATGGGTTAGCATAAGATGCACTGGTAGCTATTGCTGAACATGACACTTAAAATGCATGTGTCTGTGTTTGTGTGTGATGGTTTGTTTTATAAAAAGGGAACACAATTATGACATTTTTATCACATGACTCTTAAGAAAGTCAATTTCATATCCTGATTCAGTCGGTATCAAGTCACTGATTCGAATGTTGCTTCACCTAGTGTGTAGTCATCCTTGGGACTAGATGGCATTTACAACATGAAAATTATCTGCTGAAGTCTTCAAAGCTATGATATTTTGTGGAGGGATTCTTCCTTCAGAGTATGGGAATGGCCTCATCGATCTTATGGATAGTGACTGTGGAAGTGATGGGATGTCACTCACGTGATTAAGCATGTTATTTGGCACAGTTGACTTTAAGAAAGGGACATTATCTTTGGTGGGCCTGACTTAATTAATCCTTAAGGTGAGCCCTTAAATGGGACTGGGCTTTTACAGAAGAAGGAGAGTTAAAGCATGAGATGGATTTGATGTGAGGGAGATTCTCCATTTGCTGGCTTTAAAGATTTGAGGGGACTGTGCGGCAAAGAATACAGGTGGCTTCAATGAGCTGGACATGACAAGGTGACCTCAGACCCACATCTGCAAGGAATTGAATAATCTTTCAACTCCATGAGCTTGGAAGAGGACCCTGAGCTGCTCCAGATGAGAAAGCAGCCTGCCAATATCTTGATAGCAACCTTATGAGACTCTAAGTGGAGACCCCAGTCACACCTTGCCTAGACTTCTGACCTGTAGAACTATAAGCAGCCAAGTTTACTATAATTTATTGTACAATAATGGAAAACTGAAATAGAATACAAAAATCAACTAAGGCATTTTGGAACAGTGCTGGGATCAAAACAGATAATGACTATTCTACTCCAGTGAAACAAAAGAGACCCAAGATCCATCACTAATTTATGTTCATCCACGCATTTGTTGGTGCTGACTATGTGATAGAAAATGAGCCAGGGATTTTCTTGCTCTTGAGGGTCTTGTGGTCCTGGGTTTCCTCCCAGAGCCTCTCAGTAGAGTCCCCTCTAACACTTCTTCCATTATATTTGTATTCAACAATCAGTCTTACATCCTGGTAAAAAGTAAACCACTTGAAAATCCTTTACCCTTTCTGAGCTTAAGTTATCCATCATTTAAATGGTCTGCTTCTTTGGGAATATGTGAGAATCAAATAGGATATTATCTAAATCACCAGTAATGATTACCTTTCTACAGTATGGCTCCTTTTCTTCTTTTCTCCCTTCCAACCTCCCTCCCACATCTGTTGACTATCTACTGTGTGTTTGAGAAGAGGCTGTGCCAGGTGGAGGATGCAAGGGTGCTTTGGACTCTGTGTGCTTAAAAGAGCAAGGTGACATATAGGGAAGCCACTCCCTATTGTTCAAGGTAGATCTTGTGATGCAAGGATCCTGAGGTATCAGGCTTGGAGTCAGGCTTGATTTGAGCTGATAGAAATTTGTCATCATCAATAGGTGTCTCTTCCAGAGCCAAGTCAGTAGGGGAACTCAAAGTAAAGGAAACCCATTTTCTTCTCCTTCCTTGGAATTGTCCCAGCACTGATCCTTGCATTATAAGAAAGTGGGTTTGTTTGAGAACACCACCCTGATTTGTTGAATGGGAATGAACAGACTCTGCTAATGGAGGTGGCCAAGTAGCCTGGACAAATGGTTTTGATTTTCTAGGGCCTCACAGCTTATTTTGAGTGCTGAAGAAACAAAATTATAATAACAAAATCGGACAATACTAAACAAAGCACCAAACAAAATAAGAAAGAAAATGAACATATTGGACTTCCAAAACCCATAGGAACTTTATTAGAGAACAAAGTGAAATGAGTAAAGTGCATTGTGGGGCAGGGTGGAGGCGGCAGGAATTACTGTTGACAGCTCTAGAGTCACCAACAATTGGGCTCTCCCCACCGGATTATAACCAGTATAATCTAAGGGACTCTCAGAACCAAAGTACCCCTGCCTTAAAGAGTAGCCCATCTTAAGGTCATTTTGGCTAAAGTTAGCTGCCATTGTAACTGCCGCCAGAGGGCCCCATCTTTTTCTGGAGGACTGCTTCATACCTGTCCTTTAGAGGCTATGTTTACCTGCAACTGCTTTTTCCATGGGATCAGAAATATTTCCTAGGCAGATCTTTCTTAGTTGAAATTGGTTTAATTACTCTTTTTGTAAACATTTGTAATACATATTTTTATCAATAAGTACAAAGAAATATATAATAGAGTATGTGAAATCCCTAAACCTAGAAACAAACCCATCATGAATATTTTGATACATTTCCCTCTAGTCTTTTCTCCTACGAATATGCAAAAAAATCCCAACACATAGTTGAGATTGTATTGTATCTACCATTTACCACCTGCTTTCCTCACTTAAGATTTCATGAGCATCTTTCCTTTACGTTAAATCTTTTTGCTTAGTGTTTAATATCTGACGAACATCTCAACAATTGGGTGCCCATAATTTATTATTTAATTTCTTTGTAACACTTTTAAATCACACACACACTCTCTCTCTCACACACACACACTCACACACGTATTCCATAATTTTTGTAACTAATTTTTTTGAAGATTGTATACATATATGTTTGTGTATGTATGTATTGTGTATATGTATGTAAATATATCCATACACATACAAACTTTTATTCTGATTTTTATAAATAACATTGTGATGAATATGCTTATTATATCCTTAGAGTAAATTCGTCTGGGAAAATCCCTTATTATATATCCTTAGAATAAATCCAGAAAGTAGAATCATCAGATCAAATAGTAATTCATTAGTTATACTGAATTTAAAAGAATTGAAATGTTTGTTTCCCGTGACCAAAAAAGGTAAATGTTCCACAAAGACCGAAATAATTTCTGAACATCACCATTGGACAACAAAGTTGTGAAAATGGTATGTTCTCATATTGTTCTTTCTAATGCAGTAGCCAATAGACCTGTGACTATTTACATTTAAATTTTAATTAATGTTAAATTAAGTTAAGAATTCATTTCCTGGTTTGCACCAGACACATTGGAAGTGCCGCATGTAGTTAGTGGCATACATATTGGGCAGAAAAAGTTACAACGTTGCCAGCATTGCAGGAAGATCTACTGTGCGATGCTTCTCTATTTTCTTCTCCAGTTCCTTCATCTTTATGTTTGGAATTTAGCCTAAGTAAGATTAAAATATGAACAATGCATATTTTGTGTATGATTAATTTGGTTTGTTACAAAGCGGGTTTCTTGGTGAAAATTTTCACCTTTCCACTGAAGATGAAAAATGTGATGCATCTTTTGGAAAATGTAAAAAAAAAATGGAAATCCAACCCTTTGTCTTGCTTATGCATCCTCTTATAGGCTGAAAATGAAGTACTAGTGTTTAAGCTAATACCACTGTTGATGACAATCTCGGGTGGTTGCATGCTTACTGTGTGCCAAGCATGTTGCTGTTGTACTGCCCGTATTCCTCACAAGGTCTCCGGAAGGTGCAGTTATTATTTACATTTTGTAGAAGAGGAAGCTGACGTACATAGAGGTCAAGCTCCTTTCCTAAAATCACACCGTCAGCATGTAGCTGGGGCCTGATGGGGACCTAGGCTTTCTGACTTCAGAGTCCACATCCTTTACTATCCCTATACTGCTTCTCAAGAATGTCCCAGGCTGTTAGAGAGAAGGCCATCTCTTTGCCACACTGCAGAACTGTGACACACGTGTAATAAAGCCTCCCAGCTGCTCGAGATATACCCCTACACCACATACCCAGAAGCACACCCCCACAGCCTTTTTCTTGAGGAACTTCCACTGAGCCCAATCCCATCTGGAATGAAGAGTGCTCAAGGGCATTTTGGAGAAAGTGTCATTCATTTGTACTCTGACACTTTCTCATTTAACAGACTCTGTTAAGTCAGATGTATGTATTTTTGCACATTTCCTCTCTATCCTTCTTTTATTATGGTGTGAAGTTTTGTTAATAGGCCTGAGAAGAGAAGAGGAAAGGGAGAATGTGAAACGTTGTCAAAATCAAAGAGTTGGAGCCCAAACAAATGTTCTTAATGTGGGCATTTGTTTGCAGGAGAAGGATCAGAGGCAACCAATGTAAGCAAAGCTCCTTGATGCTTAAACTTCAATGAGGAGAAAACAAATCACAAACACAGTCTTAGGGATGGTCAGGTCCAGGCTGAAAGCAGTCTGGGGATTTTCAGTTTCAACCTTTTCCAAAAGGTGTCACTCTAAGGCAGCAGTGGGGAGGTGGGAAGGAGGAAGAGATAGAAATGTCAGATAAGGGTAATTGGAAAAATAAGATTAGTAGTCCTTGTTTTAACAGGTCCTTCAGCCTCCAGCATCACTGTCGGAGGAGTTGCTGCTGCTGACGGGGGGTTTAAGCGTTTATCTTCACCTTCTGATCTCAGGGTGACCTTCTGTGTCCAGAGTTGTGCTGGGCCAAGTCCAGCTATTCCCACAGGACCAATTCACATTCCAGATTTGCTGCAACCTGGGATATGGGGATTTCATTGGTTCTGTGTTCTGGTGCAAACTGAAAACTGCCATCCTCTTGCACTCAGGATGGAATGAAGACAGGAAACCAGGATGGATGGCGGAGCCTAACTCAGAAGAGCCTGTCTGTTTTTGAAATATGGCTTTAAAAATTCCAAATCATTAACAGAAAATACACACCAACTCCATGCTGACATATAATTTAAGGGAAAAAATAGCTTTATCAAAATATTTGAGTATCAGCTCTTGCCAAGCAAGCCTCTTGAAAAGCATGGGAAGCTGCCACGCGTCAGGAAGAGATGCATGGAACCTGGAGTGGGGTCCTGGCAGATAACTGAGAGAGAGGCTGGTTTTCAAATATTTAGTTAAACAACACAAATGTATGTGTAAGTTTAAGTCGACACATGTTAATGATTTAAGGTCTTAAACGGGTTTTTTATTTTATTGTTTTAAGGCTCCACTGTTCACTTTAAAAGATCCGACGATTTCTCCAGAGCCATGCGTAAACACTGGACTTTTTAGAAAGCCAGGTGATGACTTCATTATTCTGAAAGTGAACAGTTATGAATTATTCAGATACAGTAAATACAGTTGAATATTTCCTGGTAACAACTATTTTAAAAGAGAGTTTTAATGATATGATCTGCAACATAGAATGACTAATACAATCAGAAATAGCACACAATTATTCAGGGTTTTTTCTTTTTTTGTAATTGATTAAGCTAAATCAACATCTAGCTTGAAGAAACCTTTAATTATTATGTTCTAGATATGTAACACCAAGCCAATGTATTTTAAAAATGTAATCTTTGATATAAAATCAGAATTCCAGTCTTGCCACATTTGAGGACCTTTTAGGAAATTATTTTAAGTGAAACATCTGGAATATTCTAGAGACTTCTGAGGTGGCTGTGAATCCTGTTTTCACTGAAAATGACATTTTAGCAATTAAACACCTTTTCTAAAACTTTTTTCCCCAGGAAATATTATTGTCTGGTGAATTACTAATAGATGTACTTCTAAAAGAAGCACATGCTGTGTTAAATAGAGACAAATGGGTTGCTTTCTTGCTGGACTGTCAAAAGCTTTTATTGTCTCTTAATTACTGTGATTCTCCAACTAGCATTTTTCTAAAGAATGGGACCACAGGGCATCTTCCAGCTGGGCCACCACCTGCGCTTCCCCAGGCTACTCCACTTGCTTGCCTTAGGGAGGCCAGCCACAGTGCCTAGTGCAGGATGGGCTGCTGTTTTACTCTTTTGCACCACCCAGTACTTTTCTTTAAAATCACTATTGTGATTAAGTAATTTGTTGATTCCCAACTTCCCTGTGGAAACCCTTCTGAAGACAGACCTGTGGCTAGTGTCCAGCAGAGTGCCTGGCATGTGGGAGATGCCTAGCGAGGTGGTGGAATGAAGGAAAGGAGTGTGTATCTCCCAGGTCCCAGGACAGAGCATGTGGAATGCATAGCAGGACCAAAAGCCACATGCTTCTATACCAGCGCAGAACCTGAGACATCTTTATTGTGTCTCTGTGAAACTCACAGGTTCCTGGGTTCTCCAGGCGGCTGCTGGGGTGGCAGCGAACATAGGGCCTCCATCCTTTCAGGAGCCAAGTAACTGAGCCCCCTCATCCCCATAGCAAAGAGAAGGTGCTTGAAGCAAACAGAGAGCAAGAACTTGAAGGGTATTTGTTGAGGATGGCGAAGGGACCACTGATTTATGGGGTAGGAAAGTATCAAGTTTGGACTTACACTTCATCCATCATTGCACTAAGTGGGTCAAAGGAGGGTGTTTCAGAATCACGTCTTTGTGCTCCCCTTCCTCCCATTGCATAGGTATTTATTGAGTGTGGATACTGGTGCTATGTCAGGTACTGAAGGGGCTTGCAAAGAAGATGGAGACACAGTCTCTGCCCTCCAGGGATTACAGTCCAGTTGTATTATAGCAACTAAGCATACATATTGTGCAGAATGGGTGCAGGCAATGAAAACTGAAGGCAGTTGGGTTGGGTGAAAGTAGTGAGGCTAGGAATGGGCATGTGCTGGTGCCTTCCAGGGTATTAGGCAGGGTACTTTCCATGCATTATTTCACTTTACGCTTATGTCAATTCTGTGTGGCTGCTTCTGCTTCCTCTCCACTTTAAAGGGGAGGATCTGTAGGCTTAGAGAGGTCAGTAACGTCTAGGGTTCCAAGACTTGGCTGCATTTTGGAATCACCTGGATCTTTAATAAAATACAGATGCCTGGCTCCCGCCCTCAAATATTTTGATTTAATTAGGAGCAGTGTGACCACGGCATCAACATTTTTAAAAGCTTCCCAAGGGATTCTAACATGCAGTAACCTAACCAATCTTAAACCAAGTTTGGGAAACATTGGGTTAAGATTGGCCTAAGGTCAAAGATCTTGTAGGTGGAACCCAAACTTGACTCATATCTGACTGCTTCTAGAGCTCCAGCTTTTGATCGCTGCAAGCTGTGAAGGAGGTCAGGTGTAGACAGGGCCTTAAAGAATGGGCAGTTTTGATAAGCAGAGGAGTGAATGTAGGGCAGTCCAGGGGTATATGTGCATGTGTATGTGTGGTTGAGCATTGGTGAATGGAGCAATATGCAGACATAGATAGGCTGAATAATTACTAGGCACTGTATTAGAAAGAGTTGATACTTCTGTGGCACTACTGAGTACTAGGCATTGTGCTGAGAGCATTGCCCATGTGAACCCATTTAATCATCATAAAAACCCTTTGAGCTAAGTTATGTCATTAGCTCCACTTCACAAGAGGTACTTGAAGCTCAGAATTTTGTAATTCATTGTTCAGCTGCCACGTACATGTGAGAACATGTGATACTTGATTTTCTCCTTCTGAGTTAGTTCGTGTAGGATAATGGCCTCCAGCTCCATCCATGTTGCTGCAAAGGACATGATTTCCTTCTTTTTTTATAAAGTAGGGAGGGAAGAAGGGGGATGAAGTTTGAAGAAGTACCTGTTGGGTATAATGTTCAATATTTGGGTGATGGGTACACGTAGAAGCCCAATTCCCACATGCAACGTACCTATGTAACAAACATGCATATGTAGCCCCTAAAGCTAACATTTTTTAAAAAAGTCAATTCTATTATTATATTGTCCCCAAATAATCCTTCTTCTGGGCATTTTAATATAATTTGAGTAAAAATTACCATAACCTAATTTTTGCATAGCAATGGTAATGCTTAATACATGTTTAAAGCAAATTTTGCCTCCAAGTTTAAGTTGAGAAACCTAGAAAATTTTGTCTAGGTTCTTTCATGAAGGTAAACAGTCCAGTTTATTTCTATAACTTTGTAATAGTGCTTATTGAATATTATTTATTAAATGTAAATACTATTTTATTTTTCTTACATGAAATCAATTTTTCCACCTGGGAAAAAAGTTATAATTCACTTAGAGTGAATTTATACATCTAGTAAGTGGCAGTCTAGCTCCTGAATTATGTTTCTAAGCCACTACGCTGCTCCGCCTCTTGTGTTAAGAATATACTAAGTGTTTTCATATTTGCCAGGCTCAGCACTAAGAGCTCTGCAATCATTGCTTCATATAATACTATAAGTACTATTGTTACAGATGATCAGGCAAAACCATGTCCTCACTTAGGGGTAAGAGTAGAGTCAGAGGCTAGGGATACACACATGAGCATATGCACACACATGTGAAAGCCCACATATACATACATATGTGTATGCATGCATAATTATGTTCTACCTTATTATACATGTGGGAGGGGTGTCAAAAGTAATGATAGAAGGGAATGATGGATCCAAGAAATATTTCCAAAATAGAGCTCTAGGAGTTGGTGATGAATGGAAAATAAAAGAGGAAAGAGAAGATCAATGTGGCTCTGAGGTCTTAAACAGGAATGACTGAGAAAAGGTCAGGGCCTTGGACCAAAATGGTGGATGTGTTAGGGAGTGGCAAGTTGGGAGGGTGAGGACAGGTGATAGGAGTTTGGTTTAGGCAGGTGTACACGGGTCAAGAGTTGGCTTTTGGTCATCCTCAATTTAAAGTAATATTAGGACATCCAGATGGAAGTGATCAACAGGTGGTTAGGTACATGTGAAAGAGGTCAAGTGAGGAAAAAGGAGATAAAGTTTGGAGAGACATCTACATAGAGGTGAGAACTGTAGAGACAGACCTCAATGCATCCCCTGTATTTCTATGTGGATGGTGGAAATGCCTCTAGGATGGAGTCACAAGGAGAAAGACCCAGTTATGGGCTGCAGGAAGATGAGTAATTTGCAAAATAAACAGGGGAATAAGTTCCTAAGTGTCGTAGTCCATTTGGGCTGCTCTAACAAAATACCATACAGTAGGTGGCTTATACATAACAGAAATGTATTTCTCACATTCTGGAGGCTGGGAAGTCTAAGACCAAGGTGCCAGCATGGTCAGATTCTGGTGAGGGCCCTCTCCTGGGTTGCAAACTGCTGACGTCTTGCCGTGTCCCTACATGGTGAAAGGGGACATACAGACTCCATTGGGCTTCTTTCATAAGGTCACTAATCCCATATAGGAGGCCTCTGCGCCCATGACCTAATCATTTCCCAAAGGTCTCACCCCTTAATGCCATCATCTTGGGGGTTAAGATTTCAACATATGAATTGTGGGGGTACGTAAACATTGAGACCATAACACTAAGAGAAGCATCAGTTTTAGGAAGATGAGGAGTGGATAGAGCACTGCTCATATATTAAAACTGTATTTCCAAAAGACAATTTAATTACAAAAGAAAATTCTCATCATATATCAATTATATACACAATTATGTATATATTTATATGTAGCATCTCAATTATATGTGCATAAATATAGAGAGAAATTATAACAATGTTTATAATGTTTACTTCTAGGTGGTGGGACTTGGGAGGATCTTAACTAAAAATGATGTTAGTATTTAATCTTCAGAAGAAAGCTAAAACATTTTCATACCTGGATTTTTCATATTTTTTACAATGAATATACTTTATTCTTTTTCTTTTCTTTGAGACAGGGTCTCACTCTGTCACCCAGCCTGGAGTGCAGTGGCATAATCACAGCTCATTACAGTTTTGGCTTCCCAGGCTCAGGTGATCTCCTTGCCTCAGCCCCCCAGGGTAGCTGGGACTCTAGGTGCGTGTCACCACGCCTGGCTACATTTCTTTTCTACTTTTTGTAGGGATGCAGTTTTGCCATGTTGCCCAGCCTGGTCTCAAACTCCTGGGGTCACCATTTGTGATCAAATGATCCACTGGCCCTGGCCTCCCAAAGTGTTGGGATTATAGGTGTGAGCCACTGTCCCTGGCCACACTTTATTCTTATTATCAGAAAAAAATTAATTTCTTGATATCAGAAGAAGAAGAATAAATGCCTTATGGGCTACATCATCTCACTTAATGTGCCCATAATCATCTGATAAGCAAGCAATAGGGTTCCCTATTTACCTGTTGAGGTAAATATGGATGAGGAAATGGAAGCTGAGAAAGATGAAGGAGCTCATCTCACTCACACCGTAATAATGCCATGGTTCCAATCTGGTGATGAAGACACAAACTACATATGTACAGTCAATCAGTTAAAATGTTATTTCAAAGAAGGGACAGAGACTTGGGGGCATGTTTAGCTGTGCAAACCACACATTAAGAAAAGACATTTGGCAAGAAGGGAGTTACTTGTGGTCTGCAAGAGTAGAAATACCATGGGACCGCAAGAATAACAAGCACTTTCCTCTGGTTGAGAGATGACTGTGATGGGGAGATGGAGGCAAGCATAGAGCACTTGATAAGAATCAGACAGTTGGCTCATGCCTGTAATCCCAGCACTTTGGGAGGCCAAGGCGGGTGGATCATGAGGTCAGGAGACTCAGACCATCCTGGCCAACATGGTGAAACCCCGTCTCTACTAAAAATACAAAAATTAGCTGGGCGTGGTGGCATGCATCTATAATCCCAGCTACTCAGGAGGCTGAGGCAGGAGAATCACTTGAACCCGGGAGGCAGAGATTGCAGTGAGCCAAGATCACGCCACTGCACTTTAGCCTGGTGACAGAGCGAGACTCCAGCTCAAAAAAAAAAAAAAAAAAAAAAAAAAAATAGAACCAGACAGTTCACCAGTGAAGATAGGCCAGGTTATGCTGGGAGTTACCACCCCCAATCTCAGAGGCAAAGCACAACAAAGGTTTATATTTTGCCTATGTGATGTGGGTTTGCCCTGGGCTTCATTGTGGTCACTCAGGGACTCAGGCTGAAGATGATGTCATCTGAAACTTGCTTCCACGGTCACCAGGGCAGGGAAAGGGTAACACTGGAGTTGAATGCTACCACTTAAATGTTTCTACCTGGAAATGACAGTGGTTTTAATTGGCCAAAGCCACACCCAATTCAAAGGGTGAGGGGATGTGGGGTCCTACCATGTGCCTGTAAGGAAGAGAACTAGAATATTGTGAAACCACCCTAATGATCACCCCAGCAGGGGAGATATTTTTTGCTTTCTAAGGCCCTTGTTTTGGCAGCAAAGGAAACAGTTTTCAGTTCTCTAGAATGTTAAACACAGGAAGAACCCATGGCCATCATCTAGGAAACTGAGATTCCGAGGGTATAGTGATTGTTTGCAAAAAGTTACAGAGAGAAGCAGTGGTCATGCTAAAACTAGAAGGATGTGTTCTGAGGCCAGTGCCCCACATGGTCCTCGGTCCAGGGCCACACAAATTAGGAAGAGTGAGGAGCTTGGCCTGGGAACTTATTTTAAAACTCTGTCTCCAAGATGTTGAGAGGAGCAGTTTCGTCTCATCTGATACTAGCAGTTACTGATGTTGGAGGCCAGTGGCTTCTCCATCAGTTACAACTCTGTATTGTGTCTCCCAGGTGCCCAGTTTCTCCATGTGCTTCTTGCTGAAATGGCTGGAGCAGCCTGAAATCATTACTCTAAAGTGTCATTTAAAGTTGGGTTAATGTAGAACTAGCTAGTGTTTGCCCTAAGCGGTCCAGTGGCAGGTGATCTAAGATTTGGAAACCCAGCTGAGTAGCTCTGTGTCTATAGATTGCAGATAGATCAGCTTCGATGAATGAGAGAGAGATTGAACAAATGAGAATAATGGAGACCTCCCACTCCTCTGAAATCAATATTATGTTTGAAATAAAGAACGATTTATGACAGAAAAGGAATCATGAGGACACAGACCATCTCATATGGAGGGTCAGGCAGACTATCTGAATTGGCATATGGAATGATCATAATTCTGATTTTTTGGGGGTCACTGCTATTTTCTATCAAAAATAGAAAAAGGGAGGAAAACTCAAAACTCCGCTTTAACTTCGTCACATATTGCTTTGGGCTTCTAGTCATATTTGTGATGTTCTGTGAACTTATATGAGAAACTGAAAAGTTTATTAATACTTTTTAAACTGCATAGATTTGTAAAGTTAAAGAATAATTCAATTTACTCTACAGTTACATAGGGGTGGTTTTGTCACTTTCATAGGTTATTCTTTATATTCCTTGCTTTTTAAACTCTTTTTGGTTTTGGCTTTGATTTAAACTACATGATCATTCAGTTTCCTCTTTTTATCAGGGCAAAATGAAGGGTTTTCTGAATCTTAAAAGCATATAATTTACCTTGGATGTGAACTATAATGCTTATTCTGAATAAATTTCATGTAAAACTGAAGAAATTGTGTAGAAAGTCTTTATGAATTGGAACTTAACATGTCATTGACACATTTTGAAGGGCGTTCTGTTGACTTTAGTGATGGATGAGCCTATTCTGCCAAGTTCAGCTGGAAGGGGTATTTTAGAAAGCCAAACATCAGCTCTGGAATCTAGAAACTTCCTGGAATCATGATTTTGGATCAGCAGGGAGGACACAGCCTGCATCTGTGCAAGGGATGGCATTTCACCAGCTTGCTCCACGGAAGTCTTTGGAACGGAACCATAAACACCAGCCTTCTTTGTTGTGTGTTGGCTTTTAAGAGTCCCCAAAGCTTTGGGGAGGATAAGGCTTTGCCTCAGGGCTCCTGGGTCTCATTTTTTGGGACCTGGCTGAAAACCGTGGATATTTGATAGTCTGGCTTATTTCTATGGTGTATTAGCACCCTATAAAAGTTACATGTCATTTATTTCAAGTTTAGAACCCTCTCAAACTTCAGGGGCAAACCAAACTTGAACCTTTTGTGGCTGGAATTCTGTTTACCTTTGGCCAAACCTTGCTTCCTGAATGTAAAGCTGGGAGGTGAGGTGAGAGGGACTCCTGAGGCTCCCTGGACATTGAATAGCTTTTACCAAACACGGCTTTGATAGGTTAAAACGTGACTGAATCTGAAACACATAGATTAACTTTCTTTCAAAGTACTCTGGGGCCTACACACAAAAGTATATTGTGCTGGGCAAAATGCATTTGAGTGTTGCCTTCCTTCAATGGTGAGAAAGTATCTGAGACTTTTGCCAAACAGAGGTTGAAATTGGGTCAAGCCACTCACCCCCAATTCTAGTGAACACATTAAGTAGTTTTATAAAGGTTATTGGGCAATCCAATTGAACAAGGACCTTGGAGAAATTTGGACATTTCTTGTGTTTGAAACATTTTTTAAGGGTTTTTGTTCTGTTTTGTTTTAATTTTTTCTTTCCATAGGTTTTGGGGGAACAGGTGATATTTGGTTACATGAGTAAGCTCTTTAGTGGTGATTTGTGAGATTTTGGTGCAACCATCACCCGAGTAGTATACACTCAACCCAATGTGTAGTCTTTTATCCCTCAACCCCCTCCCAGCCTTTCCCCACAACTCCCCAGAGTCCATTATATCATTCTTAGGCATTTGCATTTTCATAGTTTCAATGACAAAGAAAGAAAGGGCTCCAAGACACAGCGGCCCAGTTCAAGGATCCCTGTGATTCCTTTGTGTTTGTTGTTGGAACACAGGCTAACAAGGGATGTCTTGTGCTTGAATGAAGGAGAAATAACACACAGAGCTCCATGTGCCTTTCAGATAGAGGAACTGATGAATGCACTGGAGAAGACCAGACAGGAACTGGATGCCACCAAAGCACGCCTCGCCTCCACACAACAGTCCCTGGCCGAAAAAGAAGCGCACTTGGCCAACCTCCGGATTGAGAGGAGGAAACAGCTGGAGGAGATCCTGGAGATGAAGTGAGTACCCATTGCTGCTTTGGTAGCCTCTCTCTTCTAGCCTCTCTTGAGAGTGGGAAAGGGGAAGGGCTAGAGAAGATGAAGAAAGAGCTCAGAAAAAGAATAATTTAGCTCACACTTGCCTGGTCATTTCTGAAAGTATGTTTCTTATTTTTTAATTGTAACTTTGGTGTCTCAATTTGCACATTTCTCACATCTGTTATTGAAAAAAATATAGATCCAGCACTAGATTTTGGGTGTCTGTGTTGTGTGGATGGTGCTGGGATTCATAGATCTGTTGGAAAGGTCTGAGCCAGCCAAGAGATGGAGGCCCCGTTAAGCACAATGGTAATTTGAGCGCTGCTCAGAGTTAAGTGGAAACTTTTCTGAGGAGTTATTTCCTAATTGTGACTGTAACTTTGCTAATTATATTCTTCTCACTTGTGCACAATGCCTGGTTTGTGTTGACTCTCACAGAGTCTCAAGGTTGGCACCTCTTTGTTCAGAAAGTGAAACTTTGATTTGCTGGGCTTATAAAAATAGGTTAGAAATCCCACACCCCGCCACACCCCACCTAGGTGGGGGCTTGGGAAGCTAAATCAGGGAGATTGGATTGGAACCAATTGCTTCCTTTGATTTAATCAATGACATGGGGCTGAGTGCTGGGAAATGGTTGTTCCTGTGGTCCTGTGACACACCCACCTACACCTCACTCTTGTTTCATTCTCACAATGAAAGAGCATCATCATGGAATAACATAGGAAAGAAAATTACTGAGAAATTTTAATAAATATCAATTGCAATAGGTCTGTTTGTGAAGAACTAGTCAAGAAGGAGCGTCTCTATGTTTTTAAATGAAATCATCACTAAATTATAATTTAAATCTAACTTCCCTCCACAGTAAGGGGAAACATACATAATTACGGCATCTTAAGCCTATAACACAGACTTTGAAATTGGTGGCTAGGTATGGAAGTGACCTTATCGTGACCCAGCAAGCCTTACACATGGTTAGCATTAAACTCAGAAAGCTTAGATCATGGAAAATATTGGAATGAAATATTTTGAAGGATTTAATAATGAGGACAAAACATTTATTCCTCATCAACTACCTCAGTTTCTCCAAGACCAAAGAATAAATAGGGTTTTTTTCACATATAAACTAGCATTTTTTCTAATAAAAGATAATATAATAAAACCAGGTATTATTATACTCAGTTCAGAGGTGAGGGAGCTGAGACTCAGAGAGATTCATAATTTGCTTAAGGCCATCTGGCCATGACAAAACCAGTTTTCTACCTCAACCTCCGTTTCTGCTATCTAATTTTCTCCAGGAGTTTATGTGAACTCATTAAGACTAGAACTTTTGTCTGTTTGAGTCACTGTAGTCATTATGCAGACAAGAGCAGTGCTGGGCACATGGGAGGTGCTCAATGATTGTTTGTTGCCCACAACAGTGTCTTGAATGTGATAGGTGCTCAATGGTTTGTTGAGTGAGTGACTAGATTGAATACTGGAGACTGAATTTTATGTAGCTAAGAAGAAAAGTATTTTAAGTATCTGCGATATTATCACCTTCATCAATAATTTATTAACACTGTTAAAAGGATACATGTTTATAAGCACAGCATATATAAAATCTTGATGTTTGCCAATATTTACTGTTGTTTAAAAGATTAACTTATGTAATTAGTTGTGGAATATGTGTATGAATTTAAATGACACCCAGAAAAATTATAAATGTCAATATATGTGTAAACACTTAGCTGAGAAACACCAAAAATATAGTGTAGTATTAAATAATTGAAGAAACAGCAATATTCAAAGTGGAAAGTCCATTTATGAATGTATTCATGTTAGAATCTAAAGTTATGTATTTTTATAATGTCTATATACAAAGTTCATAAAATGGTTTATTTGAGAAAGTTTCCATCTTGCTGATATTGACCAATAAAATTCATTTCCTAGAAAACAATATGGAATGTTATGATTTATATAAGAATAGAGAAAGATTTTGGAATTGCATATGCTTCCACCTTCATTTTGGATTTGATTTTTGAATGGAGATTAAAAATACTGAAATTCAACTTATAAGTTTGTTTTACCCTTGAAAAATTTATCATATGATGTTTTTTGCATTTTACTTTCCATAATAAATGTAGTATAGAATAAAAATAATTTATCAACAATAGCCAATACTAGTATTAGTGCATTAGCAATATGGGTCCATTGATTCAATCAGCCTGTATTCTTTCCTGTTCACCTGTCTCTCGTCTTCCTCCCTGTGTGTTATGTGTCAAGTCCAGCCTAGTTTTTCTCCTTGTTTTCCAGCTGTTCTCAAGTTAACTCTCCATCTCCTGAAGTGATTTATTATGCTATTATAAAGAAATTTTAATTACTTCCTGTTTATAAAAGGAGCGTATACTTTCAACATTTTGAGAGAACAAGTAATGGTGAAATATGCTGGTTTGTGAGTCATCAGACCCAGGGTGGAATCCTGTTGCTTCCACCTGGTGGCTGTGACTTGGGAGAAATGCCCTTAACCTCACTAACCTTCCAGTTTCCTCCTGTAATGACTTGAATGGGGGTGGTTGTGAGGAGGGGTTCTCAGCAGAGAGTTTGGCACACAGAAAATGATATATGTATGCAAATGGCACTATCAGCCAATGAAAATATGTCCTCTGTTTAGCATACTTTGTGAAGAGTATCATTTATCTAAAATTTGGATTTATTTTTCTAAAACATATAAACTTTTTCCATGTGTATGTTTTCCCACTTAACTTCATGGTTTCAGATAGCACCTAACTAAGACCTCTTTTGGTGAATTGCCACATTATTGCTGAAGTGCTTAATCTGCTGCCACTGCAAAATAAATACAAAATTCCTGTGTTAATTCCTTTGGTGAAAGTAACAAAGCCCTGCTTCATTAAGCCTGATATGGGCCCTATTCACTATTTAACTGGCCTAGAAGCCCAACCTGTGGGCTTCTGCCCTGGGACTATGGGAGGACTTAGGTACAGGGCAAGTATATTGACTGAGATCCTCAACTAGAGGCACCAGCCTCTTGGGCTGTTCAAGTTTGCCACTGGTTTGTTCAGTCACAGTGTTTAAGCTGAATTGACACACTGGTTACTTGACTTTGATTGAGTCCACATAAGTTCGTGGGAACAGTCAGATGGGTATTATCATTGTTGGTGAGTTGATATCATCTGTGCCAAGCATTGTTGGTTTTTCATTCAACCAGCACCCATTATCTTTAGACAGGCATCTTTAGGTCAGGTCTACCCAGTTTCCAAACCCTGGTGGGAAGGGAGAGGCTGTGTGATGTTAGAGGGAAGAGGGGTGAGGCCGTGAGTCAAGAGAAAGAAACTGTGATTTCATAACTAATTTCTGTCTCACCCCATAACATTAAACATCACTCTCTGGTTGCCTCAGTTTTCTCTTCAGTAAAATGGAGGTGATAATACCTGCCCTGCTTACTCTACAGAACTCTTGTAGGGATAAGATTTTTTTTTTTAAGCAGCAAACTAAAATTAATATAAACCAGCACATGTGAAAGTGCTTTGAAACCTAAAGGGGGCTTTTGAAAGGAGAGGTGGTATCTGTTAAATTCCTTGCAAACCAAATGGCACAGAGTTTTAGAATTGGAAAGCAACTGGGTCCAACCTCTCAGCCTGCAGAAGCCTGTCTCCCATTCACAGGATTACTCATAAGGAATTCACCAGGCCCTGGTGAATACCATTCCCATGGCAGGCCATGGGCTCATAAGGTGGTGGTTCATGTTCCATGGCTCTTACAGGTAGCTCATTTGTCATTATATTGAACTGAAATGTCTTTCCATTTGTCTTGGTTTTTGTTCCAGAGCTATACAGAATTTACCTGAACCCCATCCAAAGATAGATATTTGTTTAGATGTTTGTTAGGTGATATTGTTCATTTTAAGGGAAAAAAAAGAGGCAGTATAAAGAAACAATATGAAAAAAATTATTCATGATCCTAACATGGAGAGAGAGACACTGATGGCATTTTGGTGTATATCTTTGCAAATGCTCCTTATTTTGTAAAGAAAATTGGACTGTACTTGCCTATTTTGCAAGTGCCTCTTCTTCTGTGAACGTGAACAACCTTCTATGTTGCAAACATAGGATTGCATTATTTTTAATTACTCAATATACTGTCATATAGGTTTACATCATTATTGGGCATCTGTGTCAGTTCCAGTGTTCTGATAAGCATTCTGCTGTTTAATTTTATTTTATTAACATATTTGTAAATACCTGTGGATTGTCAGGCTGCTGCAAGAAATATTATAAAGAGGGTTCTCATATCCTTCAACCATTTCCCTAATTGGTAACATCTTTCATAACTAAAGTACAACATCACATGAGGAAATTGATATTGGTACAATCTACCAGCCTTCTTCAAATTTCTCCAGTTTTACATATCTATTAACATTATTCCAATTTCTCCAGTTTTGTGGTGTTGTTGTTGTTGTTGTTGTTGTTGTTGTTGTTGTTGTTTTGAGACGGAGCCTCACTCTGTTGCCCAGGCTGGAGTGCAGTGGTGCAATCTTGGCTCACTGCAAGCTCTGCCTCCTGGGTTCACACCATTCTCCTGCCTCCACCTCCCGAGCTGCTGGGACTACAGGCACCCACCACCACACCCAGCTAATTTTTGTATTTTTAGTAGAGACAGGGTTTCACCTTGTTAGCCAGGATGGTCTCGATCTCCTGACCTCGTGATCCACCCGCCTCAGCCTCCCAAAGTGCTGGGCTTACAGGTGTGAGCCACTGCACCCGGCCTTAACATTATTCCAATTTATCCAGTTTTACATGCACTTGTGTGTGTGTGTGTGTGTGTGTGTGTGTGTATGTTTAATTATATCCACTTTTATTACATGTGCTGATTTGTGTCACCACCACCACAGTCAAGATGCAGAACTGTTTAATCATCACAATGACCTCTGGTACTATCCTTTTATACTTACATCCACTCTTAGGCTGTTTAATTTTTACCCAAAGTTCTGTTTTGTGTTATATCATTTTGGGACATGTGCCACACTGACCTACATTTTCTCCTACCATTCTTCTTTGGCTTCTCTTATTTTAAATGCCAACTGGATTTAGAGTGAGTAAATATTGCCTGATTCTTCCAATGTAAAGATTTCTCACGATGTGATTTTATTTACAGTGGAATTTTCTTTTAATATTGGATATTGTGAATCTGTCACATGGTAGGCACTCAAAAAGTATTTGAAAAATGAAAGGATGAATTAGTTAAAAAATGTATAAATATTCACTGATGATCTACTATGTGCTAGGTACTCTTTTAGATGAACAAACTTGACCTTGTTGAGCTTGCATTTTAGTAAAATGAGTGAAGGAAATGAATAAACAAATAAGCAAATAAATGAATAGATAAATAGATAAAGTAGTTTCTTATGTAACCAAAGAGGTTTGGAATCCCACTTAGAAAGTCATTTCCAAAGGTAAGGACCCTCTTGTTTATTTGGGGCATGGAGGGACATGGAAAGTGTGGTGTATTTTCCTGTAATGTGGGAACACTTTTAGGAACTGAGGCCAACTTGATTCAAAAGGAGAGCCTTGATTCTATAGTCATCCCTTGGTATCTGTGGGTGATTGGTTCTAGGGCCTCCTTTAGATACCAAAATCCACAGATGCTGAAGTCCCTGATATAAAATGGCATAGTATTTGCATATAACCCACGCACATCCTCCTGTATGCTTTAAATCATCTCCTGCCTTCTTATACCTAATACAATGTAGATGCTATGAAAATAGTTGTTACATTTGTATTGTTTAGGAAATAATAGCAAGAAAAAAAGTCTGTACATGTTCAGTGCAAATGCATTTTTTCCAAAAATATTTCTGATCCGTGGTTGATTGAATCCACAAATGTGGAACCTATGTATACAGAAGTCCAATTGTATACATGTGTATGATTATTTCCCTCAACATTCCTGGCTTAGTCCATTTAGTGTTGCTATAAAGGAATACTGAAGCTAGGTAATTTATAAAGAAAAATGGTTCATTTGGCTCATGGTTCTGCAGGCTGTACAAGGAGCTTGGTGCCAGCATCTGCTTCTGGTGAGGGCCTCAGGCTGCTTCCACTTACGGCAGAAGGGAAAGGAAAGCTGTATGTGCAGAGATCACATGGGGAGAGAGGAAGCAAGGTGGAGATGAGGGAAAGAGCCATGCTCTTTTTAACAATCAGCTCTTTCAGGGAAACTAGCAGAGTGAGAACTCACTCACCCCCAAGGGAGAGGGCATTAATCTATTCAAGGGATTCACCCCACAACCCAAACACCGTTTTCCCATTAGGCCCCACCTGGGATCAAATTTCAATAGGAGTTTTGGAGGGGACAAATATTCAAACCACAGCAATACCCTTCTTCAGTCTGGTCTTTATTGGTTGATATTCTAACTGCCAGTTATTATTCCTCTGCTGGAAGAAACTAACAGTTACCAACCATATATTTTCATAGTACATAATATTCACCTTTCCTTGTGTATAAGATTATTCTTGTACTTAAAATATATCCAAAACTTCTTGCTAAAACATTTCATAATTGTTCAATTTTGTTACATTTACTCCTATTTTAAAGGAATTTTATTAAAAGCATATTAAGAACATCATTTTATGTTTGATTTTATTAATGCCAGCTAATAAGCTTACATTCCAGTAACAAAAGCCCAGTTATTTAATTTATGGCAGGTGGAGTTGAAATCTGTGGCTAAAAGAAATTGAGGGCCATGAGATACAGTACTTAAAAATCTGTGTGCATTTGCTTTGACGATTTAAACTACTATAGTAGTTTAATAGGTAGACAGGCATCCTAATTGATATTTTTCATTTAGTATAAAATGCTAAGTTGAATAAGGGTTTTGATACCTGCTTAATAGTCACATATTTTGAAATGTTTATTTTAGACTTTCTGTGGTGATTTCCTATGCTTATACAAACATTTTCAGCAGGCCCCTTTGTTTTTAACTCATCTGACGATATGGTGCAATTCATCTTAATTTACTGGGTATTGTTGGGTTTTAGACGTCTTCTCCAGATAGCCTCACAAGTCTTTGTATACACTGGATTATTTTAGGACATTTACAGTGAGGTAAGACAGCAGCTTATTCGAGGGCATTATCCTGTTGGCCTCTTTGATCTAAGATCCTTTCTGAGAGAGCCACTCATTAGGTAAGTACCCTTCAAAGGAGAGCAAGGGTGCAGAAATGATAAAATCAATTTATTTTTTACTTCATGCCAACATGAGAAAAGACAAATCACATTTCTTTAGGAAGGAATCCTAAGTGCCTAGCAATTTGGACAGGATAAATGGAGTTTGGGAGAAGAGTTTTGAAGCCAATTGTTACTTAAAATTGATAAACTCAATAAACAAGAGGGTTGTGCTAGCCCACAGAGATCTTATGGGGATTGACTGAGATTATAAATTCATGAGAAAGTGATTTTTAACCCACAAAAGGCTATACATATATTAGTATGTTAGGTACATTCATTACAGTTAGCATACACTAATCCTGTCTTTAATTTACAACTTGGCCTTCTCCATTCAAGAATTTCTTTTTTTTCTTTTTTTTTTTTGCTATAATACTATTCTTTCTTTAACCAGTAGTTTATTGAGAAAAACTTTAACATGTCCAATTTTAAAAATATTAAATACTATGGTAATGTGTCCTAGAATGTCCTGTTTGTCATCTGTTTCTGTTTACTACCTGCTCAGTTCCAACAGGTATTTAAATCAGCTAGAACACTGATAAAGCCTATTGCAGCTTTCTGAGTTACCTGTAGTGAGTCAGGACAGGTAGCAGAGAGGGAAGGAATAAATGTCACAAAAAATGACTCATTCAAAACCAATTTTGGTTTTAGCTGCAGGCAGTGACATAAATGCACAGTTGCTTACTACTCCAGATTTCTGTTTCCTTCTTTTAACTCTGAAGTTGATGGCTTATAGTCTATAGCAAAAACAAAACAAAACAACAAAAAAACTATGCTGAACATAAAACTTATAGTGGGTAAGTAAAACTTAACTATAAAGAAAATAACTTTAGAATAGAGGAATGTTCTAGTTAGCTTCAAATGCAAGAATCAGAAAACCCCACATTCCAGAAGCTCATACAAGTAGCTTTGTAATCACTAGGGACTCACGTTCCTTCTGTCTTGACATTTTGCCATTTTTAGCATTTGCTTGCACCTCTTAGTGTGAGACTTTTGCTTCAGTTCCAGCTATCCAATCCCTATTCCAACCAGCAGAAAGGAGGCACGAGAAAGAAACCTCCCTGTCCTTTAAGTTACACATCCCATCCATTGACATCTGAGTCATTTCACAGTTTATTCAATATTTGCTGAGCATCTGCTATGTGCAAGCACTGTTCTAAGCCCTAGGCAGTTATCTAAGCCCTGTTCTTAGTGAACAGAAAGGACTCTATGAACAAAAATCCTCCTGTTGGTGGAGCTTATATTTTACTAGATGTGAGAACAAGTGTGGGGGAAGGGGCCCACTGGCCAGGGTTTTAAGCCACATGGTCATACTTAGCTTCAAGACCAAGCAGGGAAATATAGCCTTTAGCTGCATTCTGGGAATCCAGTTCTAAGGAAGGAAAGGAAAGAATGGATATTGGGGGCAATTGGCAGTCTCTGACAACATGAATAAAGTGTGAAGAAAAATAGGTCAACTGGTATGTTATGTCACTTAGCAGTAAAAAACAACTTTGCAATTACACCTCTAGTCTATTCCTAACAGACATGTATGTGTATGCATGTATGTTTAGTGCATATCTGAGTTCATTTCTGGGTACCATGGTTGGTAGACTGTGAGGAGGCATGTAGTGAGTGAACAAGTTGAGGTATTCCTGAAAATCTCTTTGTGCTGGGGATAGCTGACCTATAAGGGGTATTAGGTCCAGAGAAGTCCAAGAAGACAGATGCTTCTTTTAACTGTTAAGGAAGTGACTGTAAGAAGAAAACTGGGCTTGATTCATGCTGCCTCAGATGACTGTGCTAGAGTTGGTAGGCAAAATTTGAGAGGAGGAAGATTTTTCTTTTAGTGCAAAAGAACTCTGTAGCAGCAGGAACACTCTCACCTGTTTTGCATGCTGCAGAGGAAATTTTCATCCCAAGTGAAAGGCAAAGGCAATCTCCAAGACCCTCCTGTATGTAATTCCACTAAATAAATGCCCTGTCACGTAGATGAAACTTAGGAAATGCTGGGCTCTTTTTCGTTCCTTCCCTTGAGGGACTTAATTTGAATGCAGAAACTCTGCCAAAAAAAAAAATTAAGAAAAAGAAAAAAAAAGAAAAGAAAAAGAAAGAAAAAAGAAAGTTACTGCATGGTTTAGGACACTGCTCTAATACATCCACAATAGAATTTTCCCTGAATTTTTAGGCATTTATTTTTCATAAAACTCTTAGGTTATTAAATATATGAGCCAAGCAGGGATGTGTTTCATAGCTCATTATAGAGAAATAATTAAAGTGAGTTAAATTGCATGTCAGGTAGAATCAAGAGTCCTTCACTATCCCTGCCTTGAGGAATGTACTATCTTGGATTAAAATGTCTTCAGAGAATTAAATTAGCCCAGGCATATATGCTATCCAGTGCA
The DNA here is from genome assembly GCF_000001405.40 of Homo sapiens. Lineage (NCBI taxonomy): Eukaryota > Metazoa > Chordata > Mammalia > Primates > Hominidae > Homo > Homo sapiens. Next base: position 55,878,772 of record NC_000003.12, on the reverse strand, counting down.
TGCAGACTTTGGGGGATGGGATTAATATTACCAGTGAACACTTATTAAGTACTGATTCCATGGACTAAGTACTTCACCCAGATAGTGCTGTCACCTCCTGTGAGGCGGGGAGTATTATTGCCCCCATTCTGTGGATGGAGACACTGAGGCTCATATATGTGGAACTCAAATACAAGTCTGTTTGACACTATAGTTCACAGTCTTAGCCATTGAGTGCAGTCTTCCAATGAAGAACTTGAGATATCAGTGTAAGAATTTCAAGTGTGGGAATGGTGGCACCAGTTTTAATTAAATAGTAGAAAGCAGTGGGCAGATAGGTGCTTCTTCCCTTTTTTGGGGCAGGAGGACAGCAGGATGGGGAGATGGTGGGAGGAAGGGGGCCTGAGGAGAACTAGTTGGAGAAGGCCTTTGAAGTTGGCTTCCTTATCTTAAAACAAAATAAGGGACACACTGTCTTCCGGCCAAAAACATGCACTGTATGTATAGTTTTAATAGAGAAAAATGTCAGTCAAAAGGGACTTCAGCCTGGTGGTTTTTAATGGAAATACAAACATTTTCTGAGCTAGAGAAGTATAGTCTTTCAGCCTAAATAATCATAATCAGCAGTTAAATAATCTAAATGCTTGTGAATCATAGAGTTTAAATAATTCCAAGCACCATACTTCATGTTATCTCTATCTTCACAGCAGCCGCATGGGGGCTAGGGAAGGTCACCCATTAAGAAAAGGGAAAAGAAATATTCAGGCCTTCCAACCTCCTAAAACATGGTAAGTCAGAGGAGGCAGTCTTGGCCCTTTCTTCCAATCCAAGAGCAGCAACATATTGAAAGAATTCTGACCAGTACCTGATCTAATACTGTAGGGGGCGTTGCCAGATTTAACCCCTTGATGCAAGGGACAGGGCAGCCACATCACACAAAGAAACACTAAGGAGCCGAGAGTACAGAGGAATCACACATCAAATCCTGAAGGAAGAATTATTTATGTAATCTCAGCACTTTGGGAGGCTGAGGCCAGTGGATCACTTGGGCTCAGGAGTTCGAGACCAGCATGGGCAATATGGCAAAACCCTGTCTCTACAAAAAATACAAAAAGTTAGCCAGGCATGGTGTTGTGTACCTGTGGTCCCAGCTACTCGGGAGGCTGAGATGGGAGGATCTCTTGAGCCTGGGAGGTTGAGGCTGCAGTGAACTGTGATTGCATCACTGCACTCCTGCCTGAGTGACAGAGTGAGACCCTGTCTCAAAAAAAAAAAAAAGAAAAAATAAAAATTAAAAAAAGAGAAAAGAAAGAAAAGAAAAAGAATTATCGGTGCAGTGAGGAGAACCCTGAGCACTCTAGTTCATAGCCTGACTCTGCCAGTTGTAGTTGGTTAAGCCCAGGCACGCCTGACCTGGTCTTTCCATCTGTGAACAGGCCTGTGGACTCAGATGATTTCATTAATATTCAGTGATTCTCTGAGGCCTTAATTGGGGGTGGTTTTACCTATCAGGGGAACCTTTGGCAAGGTCTGGAGACATTTTTGGTCATCCCAACTGGAGGGGAGGTGCCACTGCCATCCAGTAGGTAGAGGCCAGGAGGCTGCTAAATATCCTATGACACATAAGGCAGCCCCAACAACAAAGAATTTTCTGGCCCAAAATACCAGTGGTACTGAGGTTGAGGAACCTGTAACTAGCCTCATTTTTTATACTGGTGTTTCTTAAACTAGGGAAGAGAGAAGAGCTTTGTAGGGTCTCATCTCTGATTTAACTTGACTTATTTTCACATGGAACTCACACAGGATATATTTTCCTGTTCAGCACAATGATCAGGCATAGAGGTTGTAGTGGCCTGGGGACTTCCCATTCTGTATAGATGACTTTGACCTCTTGATTCTAGCTTGCTTTCTTGGCATTAAAGACCAGCTCACTATGTAGCTCCCCAGTGGAATTGACACAGTTCTCAGATTCAAATCCTCAGGGGATGGAACTCCCTGTGAGATGTAAACCCTGGCTGGAATCCAAAAGACCTGTTCCATCAATGCCTGCTGCTTGGCAGACAACATAATCCTGTCTAGCTCCAGAATTCCATCATTCTTTAACCTGTGGTTCTTTCTGGTCCACAGTGTGCCCAGCTATAAATTGAGAGTGTGAAATTGGACAGTCCTCAAGGGTTGGGCTGGTCCTGTAAATTGATGCACAATTATAACAGCCCCTTTTACTCTCTTTCCACTTTTGTTTCTCCTTACCATTTGTTCCTTCTTCACAACATCCCTCTGGGTAGCCAGATCTTTTTCTAGGGAAGCACTTCTTACAATGTTCATTTAGACCAGAAAGGATAGAAGAGAAATGAGAACACTGGTGAAGTGAGAACACAGCGCAGGGCCTGTGGGCATCCAAGGGAAACAAACTGCTGCCTGGATGCCAGATGCCTGCCTCAACCATGAAGGGCAGGTCTTGGGCAAATCCCAATTCATAGGGTTTCTCTGCCTTCCTGTAACATTTTCTTTGCCTTGGTAAAATCCAGTCCAAATATTATCAAGTGAAGTCTCAACCCTAAGGATGAAAAGGTAAACCTCAAGATCTATGTCCTCACTGGAACGAGCTATTTCAAAAGGATCCATGTCAATGAAGACTCAGAGGATTTTAAGGGAGGAATAGCATGGAGGTGGGCTTTGAATGTTCTTGGTCCCTCCTAAACATTCAATAAATGTTTGTCAAATGAATGAATGAATGTTGATGAAAATTATACTTTGCTTCTTGCTGGCTGCCTCTTTTTTCTTTCCCCCTTTCTTACCCACTCTCTCTTCTCTTCCACTCCATGTCCTGTTTCTTCTTTTCCTTCCTCTCTTCCTTCTTCTCTTAACTTTTCCCCATCCTTCTCTCTCCTCTTTGTCTTTTTTCCCCCTTTCCTATCCCTGTTCTGGTGCCTTGAAAAGCACAGGGGTTCAAAATGCTTTCTGCATTGTCTCAGCATGGTTATCTTGCTAGATTGTAATTTTGACTTTTGGGCAGGAGGCAGACCAAAGTAGACCAAACATGTGGGAAGAGGGGTGAGAGAGAGAGAGTGTGTGTGTGTGTGTGTGTGTGTGTGTGTGTGTGAATGAGTTTAGGGGCAGAAAAAGAGGGTCTGGCTCTGGCAATTTTGCCTGGGGAATGAGGTGTGTTAAGGGGGACCACTCAGTTCCCAGGAGCAAAGCGATCGAGAACTATAGCTCAAAGCCAAGCTGCCAGTCAAGTGGGACAAGTCTTTTGTGTTCCAGTCACGGAATTTGGGAACCAACAGATTGTGAAAATTGAAATGCAGTGTTTGACTTGATCTTTTGGTTAAGCCAGTTCCCTGGGATCTTAATTCGAACCTGCAGGAAGCTGAGGCCAACTCTGAGAGTCTGCTATTACCTCACCCCTGATGCTTCACTTACTTGAAGACATTTGCAGAGTGCACTGCAGCCAGTGCCAGCATGCAGTTATGATAACAGTTCAATTGCTGTCATTCCACTCTATTTTGAAATTGGTGTTTTTGTGTTCAGTTCACTGAGCCCTGAGCTTGGAGCTTCTTTCTCTTCCTGGCTCTGCCTCTGGAAGTTTTCTTGGAAAATGTTCCCTTCAATGTATTTTCAAGGCTCCTGTCAACTAATGCTTTATTATAAGGCAGTGTGGGATTGGGTAGGCCCAGTGGTTATTCTCTGCTTCCCCTCTCCTGGTCATTTTTCCTGGAAGCTGACTGCTGTGAGCAGCATCACTGGGGATCCCTTGCTGGCTGACTCTGGGGAGGGTCTGGGGCCAGTAAGAGGCACTTCAGGTGATGGGAGAGGTGGAAGAGAAAAAAATCTAGAGGATTTTCTCCCTCTTCCCTTCTTGCTTTGGGGCCACATCTCTGGCCATAGCAGCTTCTCTCCATGACTGTAGCTCCCTCTCAGCAGTGCCCATTCATGGCTCCCAGTGTCGCTGGGATTGATTCATTTCTCCCTTTGCTCCTTCAGCCTGATACGTGGTAACGGCTGTCCAGTGTTGCTAGCGTCTGGATGCCTCAAGGTCTCATTTCTTTCATTAACCCTGCCCACCCCTACTTCTGTAGCTTCTCCATGGAAGTCTCCTCATTGGAATCATCTGTGGCGAATTCTGTTCTCTTCAGGACTCAGACCAGTACAGTGGGGAAGGCCATGGTGCCGCGGTCAGATACATAAGATTTGTTAGAATGACTTAACAAATCATTGTTAAATCATTCTAACAAGTGTTAGAATATGTTGCTAGAAAATGTTTACATTTCTCATATTAAGTAATTCCAGGAAAATAAGCTGATTGATACTAAAGTCAAAGCACCAAAACAAAACCACCATTCTGTGGTTTTGTAAAGAAGAATGGCTTTCAAATGACCCTTCAACATGAATGACTGCTGCTGCTCCTACCTTAGAAAGATGTGGGGCTGGAGTTGCCAGAGCCAGTCTCAGTTTTGGGTCAAGTGAAAACACCCCCATACTCCTTCCATGTACAAAGAAAAGCCTCCCCGCCTTATTCTTCAGCCTAGAGAAAGTTGGTTTGACTGAGTTTCTTGAGACAGAAGCAAAGAGAACATTCTAGGAGTCCCTGGCCAAGTACAAGTCAACTGCCTCCAAGGTATGGGTAGCATTCTTTGAGGCAAGCTCAGAGCATTTTTGGTTTCCAGGAAGCTGAAGGCAATTGCAGCTTTTTGTTGCAACTGCTCTAATGCAACACACTAGACTGAGGTCAGGCAAGCTAAGCGCTCCTTCTCATGGATTCAGTCATTTGTTTAGTCACTGACTCATTCATAAAACAAATCATGCTGGGAAGTCAGTTATTTCTTGAGAGAATAAACAAATATTTATTTATTGACTACCTAGTTAACAGTCTAATGTCCAGTCAAAGGATGAGACATCAGAATGCAGAATGACAGCTGGGTAAGTGTATGAAAGAGGAGAGGTCCCTGGACCCATGCTTCCTGAAGGCACCCTGAGATGTGTCTGGGAGCTACATTAGGTGAAGGGGTGGGGATGGTGGGTGGGGTCAAGGGGAGTTTGTCCATAAGAGAGGATCTGCCTATGCAAAGGCCCTGTGGCAGAAGGACTGACTTGCCTTCTGTTTGCTCAGTGGAGGCCTGTGTGACTGGAGCATAGAGATCAAAGGGGAAAACTAGATTGGTTGAGGCTGGAGAGGTGGGCAGAGGCCAGACCACCCAGGGCCTTGGGGCCATCATCAGATTATTCATGTTTATCCTAAAGCAGAAACTCATTGAATGGAAATGACATGACTGGATTGTGTTTTGAAAATCATAACAAATAACTACAGTGTAAAGATCTTTATATATATCAATTCATTTAATCTTCACAACAACCTTCCAAGATAAGTACTGTTATCATCTCTATTTTACATTTCGGGCAACAGAGGCTCAGAGAGGTTAAGTAACTAGTCCCAGGTCATACAGCAAAGGTGGGATTTGAACCTCTCAGGATTGTCCTGTGGTTTGGCCATGTGTTTAACAATGGCACCACCCTGCCTCTGGCTTTTGTGAGGAGAATACATTTGGATGTGGGCACACTAGAAGCATGACCCTCTTTTTCCTTTCTTCCTGCCCACTCTGCATTGGCTCCCATCAACACTTCCATCATTCCATGCAGGAGAGCTGTGGGGGAATTATTTTGGCAAATGTTGCTCTAGTCCAGGGTTTCTCAGGGCAGCCCTGTTGAGATTGAGCTGGATAATTCTTTCTTGTGGGGCCTATCCTGTGTTTAGTAGCATTCCTGGCCTCTGCTCATTAGATGACAGTGTCAATTTCCCTCCCCCAGTTGTGACAATCAGAAATGACTCCAGACATTACCACCAGAAGTTTTCTAGAGGGCAAAATCACCCCTGTTTGAGAACAGCTGGTCTAGTCCTAGCCTGTATCTGTCTGTTGTTTCTCACCTTGGACCTGTGGCCCAGCTCTTTCCTGAAATATGGACCTTGAGCCGGTGTATTAGTGGCACTAGTAGAGTTTTAACACTGGCTCATGCCCAGCACCTCTGGAGGCAGAGGGGCCCAGACCAGGTAGATTCAGAAAGCTTAGAGAGGAGCGTTTTCCACTATTCAGCCTTTGGTGGTATATCCTGGACACTTGGCCATCAATCAGAGCCGTTTTCTTTTCTCTGGGGACATAAACCTTTTCAGTTCTATGCAACTGATTCCAATATGAACCTTTTATAATCTACTGTCATGTCTGGGCATTGCCTCTCAAATTTCTGGAGAACTATTTCCTAAATAGCTACGAAGCTTTCCTTTGCAGGCTTTCATTTGTTGAGAAGGCTTTTCTATTGAAGTTAAGTAAACTGCATTTGCAAAGCTGAGTTTCTCAAATGCCTATATTTGGAGAACAGACTTTTAAGTAATTTTGGTTAATTAAGAATCCCCTAGTAAATCCTATTTTTTTAGAAATTGCCATGAGAAGCCTGCATGGAAGCCTGGCATCCATGCGGATATGTGGAGAGAAACACACAAGCCCTCAAATGAGGTATGACCATGAGTCTGGTGTTGATGAGTAGTGGTTTCTCTTCCTCCAAAGGCAGGAGATGCCTCTGTAGAATGGAGTGGAGTATTCCTAGGAACACCATCTCTTCCCTGTTGGGCCAATGGGCTTGGGTAAATTACTGTTAATTTTTAAAATGTCAATTATATACTAAAGTAAAGTGAACCCCCACATGACCTCCATCCAATTTCAGCGATTATCAGCTCATTGCCAGTCTGTTTCCTTTCTATTCCCCACTTCCTTGCCTCATCCCTAGATTATTTTGAAGCAAAACTAAGATATTATGTCATTTCATCTGTAAATATTTCAGTATAAACATTATTTTTTCAGATAAACATCTTGACACCAAATTACAAACTCTTTAAAGTAGAGGTGAATTCTAATGAAGACCTTTCCCCCTAGAGTTGAAACCCTCTGGCACCCAAATATGAAAGGCTTAGATTTTAATTTTTTAAAAAATATTGCTGTAAAACAGCAAAATGGACCATTTGGTGGTATTATATGGGGAAATCAGAAGGATTACACCACTGACACATTCCTTAATTGATTTTGGCTCTATTCTTTGAGGATTTTGCTTAAGTCTTGATGTCCCAGGGTTGACATAATTACATCTTCGTTAGAGTTTTGTTATCTCTTTATGATTATTGACATTTCTGCATATAAATTCCTGTCTCTTTTCAACTTCTTGGCCGAATGGTGCCTCTTCCGGATTTTGAAGAAACAACTTTCAGAGTGTGAACTTGAACTGATCATTGGTCACATTATCTACACCTAAGGGTTCTTGGATGCTGATTAATGGTAGCTTTTCTGCAGAGAATGAAACTGAGATTAAGCCTTCTTTGTAGGGAAATTAAACACCTGAATCTCTGGTGAGGTCTGAACATAAGCCACTCAGCTTCTTGCACTGTTTTTCTTAAGCATCACATTGGCTTACCCCCAAAACCACCTGTTTTATTGGGAAAAAATTCACTTCTTCATGGTTGCTTGCTCTGGAGCATTAATTAATTCAACTCTCATTTATTGAGCAATAACTGAGGACCTCCCACTGTACTAGATGTTGATCCAGTCATGGCTTAGTCCCAGCTTTCTGGGAGCTTACTCCAGTATTGATTATTTGAATGTCTATTGTACATCCAACTTTGACACCACTTTGGTGATTTGTGGGGTCAGTGGGGTGGTTTCCATATCCAAATATCCCTCAATTAGGTAACCAGGGATATCACTGGGTTGAGCTAGATTTTTGTGTTGGGCTTGAATTGACTTTCAAATCTGTTTGCTCTAGAGAGGATTGATTCAAAATGCCGTAACAGCTGGGTCAGGAACTTGAGCAGCATTCTAGCCCTGGCTGCAATGGAAGCTAGGGAGAGAAGGTATCTGAAATGGGGTGAGAAATGTGAAGGCCACAGTCCCACACCAAAACAGACTTTGCGTCCATCACAGTTCTGTTGAGAGTTGGCTTTGAGCCAAGGAAGACTGAGTGGTGACAATTAAATGTCGTCATGGAAACAGTGTTTCTGCTCTGTAATCTCATCCGTTGGTGTTCCTTAACTCCTTGGGCTCCTTAGCCCCCTGGGAATGGGTCTCTTAGTATCTGCTTGACCCCTGGGTGATGAGGGTTGCATTAGCACGAGGGTAAGTGTCCAGGCTTCAGGGGATCAAATGACTTGGATTTGAATCTTGGCCCTACACCTGCTCTGCTGGCTCTGTGACCTTGGCCAAGTGTGTAAATCACATTCCCTCCCCTGTGGGATTCTTCTGAGCATTAAATGAGTTGGTACATGTAAAACACTTAGCATGGATTGCTAAGACTTGCTAAGTAGCAAGTCTTAATAAATCTACTTAACATTGAGGGAACTCATTCCTTCTTCAGAGAACTCTGTCTCTTGAAAAGTCTACCCTGCCGGGTATGGTGGCTCATGCCTGTAATCCCAGCACTTTGGGAGGCTGAGGCGGGAGGATCACTTGAAGTCAGGAGTTTGAGACCAACCTGGCCAACATGATGAAACCCCATCTCTACTAAAAATCTAAAAATTAGCCAGGCGTGGTGACGGGCGTCTGTGGTCCCAGCTACTCAGGAGGCTGAGGCAGGAGAATTGCTTGAACCCAGGAGGCAGAGGTTGCAGTGAGCTGAGATCATACCACTGCACTCCAGCCTGGGTGACAGAGTGAGACCCTGTCTCAAAAAAAAAAAAATTGTACTCTTTTTTATACTATAACAACTTTATCATTTCACCTCCTGGTTCTTTGGTTCTTTTACATTTGCTTTTTGAGGCCACTGATGTATTCGGTTTTTCACAACCCTTGAGTGTTTAGGACAGTTCTGTCCTCTCCTCTTGTCAATACACTCTATGCTGCAGAATCTTCTCGCCTCTCTGTGAAAGTGTCGGTTCCCCCTTCTCTTCTTGTGACGGGTTTTGAAGATTCATCTCCTTTGGATATTGTGCATTCTTTCTCTGTGCATTCCACAAATAGTTACTGGGCATCTTCTCTGGGAGGGTGCTGCATCTGGCCCTAGTGACATGGTCCCTGCCTAGTCGAGCTCACACTCTAATAAGGAAGTTGGTGGGATAAGCTGGTAATTATAATACAGGGTGGTAAGTGCTCTGGGAAGGAAAGACCAAAGACCTGGGTATCATGGGGCTTTCCAGATGGGAAGGAGTCATGTGGTTGAGGAATGCTTTCAGGAGGGAGGGTCATTTCAACTGAGACTACGACCTGTGTGGTGGAAGAATTTGGGGAGGTAAAGAAGGGGGGACAGAAGAATGGTTTCATATGGAACCCATAATCAAAAAAATATTCAAATGGTGAATAAAAAGAATTTGATGATTAAACAGATGGAGTCTTGCTAAAAGTTCAGAACAGTTCTGGAAGGTTCTGCTGAAAGCTGTCATTTGTATGAGGGGAGGAGAGGAGGTTCCAAAATGTCATCTCCGTAAGTAGGCAATAATAGATAATCTTCTACCACAACATCCTTGACTCCTAACCTTATCTTTGCCTTAAGACAAATAGGTTCCCCACCAAGCAGGGCTAGAGACCCCCTTTTTCCTCCATTTTCACATTCTTCTTAACATGTTACCACTGAAAGCTGGCTACTAACCCAAGTCATTTATCCCAAGCTGCCATTAGAGAGGCTATCTCCAAAATGCGTAGCAACATTGTTTACATTCACATTGGTCAACTGTAACTGGATATAAAATTTTTGGCATTACCTTTCCCTCATGAAGGTATTAGGAATAATTTATATGTTTATAATAAGGAAGGATTTAGAAAAAAATAAGATATACAATGAAAGAGGCTCCCAGAACTGGCTTGGAATTTTTCAGGGAGATCTTGAGCCTGGAAAATATTATTTAAAACTCCAGCTTGGAGTTAAGCTTTTTAATACAACTAAAAGTATATACATGAAAATCTGTGGCAGCAACCATGAGCCACTTTCCATTGCATAATCTAATGTTTTCTTATTTCAATACTTGAAATAATACGATTTTAAAAAAGAATATAAAACCTTAGGAAAAGAAGAGTTGACTCCTGCCAAGGCTGACCTCAGCCAAAACGGGCCTCTGCCCCTTAGCATCTCTGAAAACATGCTTTAAGTTTCATTAACTGAGGAAGTAATAATGATCAAAATTATGGAATGGTATGGTGTTTTTACTGAGCAGCAGCCAGCAGAGGGCTAGGACGGCTTCAGCCTCTGATGTGGAAGTCCACAGAACAGGGGCTTCACCAAATCAGCCGGGAGGGAGGGAGAGCCAGCTTCTGCTACCAGAGATGTCTTTGTTCTTTTTCTTGTGAGCTGTCTGAATTATGCCCTTGTCTCCTGAAACTCTCTTGGCACCATTCACTTCGGCCTCAATGGCACCAGAACAGAAATGATAACTAACTACAGGCTCCAGGGTTCCTAAATCCAGTCAACAAACAGTTTACAGGAATCCAGTGGATTTTCCCACTTTTTAGATGTGGATTATATCATGGCCCACTCACTCCACATCTGGAGAAAAGCCTGCCTGTTGTAGATGCAGGACTTGACTGTGCACTTGTGTTTGTGCACAGTTCCATGGTCCACACACCACACTCGTCCCACTTAGGTGCTTTCTAATAAGTCCTGAAAGTGTAGAGCTTACTTCACTTAAAGATTAAGGGACCAGGAAATTCTTCTTTAATATGTAGAAACGTACACATCGTCAGGAAAGCAGGAGAGAGGAGGAGGAGGAGGTAAGCTATCGTCATGGTAGGGCCAAATGAATATGCAAAATTATCTATGCTAGATGATCGGAAATTCTAGTAGTGCTAGGTATTTTAACAGTATAATGGGCTGAATAAGGTTGAATCATTGTTTTATGATTATCCAAGATAAGAATAATATTATATCATTCAAGATAAGAATAATTCTTATACAAAATAAAAATTTGTATAAAACTTTATAGCTATAAAAGTGCTTTCTCTTATTTGACATTTTAAAGTGACCAATAGCAGTGACATTACATCTCTTTTAATATCTGAAAATCAAGAGTAAATGATATTTACTTTGAAATAGTTTTATCTTTTTAAAAAAATAGAAATTATGCATACATATTATGAGAAATATTGACTAGCAAAAAGAAGAACGAGTTTACTCAAGAAAAAGACTTGACATTTTATTTCTGTTTTCCTTTAGTCTCTTTTCTCATGCATACATTTCACATAGATGCGATTGCATTTTGTTACAATTTTTTCTCTTGTTTTTTTCATCTACATGAAGCAATGCTTATTATTCTCTAGTCATTGTAAAATAAATGCTTCCCCTCCCTCCACCACCCAAACTGAATACAGATGGCATTGTGTATGTATGGTCACTACGGATGACTAGAACCCTTACAGCTTAGATTCAGAACTCATGGAAAGGGCTTAACTATTTGAGTTAAACCCTAAAACACTTATTGAACACCTACCACATGCCAGGCCCTGTGCTAGGCACTGTGTGTGGGAGGTGGGTGTGGTGGGTGGGAAAGTCCTGCCAAGATGATCAAGACATAGAGGAGGTTTTCAGGCAGCTTACACTTGATTTGAGAGGGGAATTAGGAAAGGAAATTTGGAAGTAAATAAGGGAAAAAGGCAGGTGGGAAGGAAGGAAAGGAAGGGACTTAGGAAGGAAGGAAGAGAGTGTGTTGAGAAAGAAAACAGGAAGGAAGGGAAGGGAGGGAGGAAGGAAGGATAAATAACACCAAAAAGCAACAAAACAAAACAAAACAAAACATAAATTCCTAATGAATTTTCAATTTTCAGAATATATAAATCATTCAAGACAATTATATCATTGTATAACCATTTTTATATTATATAAAATTATATAACCATCTTTTATATCATAAAAGATATCCAAGACGATGTAAAATCAATTTTGGGGGAATTTTACCAACATTAACAGTGACTTGATGATGAACAAGCTTTGAAGCTTTCCCAGGTTCTTCCTGTATTAATTTCTCTGGACATCTTGAATGCTAAATCTCTCTCTAAAATACTCAAGAGAAAGCATACTCAAATATTGTTGCCATTAAGGAAGACATTATTGGTAATGTGGCTGTGAAATACACAAAAAACTTAATGGATGATTTCTTAAAACTCTAAGCTATGTACAGGGCTCTTTCACATCATGCACAAAGGTGAACTCAAATGGATCATAGACCTAAATGTAAGAGTTAAAACTGTAACACTCCTACAATAAAGCATCAGCATAAATCTTGGTGAACTTGGGTTATATAAAGCTGCTTTAGATATGGCACCAAAAGCACAAATAACTAAAGAAAAATGTGATAAATTGGACTTCATCAAAATTAAAAACTTTTGTGCTACAAACGATACTATCAAGAAGAGACAAACTACAATGTGGGAGAAAATATTTGCAAGTCATATTTCAAAATGTGGCTTGTAAGGGATATGTATCCTCTATAAGAGTTATAAGAACTCTTATAACTAAACAATAAAAACTCAAATAACCTTATTTTATAATGGGCAAGGGATTTGAATAGACATTTCTGTAGAGAAGATATACAAATGACCAGTAAGCATATGAAAAGATGCTTAAAGTTATTAGTCTTTAGGGAAATATAAATCAAAATCACAATGAGATACCACTTTACATCCACTAGGATGGTTATCAGAAAAAAGACAGGCAATTACAAGTGTTGGTGAGGATGTGGAGAAACTGTAAACCTCATACATTTGCCAGTAGGACTGTAAAATGGTGCGGCCACTTTGGAAAACAGTTTGGCAGTTCCTCAAAATGTTAAACAAAGTTACCATATGACACAGCAATTCAACTTCTAGATATATACCCAAAAGAAATGAAAACATGTTGTCACACAGAAACTTGTACATGAAGGGTCATAGCAGCATTATGTATAATAGCCAAAAAGTGAAAACAAGTCAAATGGATGAATTGATGTTGAATGGATAGACAAAAGATGGTACATCCATACAATGCACTATTACTTGATAATAAAAAGAAATGAAGTATTGATAGATGCTGCAATATGAGAGAACCTTGAAAACATCATGCTAAGTGAAAGAAGCCAGTCAAAAAGGCCACATTGTATGATCTAATTTATATGACAAATAGGCAAATCTATAGAGACAGAAAATGGATTAGTGGTTGCCTAGGGCTGGTGGAAGGAGAGTGAGAGAGGTGACTGGTAATGGGTATAGGGTTCTGTTTGGGGTGAAAAAAAATTCCTAAAATTTGATTGTGGGTGATGTTTTCACAATTCTGTGAATGTACAAAAACTCATTGAACTGTAGTTCAATGGTGAATTGTAGGTGAATTGTATGGTATGTGAATATTTATTAAAGGGGGTCTCTGCAGAGTGCTCCGAAATCTGCAAAGACATACGAGTTATAGTCCATGCCTATGTTTATATACAGCCTGTTTGAAAGGAGAATATATATAAAATGATTGGAAATATCAGATCACAGCCTCAAAATCATTTTTTAGCTCAGCATCGAAGGAATGTATTACCAAGTGAAAGGCACTGGTGCTTGAAGTGAAACTCACTCATTTGAATTCAATCAACTTATATTTATTTTGAGTCTTGTAGTAAGTACCAGGCCTAGTTGTAGGAGCTGAAAGTAGGTAGAGAAGATTATATAATTGGGTCATTATGTTATAACCTAGATATATACAAAGGGCTTTTTCAGTAGTTCCCAAGAAATGAGAGAGAAATTCATTTGGCCTGTGACGTGGTTGCAGGGGTGGCTTAAAGTCGATATTTAACTGGGTCTTAAAGATTGAATAGTTCAACAGGTGAAGAAGTGGGTAAAAGAGACTAAGTAAGGACTTACTAAACAGGAGATATGGTAATGATGGTGATAATGGTGTTGGTAGTGGTGATGGACAACAATGATTATGGCGGTGATGGTGATAATGATGATGATGGTTGTGATGATGGTTATAATGACAGTAATAATGATGTGATGACAATGGTGATGATGACCCAATGATGATGGCTGTGGTGGTGGTACTGCTGATGATGATGACTGTGATTGTGATGATGGTGACAGTTTGGCAAAGACTGAGTTTGAAGGGCTTCTGAGGCATTTAAGTTATATCTTTTCAGGCATTTGCAGCCATAAACCTTAAGCTGCACATGGTGGCCAGGAGCACCTATCATTGGCCAGTGCCTTGCTTTTTGATAAAATATTATCTTTTGGTCAGACTTATAGAAACTGCATGTTGGCTTAAAAAGAAGGAACCAAGTGTGTTAATAGTTAATGAATTGCTGCACATGGATGTAAAATACACAGTGGTTGTTATCTTTGCAATTAGCAGCCACTCATGTCAGTAACTTTTTGGAAGATCCACTATATGCCTAGTTCTGAATCTCACAGTAACTCCTCTCTTGAAATCTTTGGGTTAAAATATTTATTTGTACCATATGAAACTGCTATTTTAGAGTCAGAAATGGTGAATAACAAAAACTTTATCTGGATTAAGCTATTATATATATATAATATACATATAAACACACACATACACACACACATATATATACATATATACACACACACACATATATATGTGTATATATGTGTGTATATATATGTGTATATATATATGTGTATATATATATGTGTATATATATGTGTATATATATATATATGTATATATATATGTGTGTGTGTATATATATATATATATATATACCTGCTGCTGATTTATGTCTTCTGCAGTCTACTGAGTATATGGGATGGGTAGAAGGGGTGAAAAAGAGCTACATATCATCCTGCTATAATGACAACCTTTATGCTGTTAACTCTGAGTGTGTGTGTGTGTGTGTTACAGAGAGGATAGGTACTATAGACTAGTGCTATCCAGTACTGTAGCCATGAGCCATATGTGGCTATTGAGATTTTGAGATACGGCTAGTACAATTGAGATGTGCTATGAGTATAAAACACACACAGTTTCAAAAACTTAGTGTGAAAAAAGAATAGAAAGCATCTCAGTAATAATTTATATATTAATTACATGTTTAATACTTTGGGTTGAATAAAAATATTAATATTAATTTCACCTGTTTCTTTTTACTTTTATGATGTGGCTATTAGAAAATCTGGTTTGTGCTGTATTTCTATTTGACAGTGCTGCTACAGACAGAGAAGGTTTTCAAAGTTCTTTTTGGTGTACTTTTTTGGCACATTCTGGAGCAAAACCATTCAAAGTGGCTTTTAGAAATTGGCCCTTGAATTTGAATTTTCTGAGCCCAACTCTGCTTCAGTTTCCTTGAAAAAGGAAGGAAAACCAATCTGGCCTCTAAAATCTACATTTTGAAAATTGCATTAGGGAACTATATTCCTTCTCTAACACACAAAATAAATTCCAGCAGTTCATAGTTTTTCCATGTACTTATAGTATTTTCTTTGCCTTTGCTTTTTGTTCTCTGTGTTTTTCCTGTCATCGCTTTATCAAAATATTGAGGCCCTGGCGTCGAGCAAGCAGAGATATTCAAGATACATAAGTGCCTCACTTATCCAGTACTGAGTCTATCTGAATCACTTGAGGATTGGCTAAGTGTATGAGCATTCAGATTTCTCCAAAATTGAGACCATGCCATACAGTGCAGGATTAGCAAGGAGAAAAATGTCAGTCTCCTGGCGCTGACAGTTTGAACTGTCAGGGTCAGGGCTCTGTGGTCTCCTTTTGCTCCCCTAATCCCAGCTAAGAAGGTAATTTAAGTGAATCCTGGGGTGCCAAATTAAGGAGGCTCTAATGGGAAAATGGGAAGTGGAGGGTTTAAAGGACACCCATTAATGTGCTCACTTCAAGATGTCCTCTTGTCAGTGCTTCTTAGGAAGGCACAGGCTCTCCAGTAATGTCTTTTCTTTTTGGAACCCAACCAACGGCAAGTATGGAGATTTTAAAACATAATATTTTGGAACCCAAGGGAAGTCAAAATATTGCAGACAATGATAAAACCATAATTCAGTCATTGTGTTGTGTGATCCTGCTGCATGTGGTGGGTCTGCTGGAAAGGGAAGTGTGACAGGTTTGAACAGCAGAATTCGACATCTCAATTTGGCCTCTAATTATTTCTTAAATAGGTCCAAGTAAATCTGCAAAGTGTCCAGAGATCCTCTTTTCTCTGTAGCTTCTTCTAGGCCAAAGAGAAATCAGGGTAGATATCAGCTAAGAATGTACTTGCCTGCTCTAACAGAAAACCTGACAAATAGAATAATATGTTTTCTCACGTAACAGTCAAGTCTGGAGACAGGCAGTCCAGGATAAACTAGGCCATCCTAGTTTATCCTGTTATAGCCAGCTTTTGTCTTCATGTTGCAAAATTTCTGCCACAGCTCTAGCCATCACATCTGTGTCCCAACGGGAGGAAGTATAAGTGCCAAATGACCTTACCTGTAGGAAAGGACATCTTTCCATATTTAGGAAGGGACACCCCCTTCCAAGGACCTTTGCTATGTCGTTGGCCTGAAGTGGGTCATATGGCTTCTCTCAGATGCCAGAGACTCTGCATAGATGAAGAAGCAACTAGAATTTGGAGCCCATAGAGCTTGCCACTCTGACCAAAAAAAATGTGTGAATATATATGTATATATATACACACACACACATACATAAAATACATATATGTGTATGTGTGTGTGTTTGTGTGTGTTTTGCTTAAATAGCTTCTAGCTCAGTTCTTGGCACATAGTATGTAATCAAAAATTGGAGCTTAAAACAACCTCACTTTTGTAGTTAAAAGGCCATAGCAGAGAACACTGCAACTCTATCCTCTAGAAGTAGAAGTGGTTACTTCGATTAGAGTGATGTTTAACACTGGCTGAGCATGGCCTATGGGCATATTCGGCCTATAAAACACAGTACAGGGCTCAGTGTTTTACATCTTACTAATTCTTTGGAACAACCTGATGAAAGAGAGAATATTCTCCCCAAGTTACAGGGAAGGAAACTGAGGCCCAGAGAGGCTAGATAAATTTGCCCAAGGCACACAGCTAATGTGGGGGAGGGCTGAGATGCCAACCTTGGCCTTCTACCAACAAGGCCTGGGGCTTTTATAACCTCTAAGCTCTCCTAACTAGAAGGCTTTGGGTACATAGTCGATTTGCCTAGTAATTTGCTAATCCAGTTCAAAGTTTTGAACAAAAGACCTTAGAATGAATAGCAAAAAGGATAAAAGAGAGAGAGAGAAATGAAAAAAAAATTAGGATAACTTTAGAGTAATTAAAACAGGTCCCTATATCATGGGCTGTTAAAGGCTTAAATGATGCTAAGTTCTGGACTTTCTCCATCTTAGAATATTTTTCACAGGTTCTCTGTTTTGGAGGATTTGCCATGTTTCCACATGTTATGTTTGCTTTGGGGTTGTCTAGGGGCATTCTAAGGAGCATTTCTGCTACTTGGCACCAGGAGCTCTTCAGGAGGAGTGACAATGAGCTATGTGCATATCTTGGGGTGCAACCAGCTGCGCTGGCTTCCATGAGATCCGTAGTAAGGAAGGCAAGGTAGATCTGAATCTCATCCGAGGAGTGGAGGTTCCTCAAGAATGATGGATCTGCCTTTGATGTCTAGCAGTTTCCAAATAGCACAGAAATGATACAGATACATGCCAAAAGGGGGAAAAGCAACTTTTGATCTAGTTAGAACTAATTAAACTTTCAAAATGCATGAAAGAAACTTGAGTGCTGGCCAGTTGTTTGCTATGGATGGGTTTTGTCAACGAGCACAGTTGAAAATAGCGTAGCTACAGCAAACCCCTACCTTTCTATTTGGGGGAAATTAGTTTTTTGGTTTTTGCTTCTAAAATGTCAGGGATTTCCCCCGTTGCAGACTGAAATAACCCGTGTAGTCTCTTTTACCCCCGTTTATCCAGGGATATTAAGAGTGATATTTTTCTTTAATGTCTTCTCAGAAGGCTCTCTCTTCAGTCCCTTCCTTGCTGTCATACTGTGTTTAGTCTCATGTATGCTTTTTGTTAGTGTGTGGACTAAAAAAGGTAATCTAATTAACAGAAGGTAAGAAGCCCTCAGGATTTTGGCAACAGAGAAAAACTTGGGCTCTGGTATTTGATCAGCAATTCCTACTCAAAGCTCACAACTCTTACCTCATTAGCAGGGGAGTTTTTCGAGCTTTTTAAGCAGGCTTCAGCAGAAAATAAAGTGCGTCGTTGACAGGACAACAGTCAGATCTGAGAGTGGCTTTCTGAAAATTCAGCTGCCTTTATTCAGAGTGACTGGCTTGGTAAATGTTTAGAGGGCCCTAATTATGCTTTGGGGCGATCAAAACATTGTGGATTTATGCTGTTTCACCAAGGAGAATGGCCTACTCTACATACCAAAAAAGAAAAGAGAAAAAAACACTAAAAGGGAGGACAGAAAAGAAAAAAAGGAGGCGGATGAGGCGGGGGGTGCACATCGCCCCAGCTTGGAGAGATGGCCTCTTGGTAGAGCATATGAATCCACTTACATGTAAATTGCTTGTCGCTATGAATTAAGGGAAGGCTATGAAAGAACTGCTTTGCCGTGTTTACTATAGGATTTTTGACAGACTCTTTCCTCTTTCAAGTAAATTTGGCTTAAATCCATAGTCAGTCCAGTTTTAAGTAAACTCCTCTTTTGTTACATTAACAAGGTTATAACATCACTGGGGCAGATTTCCAGCTGCAGGAACCGAGGCCTAAGTATGGGGCTGAGGGTATAATTAAAACCTTCGGGTGGGAGAGTTAAACTCTCAAGTAAAATTGGATAAAAGGCTAATTGTCCATAGCAACATAATACGTGCTTTAAATATCTGTGAAATGAAGATGAATAGTAGGAGGCTTGGGATAAAAAACCTTTTCTACTCTCTGAATTGAGATCTGAGTTTTTAATTTAGGACAGAGGGCATTTTCCTCCTCAAAATCAATTTTGAAAGCACAGTGTCATCCCCCTGGTTTGTCTTCTGTCTGTACTAAAGATCTTCCATCTTACAAAACGGGGAGTGTTTATAGCTGACTAGCAAGGCCACAAGCAGAGACCTAGATGTTCTGGCTCCATAGGTCCAAACAAGGGTGTCAAACACTTCGTTCCTTTAAAGAAGGGGTGGTGGTGGGGATGTGGGTGGGTGGGAGGAGAGTCTTGGGCAAAGGCACACATACCTTTGGTGACCTTCTTGAAGATGACATCCAGCCAAGCAAGATGATACATTACCACATGCTAAAAAAACAAAATGGTTTGTAATGACAGCTTTTCCTGAGCCAATGCATCATGAAGGCCCATTTGTTATTCATTAGGAGCAGCCTGGCCAGGCTGGCTGGTAGGGAGCCTGGAGACTTAAGGTCATCCTACACCCCTGCCCCAGTGGCACAGACAAACACGAAGACAGCTTTAGCAGCCCCTCCACTGACTTGGCCACACTGCTGTTGAAGCCCTGCAGGAATGAAGGTGTTCAAAAACAGTAAACAGTTTAGAGTTACTGCGAGGGGGTGAGGGAAGGGGTGGGTGGAAGCGAAGAAGAAAGGGGAAAAAAATAAGAAACGATTTTGTGGGCAAAGTTTCCCCATGGAGCTAAGCACTGTGAGCCCCCATCCAGGAAGTCCAGTAGCCTCCCCCAGCAGCCCAGGAAGTGACCCCAAAAGAGCTGTATGTCTCTCCATCTGGACTAGGGACAGTCAGAAGAGATGGAGTATGAGAGCTGGACGCTATTGGAGAGGGGTGAGTATTTGAGGGCTTGCTGGGAGAAGTACATGGCCATGTCCAACTAATAGAATTGCTGGATGCAAAATGGGAAGGTGCTGAGGGTGCACTGGGGCTGTAAAGGAGCCAGGTCAGTTCTTTGCAAAATTAGGGATAGAGTGCAGGGGTCAGGAGGACATCTGGTGCTGGGCAGAGGGAGCAGAACGGCTAAGGGAAGGCTGGCAGGGTGCAACCTCAGCAAGTGAGTAGATTGAGAACATAGGCCTAGCATGCCAGGAAAACAGAATCCAGCTGCCCAGCTCTAAAGCAGAGAGTGGTGTTGAGGCTGGCCCGGACCCTGCCTACTCTGTCAGCTATGTGATGCGCCTGCTGTAAAGGAGATCACCTAGGAATTACATTTGTGGTATTTTCAGCCTAGGTGTGTTGCAGAGTATTTTTGTCTTGCTCTACAATATAGAGACTTGTATTTTGAATCAAAATGTTTCTTCTGACTTTGTAAATCAGAGCACTTTAAGATAGGACACACCTACTGCTTGCACTTGGATGCTTCTCAGAGGGCTGTGATACCTATCTTCTGTTTCATTGTGAGCAGCAGTGTGCTTTTGTGATAGGCATCAGAGCCTCCTTTAAATATTTTTGCTCAGAGTCATGTAGATCACACATTGCCTCGTGGCAGCTTACTATCAGTAGTGTTTTAAGTACTTTTAAGTATGTTGAATAAGAGCTTTTATTTTAGAGTTAATATATCCATTTCTCCTGCCAGCATTGTAAATTTAAATTCCTTCTTACATGTAACAAAGACATGTAATATATAAACAGGGTTATAGCTCAGAGTAAGAATGACATTATGAGAAAATAAAGCTGAGAATGCTGTGTTTAATAGGAACCAACTCATATTAGTTCAAACTAATAAAATGTTAGCCATCTTTACTTGTTTTTATCTTTAAGTAGCGTATGTCTCCTTTTTAAAATAGAGGTTTAGTTATGGCATATGTGTCTATGTGTGTATGCATGTATATGTATATACATATATTTATATGTCACAAGTTTCAGGAGAAAAAAATTACTGCTCTTTCTATAAATTATTAAGGCTTAATGCCAAGTTATAGCAAAATAGTTCTGTTGTATTTTTTGAGGTTATGTACCATTTGGGGAGCAGGTGAAGGAGAGGCTGGGAGTTTGTAGACCTAGATTTGGTTGGATGGCTGTCCATTCCGTAGAATAGATGGGATGTGAAGAGGTACCCAACCATTTCAGAGATGAGGGTCCACACTTGATGAGTCAGCAAATCATTGAAAATCGAGTGTTTCATGATGAGGGAAGGACCTTCTCACTACAAGGCTGATCTTGCCAGACATCTCTTTTTCCACCATACCCAGCTTTCTCTCTCTCCAAGGAGCCTGAGTAGCCTATGTAAAACAATTGTAATCATCATCATTTACCCTTTACTGAACAGCAATGAAAGTATGCTCCCAGCTCACCTTTTTTCTTGCTAGTTATTAGTCATGGTTTTTGTTTTGTTTTGTTTTCTGTATTAGTGGCCTGACAGTAGCATTAAAAGAAGAATAGCAATTTTCTTGGAGGTGATAAAAAGTTTTAGATAATAGTGGTGGTTGTACAACACTATGAATGTGATTGATGCCACTGAATTGTATATTTAAAAATGGTTAAAGTGACAACTTTTGTGTTACATCTATTTGCCACAATTAAAAAAAATGATACAGGGAGAGGGAGAGGGAGAGACAAAGACAGAAATGGCAGAGAACAAAGATGCGGGTATCTTTCTGGCTCATAACCTTATTACATTCTGGTCTTTGCTTCACTGTCAGCTTATCCAAGACACTTTCTGACCACATTAGCTAAATAGTGTCTTCCCTGTCACCCTCTGTCCTCGTACCCTCTCTGTTTTATTTTTCTTTTTTAACATTTATAAAATTGAAATAAAATTCACCCTTGTAACCAATATAAAGTATACAATTCAGTGATTTTTGGTACATTTATTTTGCAGTACAACCCATCACCACTATCTAATTCTAGAACCACCCCCACCCCCAAAAAAATACTCATACTCATTAAGCAATTACTGTCTATTACCCCTTTTCCTTAGTCTCTGGCAACTACTAATCTACTTTCTGTCTGTATGGTTTTCCTATACTGGACATTCCATATAAATGGAATCATACAATATGTGGCCTTTTGTGTTTGTCTTGTTTCATAGAGCATAATGTTTTCAAGGTTTCTGCATGTTGTAGCATGTATTAATGCTTCATTTCTTTTTATTGCCAAATAATATTCTATTGAACAGATATATCACATTTTGTTTATTCACTAGCTGATGGGCATTTGGATTTTTTCCGCTCTTTAGCTATTATGAATAATACTACTATGAACATTCATGTGCAAGTTTTTATGTGGATATGTGTTTTCATTTCTCTTGGGTATAGATATTTTTCTTTTTAACATTTACCATCACCGTATGTGTGTGTATCATATTGTGTATATATGCATTATATTGTATGTGTATGTATATATACACGCAGAGACATATACATGTGTGTCTTTATACATATATGTGTATATGTGTGTGTATATATATGTTTTGTTTATTTTTTCATTGTCTGTAGTCTTCTTTATGTAATCAAAGCTCTGGGAGAGCCTGGGCTATATCTCCGGTGCTCAGAACAGCGCCGATTGAATGAATTAGTTGATGAAGAATGAATGGTGTTCTGTTCTGCATTGGACGAGTCACAAAATTCTTCCTGATCTATAGTTTATCGTTTGGTCTTTCTCTCTTTCAAACCCTTCTCTGGGTGGAATATGCCCTAGCAGATCGATCACTCAAGCAAGAGAGCTGTTCCTTAGTATCACTGGAGCATTGGTGGGCCCTACCAAGCCTGCTGCCTGGCTAATGTCTAAAGACACAAAACTGGGGTGACTTAACCAACCACAGGCCTGAGTTTAGTTTTAATGCTGATTATTGTTATCAAGAGAATCCGTTCTGTCTGTGACAGGAATCCTCTTGCATTTGTAGTCAAGGCAAAGATGAAGTTCTTTTTAGTGGTGCCAAGAAGAGCCTGAGCTCCATCTTTCTCAGAGGCTCAGTGTTCATCTCTACTTTGACAGACAGGGGCAAGAGAGGAAAGAATGGACTGCTGCAGCCTGGAGGTCGATGGCCAAATATATTATTATTCACCAGTTACATTTAAGAGGCCAGGGACACCTTTTTATGTAAAGCCAAAGTAAAATTTAAATTACTGCAGAATTTTTGTATATTTCAACAAAGAAAGTATGAGTCCCATGGGAAGGGAAATAAGGCATTCTAGCATTTGCTTTTATATCTCTGACAAATCCTTGCAGGTATTGTTTAAATCTGCTAGCTCCACATTTGTTCTAATAAGCTATATAGTTTCCTTTAATGTTTTAATGGGTTCTACAGTACTTTTATTCTGTTTGATTCTGTTTTTCTTTATAGTTAATCTGCCTTTAAGCATTTAGAGGAAATTGTTCAATTTTTCAAAAACTTCCACAGGATGTGATATGTATGGTTTAAATGGTAAATCATCCCCCCCTACCAAAGAAATGTCATGGCAAGAAAGCAGACGTAGTTATCACACTGTTTATTATTTGACTTGGCCAAAGGCCTGGATTTGGGGTCTAATTTTAATATATTAGAATGTACTTTTCTTGGAAGTTTGCATATAAATACTGTATGTTTGGTAAGTGAACAGCGTTGTAAATCAAATTACACTTGACTGAATGTGATTTTCTCCATGTTTATTATTTATTCCTTTCATCAGTGAATGAGGAATTTCTCATCTTGTGTGTTATAGGTGTGTACATTTCCATCTGAGACACTCTTGTGATGGGGTGGCTCAGGATCGCAGATTTCAGTCATATTGGTATGGTTTACACCTCTGAGATGCCTTTTAGTCATTGCAGGTGGATCATCTGCTGTGGCAATCTAGGTGGAAATGGGGCAGTTCACCTCCTTTTGAGTGTTTCCTTAGTGGAATTGTTTTCCTTCTCAAAATTAAAATAAACATTGGTAAGAGAGAATCTTAAAGGAATTCAAGTTACTGGGCTGCCATGGATAATGGGGGGCTTATCATACTTTGAGCATCGTGCTTTTGGCCATAGGAAAACTTTAAGACCCACATCAAACAAGGATGTGAGGGTCTCTATTTACAGCTGAGCTTCCGGGGAGGAGCTCTCTGTTAAAACAAGAGCAGAGGCACCATCCCACCCTCCCCACCAGCCTCCTTCCCCATCCCCAGTTTACAGTATGCAGGCCCATAGGAATGCGAATCCCACTCCAGAGCCCATTGTGAATGTGTTTCTGAATTGTTTAACATGTTTCTCACAAACAGGACATGACATGTATGGTTTAAATGAAAATAATGGCCCTGCTGCTCCGTGCCAGACTGTCTTTTGTCAAGAGCATCCTGGCAATAGGAAGGGCTCTGGGCTGACATGACCCACAGGCCAGGTCCTTAGGGGATCTGGGCTGGATGCATTTCACACGAGAAGACTCTTAAATCAGGGGGCCTCCCTGAGGGCCCATGTCCTGGTGTGTGCCTGTGCTGCTCTGCAGCAGGCCCCAGAGCCGCGGTTGTCTCTGCTGCTCCTGTGCTCTCAGCCACAAATGAAGAGGAAGATTTTCTTAGCTTTTGGATTCCTTAGCTAAGGAATTTATTGTCAAACCAAACCAAACCAAACCAAACCAAAACCAAAACAAAACAAAACAAAACAACTACAAAAGCAAAAACTCAAGTTTATGGGAGAATGTGGGGATTTTAAATCTTATCTAGGTGCTTTGTGCTTTATTTTGTTTTCCCCTGGGATGGAGTCTCACTCTGACACCTGGGCTGGAGTGCAGTGGCGCAATCTCAGCTCACTGCAACCTCCGCCTCCCGGATTCAAGCGATTCTCGTGCCTCAGCTTCCCAAGTAGCTGGGACTACAGGCGCCTGCCACCATGCCCAGCTAATTTTTGTATTTTTAGTAGCGACGGGTTTTTACCATATTGGCCAGACTGGTTTCAAACTCCTTACCTCAGGTGATCGGCCCTCCTCGGTCTCCCAAAGTGCTGGGATTACAGGTGTGAGCCGCCGCGCTGGGCCTGCTTCGTGCTTTGTGGAATTAGGCCTTGTGATAATTTGGTCTAATTTAGGCCTTGTGGTCAAAGCATGTAACATAAAATTTATCATTTTCACTGTTTTCAAGTGTCCAGCTTAGTAGTGTTAAGTACATTCACATTGTTGTGCAGCCATCACCACCACCCACTTCTGTAATTCTTTTCATGTTCCCAAACTGAAACTCTGCACTCATTCTATAATAACTGCACGTTCCTCCTCTCCCTGGCCCCTGGCAGCCGACATTATACTTTGTCTGTGAATTTGACTCCTCTAAGTATTTCAAGTAAGTGGAATCATACAATATTTGACCTTTTGTGACCAGCTTATTTCACTTAGCATAATGTCTTCAAAAGTGATGATGTTTGAAATAAGCAGATTAGAGTATATCTAATTCAATTCATACTTATATTTCCTGAGTGCTAGTGCTTTCTTTTTTTTTCTTTGTTTATTTGAGACAGGGTCTCACTCTGTCTCCCAGGCTGGAGTGCAGTGGCACAATCATGACACTCATGGCAGCCTCAACCTCCTGGGCTCAAGTCATCCTCCCCTCTCAGCCTCCCAAGTAGCTGGGATTGTAGATGCTACCACTATGCCTGGTTAATTTTTAATGTTTTGTAGAGACAGGGTCTCACTATATTACCCAGGTGGGTCTTGAAGTCCTGAGCTCAAGTGTTCTTCCCACCTCAGCCTCTCAAAGTGTTGGGATTACAGGCATGAGCCACCACACCCAGCCTCCTGAGTGCTTTCTATGTGTATCTTTTAATTTTCAGTTGGTTGATTCATCAAGCTTCCATGTCCCATGAATCACATGGTTGGACGGTCGAGGGTGGGTGGATATGCTGTCACCTTAGATCAGGAGTTCTCAACCAGGGGCGATTGTGCTCCACAACCCACCCCAACCCTGACCCAGGAATATTTGACAACTGGAGACATTTTTCGTTGTTAAAACTGGACAGTGGGATGGGGAGGAACCAGAAGGTATGCTACTGGCATGTATAGGGCAGAGGCCAGCGATGCTACTAAACATTCTGTAGTGCACAGGACAGCCTCCTGCAACAGAGTATTAGCCCATCCAAATGTCAAGGTGCCAAATTCAAAAACTCCTATAAAGGGCTAATGACTATGCCAATAATTTAGGGGGGAATATCTGGAGAAAAATGCAGTATGTATTTTTATTGAGTAATTTTGAAACAAATTTCTATGCTGCCATCAATTTATTACTAATTTAGTGAAATGTCTTAAATGTTGAGAGTTCAGTTATGAGTAAATGCAGACTGAGTTCCTCCTCTCATGGAGTAACTTCAGGTATAAAAATGGAAGGAGTCAAAAGAAAAGAATCCATGTACCTTTACCCTCATTAATTCTGCTGCAAGATTTTTTTAAAGGAATTTTTAACCCGATCACTAGATTATCTACAAGGGAATTTTTTTTTAATTTAAAAAATTCCCTTGTAGATAACCCGGTGGTCAGGTTGGATGGCTCCATGGAGGTCATGAGGTGTAGAGCTGTAACTAGGAGAACTTGCTGTTGTGCCTCTTCTGTTACTAAGTGGCTATGTGACATTTGGTAGTTCTGATTATCCCTCTGGGCCATATTTATCTTACCTATAAAATAAGGGATTTGTATTACATATAAAAATCTATGTCTTTGGCATTAGTGAAATACAACAAATAATTCTAAGCTAGTAGTTTATTCTTGTGGTGTAATTACTGTAAAGCACATTTTACTACATCAGTTTTTTTGTTTTGTTTTGTTTTCGAGACAGAGACTCACCCTGTCACCCAGGCTGGAGTGTAGTGGTGCGATCTCAGTTCACTGCCACCTCCGCCTCCCGGGTACAAGCAATTCTCCTGCCTCAGCCTCCTGAGTAGCTGGGATTAGAAGAATGCGCCACCACGCCAGCTAATTTTGTATTTTTAGTAGAGATGAGGTTTCACCATGTTGGTCAGGCTGGTCTCAAACTCCTGACCTCAAGTGATCCACCCGCCTGGCCTCCCAAAGTGCTGGGGTAACAGGCGTGAGCCGCTGTACCCGGCCTGTTTTAGCAATAAATTAATATGTTAAGCCTAAAACAAACTGCCAGTAAGGACACCATGTTCTGTGCAAAGGGCCCAAGACCCTGGGCTCTCTCTGTTGTCATATCTTCTCCTTATTAGGCTGAGCTCCCATGGCCAACAATGGTGTGACACCCATGTGATCCAAAGGATTCTTTTTTTTTTTTTCTCATGCAGTTTTGTTGTGGTCAACTCTAATGAGAGTAGATGGGATTTTTGGATTTTTTAAAAGTTAGGTGGGCAGGAAAAGCAAAAAATATGTATTTATAATAAAAACTATTTTTTAAAACTCTAGATGAGAGAGGTGAGGAACAAGTATCTAAAACCAAAGCTCTGGAGTCCAGTTATTAACATGCCTCACATAATGATAATGGGAACCAAACTAAATAAAGCCCTGGTGATCTTCAAGTTTGTGGGTTGGGCACGCAAGCCAGAAAAAATTTTGTTATTTCCTTGGAATGCGTTGTGTGTCATTCTCCAGTGCATTCCCTCTAGTTGTGTGTGTGTGTACATGTTTAAATAAAGACAATGACAAAATAATTGATTGTAAAGAGTTGTAGCAAACACCATTATCTGAAGTGTAGTTTAAGTGGAGAGAGGCTGGACCATAGAGAATGCTGAGAATAAAGCCTGGACTCTGGGGAGGCCACGTAGGAGCCTGCTCCAGGCCAGTACCCACTGTTGTCCTGTTACCATGTGCATTCTCATCCTGCCACCAACTCCCAGCATGGGCTTAAAAAAATCATTATCTAGTATTTTTTCTTAGAGATGGAAGTAAGTTTTCTTCCCAAGGTCAGAGCTTTTCCAAGAATGTGCCAGCAGTCTCTGCAGTCTCTGAATTTCAAACAACATCTGATGGGGTCTGGATTTTGAGCATGGACTTCTGTCTGGCTCTCCAGGCTATTTGATGGGATCCAGTCTTGCTCTGTCAATCAGACTTGGAAGGCAAATACAAGTCCCAGGGGAAGTCAGGCTAGAAGGCAGGACAGGAACTTGACAGGAAGAGACCAAATGTTGCCCTTTGGTTCTCTCGTGTGTGTGTGTGTGTGTGTGTGTGTGTGTGTGTGTGTGTGTGTGTTTGAAAAAGAGTATCTAGAAACAGGATGGTCAGGAGGTTTCATTCAGAGTGCTACCTTGAACTGATGGATAATGAATGTTGTAAACATTTAAGGTGCCATAGGGAACAACTCTGTGATCAATTAGTGATGTCTGACATCATTGGGTAGAAGCTGCAATGGCCCATATGTTATATATTTTCCAACATTCTCTAGTTCAGGGATTTTAGATTAACAGTGTGACTCTCTAGGAGTGGTCTTGGCTGTTATTTAGACACTTTGATTCTGGTAAATGCATCTAAAACAGTTGACCCTGGTATGAAGAAGATGAACACCTAAGTACTAGCTCTGTCTTTTACCACCCATGAGGTCTTAGGAAGATTGGGAGGCCTTCCTATGTCTTTATCTTCTTCCTCTATAAATAGTTACTTACTTCTTCCAGTTATTGTAAAGATAAAATGACTTAATACACATTATTTAGAATGGTGCCTGTTACACAGTGAACTTTCAACCAGTGTTGGTTTGTGAGTTGAATGAAAGCCTTTAAAAGATATGTCCACCTGGAACCTCAGAATGGACTTTATTCAGAATAAGGGTCTTTTCAGATGTAATTAATGTAAGTATCTCAAGATGAGAACATCCTATATTTGGATGGGCCCTAAATCCAATGACAGATGTTCTTATGAGACAGAAAAGAAGAAGATACACAGAGACACAGACCAGAAGTTCGCATGAAGTTGGAGGCAGAGATTGTGGAGGCAGAGAAGTAATGCATCTGTAAGTCAAACAATGTCAAGGATTGCTGGCCATCACCAGAAATTAGGAAAAAGCATGGAATGGTTTCTCCATCAGGGCCTCCAGAAGGAACCAACTCTGCTGACATCTTGATTTTGGACTTCTGGCCTCCAGAACTGTAAGATGATAAACTTTTGTTGTTTTAAGTTACCATAGCGGTAATTTATTATGGCAATCCTAGGAAACTAATACAGTTGGGTATTGGCATTATTATTGTTGTTGTTTTTAAGGTGAAGATCAATTCCTTGGCTGTCTCCTAATTTGGGCAGTCCTGGAATTTGTGGACTTTGATGAAGTCAAACAGAATCTCAGGCTACCCAGAAGCACTGTTACCTCTGATGGTGGCAAGTGGCTTGTTCTTTGGACTATTTTTCCCTCAACTTAGTCCTTGGAAGATTTAAATTTGAAATCATTAGAATGTAAAAATTGAAGAGGGGCATGGGCATTTGTTGATATGGAAATAGAATGGCTGACAGTAGAATGGACAAGGCATCCTCCTGCGTCGGTGCCAGCTATTACATCCAAATTTGAGAGAAGGCAGGGAGTTGAATTCTAGAAAAAGTGAGCTCTGGGAAAAAATCTTAAAATGTGCAAAGAGGATGTTAACCTGGAGACAGACCCCCAAGCACTGACGTTCTTGGGGTGATAGAAGCTTAGAGAAACCACAGGTCCAGGGTATAGATGATGCTTCAGCTGGCCTAAAGCAAATAGACATTTTAAAACCTGGGAATACATTGAACACTTCTTAGTTAGAAAAATGGATTTTAGGAGTCAGCACTTCCTACATGTCCAGATCAGTCCAGCTCCATATACATATGTGCAGAAGAAGCACAGATCAGTCAAAAGAATCTGGATTCATATGGTGGTCCGGGACTCTTATCTCAGATCTGCCATTACTGTGTGGTCTGTGGCAAGTTACTGAATCTCTTGGCCTCAGTTTTGTCCACATAGAAAATGAGAGTGACTGTGCCCAGAATGCAGACCATGTTTTGAGAACAGTTGACTGTGGACTCACCTACCATAGAGCCTGGCAGATGGCAGGCACTGTCTCTGTTTTTTGAAAAAAAATATTTAAGTGCCTAAGATGTGAAAAACTGGTACTAGGCATGTTAGGGTATCAAAAAGTTGAACAACAACAACAAAAAAACTGCCTCCACTCACAAAAGCTCCACACTGTAGTGAAGAAGATGTGGGCACACTTAGAAGAATGAAATAGTGACTAAGAAAGGTGATTGTTTTTTGTTTTGTTTTGTTTCCCCAAACAAAAACAAAAAGATTGAGCAAGGGCTATTAGAGGAGATTCAGTTTGATCTGAATCTTGGAAAATAATCAGTTTCCACAATCAGGAAACTTCCCTTCCATAATCAGGGAAATCAGGCATTAGCTTCTTAGAGGACAAGATGACCAACTATATAGAAATATAAAAACATATGTGGTGAGCTTAGAGAATGGTGAGTCATCCTCGGAGCAAGCAATTATTGGGAGTTGAGAATGGATAGGAGTGAATGCAGGGGAGATGACGGCGGAGGTGCCAGTATGGGCCAGCAAGTTGGAATGCCACCATAAGGAATTTGGAGCCACAGGGAAACATGGAAGGCTTTTAAAAGTGTAATGCGAGGATGCCTCTGCGGTGTGAAGGATGAATGGGAGCAGAAGTCAGTAGAAAACACAGGCATAAGTTAAGAGGCTTAGGCGATGGCCCAAGTGGGCAGTGGTGGAGATAGATCCTGGTGGAGAAGAATAATTAGGAAAAAGAGGGAGGAGAGAGAACACAGGAGCTTCATAAAATACCTATTGAGTGAGTAAAATTAATAGGATATGGAAACAGATTGACTTTGGAAGAAAAGGCAGAAGGAGGACAAGACGGCTTCAGATGATGCATAAATATGAGCTCCTAGGGAGTCTGAAGTTTTTTCAGTTACTTAGTTTTGTTATTTTTGGTTACGTTTTGTTTTTTTTCAAAGTGATAATATCCTAGCTGGGGCTTGGTGGCTCATGCCTGTAATCCCAGCACTTTGGGAGGCCGAGGTGGCAAAAATGCTTGAGCCCAGAGGTTGGAGACCAGCCTGGGCAACATAGCGAGACCCTATCTCTACAAAAAATAAAATAATTAGCCAGGCGTGGTGGCACATCTGTGGTTACAGCTGATTGGGAGGCTGAGGCAGGAGGATCATTTGAGCCCAGGAGGTCAAGGCTGCAGTGAGCTGTGATCGCACCACCGCACTCCAGCCTGTGCTACAGTGAGACTCTGTCTCAAAAATAATAATAATAGTAGTAATTCAGAAATGTATAAGCAATGAAGTGAGAATCACCCAAATTGCCACCATGCAGAGATAATCATTGTTAACATTTTAATAATTGAAACTTCCTTTCTTTTTCTCTTTCCTTTCTTCCTTCTTTTTTTCATCTGTCCTCCCGGCACCATATGTATATAATTTTATATGAAAGTGGTAAAATAGTACTTGCTACTACAGTCAGCTTGGTTCCCAGCATAGCATTAGTTTCAATGCTGGTGATGATGCACAGCTTTACCTCATTGTTTTTAATAGCTGTGGAGCACTCTACTTTTATCTGTGGCATCGTGATTTATTCAACTACTCCCTGTGAATGGATGTCAAGTGTATCTCCCGGTCTTGCTGTTAGAGATCACACATTTCAAGCCCTCGCATATGACTATGAATTCATATGAGGTAGTCCATTCCTAAACATTTTGCCAATAGTGACTTTGGCAATTTTCAAAATCATTTTAATGTGGAAGGCTCCCCTCCCTCTCAATAAAAAGGAGGGTGAAAATCCTCATTTAATTAATTTATGTCCAATGGGAAAAGCTTTATAGGTTTATAACTTATAAGCCTGTAAAGTTCTCCCATTTATACTTTTTCCTTTGTGAATTGCCTCATTTTCCCCTTTGATCTTTGATCCAATGGCACATCTGATAAATCTATTTGTATATTAAAGATATATATCCTTTGTTAGAAACATTGAAAATATTTTCCCAGCGTGTTTGTGTTGTGGGTGTTATGTACATTTGCCTTTTTGACATTTATGTTTTCCCATCTGCCAATCATTTCTTCATGGTTTCTGGTTTCCAGGTCAGGCCTAAGAAGACCTTCTATTACCTCCACAAATAACAGGCAGATGTATGAAGCAGTGGGTCTGGAACTTGCTCACTTGTGCTTTGCCATTTACCCTACAAACTGTGCAAGCTTTCTGCTGAGTTTCCCAGTGGCAGGGCAGGCAAATATCTCATTAAGGGCTTTGAATATCTTGAAATGGAAACCTGACATCTCTCTGAAATCCCTTCTCCTGACAAAACACATAATGCAGACGTAACCTGAAATCAGAACCAATGCAGAGAGAGAGAGAGAGAGAGAGAGAGAAAGAGAGAGAGAGAGAGAGAGAGAATGAATAAGGATGAAATAACACTTATATCAGAGAAAGGGGAACACTTATACGCTGTTGGTGGGAGTATAAATTAGTTCAATCATTGTGGAAAGCAGTATGGCAACTCCTCAAAGAGCTAAAAACAGAACTACCATTTGACCCAGCAATCTCATTACTGGGTATATATCCAAAAGAATATGAATCTTTCTACCATAGAGGCATGTGCACACAAATGTTCATTCCAGCACTGTACACAATAGCAAAGACATGGAATCAACCTAGATGCCCATCAGTGGTAGACTGGATAAAGAGAATGTAGTAAATATTCACCATAGAATACTATGTAGCCATAAAAAAGAATGAGATCATATCCTTTGCAGGAACATGGATAGAGCTAGAGGCCATTATTCTTAGCAAACTAAGGCAGGAAGAGAAAACCAAATACCATATGTTCTCATTTATAAGAGGGAGCCAAATGATGAGAACACATTGATACAAAGAAGGAAACAACAGACTCTGGAACCTACTTGAAGGTAAAGTGTAGGATGAGGGAGAGGAGCAGAAAAAATAACTATTGGGTATTAGGCTTAGCACTTGGGTGATGAAATAATCTGTACAATAAATCCCTGTGACATGAGGTTACCTATATAACGAAACTGCACATGTACCGCCCAACTTAAAAGTTAAAAAAAGAATGATATAATATCAATCCTTGTAAGAAGTCATTTCCAACTCAGAGGCTGCCCTTCTTTCTGGGATATTCCTTATAACTTTCTGTCCCCAGTGGTGTTTGCTAATATATTTGTGTTTAGTCTGAACTTCATCAGTTGCTTGCTCTATTTGCACAACCTTTGGTGTACATGGCTGCCTTATTGAAAAATTTAGTTGGTCTCCTGTGAGCTGAGTTATTGTCTTGCCTTTACAGGCAAGTAGCTTCTTGAATCTGGTGTTCCAGGCATTCATTATACGCCAATGGACTCTGGCTTATAGATTCAGACTCATTGCAAAAAATGGATTCTAAGTAATTCAAATGGCAAGGTTTAAGAGTGAAAATTGCTACTTGTAAGTAAAACAGTTGGGGTTGAATTATGTTTTTAGAATTAGACCCAAATGTTGTTGGCAGATTTTCCTAAAAAAAGAAGTCCTACTTTTCCATTTTTGCCTTTTTTTTTTTTTTTTTTTTTTTGAGACGGAGTCTCGCTCTGTCGCCCAGGCTGGAGTGCAGTGGCGGGATCTCGGCTCACTGCAAGCTCCGCCTCCCGGGTTCACGGCATTCTCCTGCCTCAGCCTCCCAAGCAGCTGGGACTACAGGCGCCCGCCACTACGCCCGGCTAATTTTTTGTATTATTAGCAGAGACGGGGTTTCACCGTTTTAGCCGGGATGGTCTCGATCTCCTGACCTCGTGATCCGCCCGCCTCGGCCTCCCAAAGTGCTGGGATTACAGGCGTGAGCCACCGCGCCTGGCCCATTTTTGCCTATTTTTAATAACAGGAGTCCCCAAGCCCTGGGCTGGATCAATACTGATCCATGTCCTGTTAGGAACCAGGTTGCACAGCAGGAGATGAGTGGCAGGTGAGCGAGCATTACTGCCTGAGCTCCGCCTCCTATCAGATCAGTGGTGGCATTAGATTCTCATAGGAGTGTGAGCCCTATTGTGTCTCATGAGGAACCTGGGTTGAGTGCTCCTTATGAGAATCTAATGCCTGATGATCTGAGGTAGAACACTTTCATTCTGAAACTACCCCCTCACTGGTCTGTGGAAAACTTGTCTTCCTTGAAACCAGTCCCTGGTGCCAAAAAAAGCTGGGGACTGCTGCCCTATAGGGTCTCTTTTTATCCTCTGATGTAGCTTATTCATTTTCATAGATATGTCCATAGTATTTTTTAGTGTAAATGTCTTAGATGAAGGGTAGTAGCAATCTTTTCACACTTTTATTTTGGTGTTATAACAATTGTGACATTTTGAATTCATGTATCCCTTTAATTTTTTTAAATTGAGATATAGCATGCATGCATGAAAGTGTACAAATCATATGACTTCACCTTTGTACATTTTCACAAAGTGAACACACCCATGTAACTAATGTCTAGATTAAAAAACAGAACATCTTGAGCACTGTAGAAGTCTTGCCTTCCTAGTCATTTTTTCTCTCAAAGATAATAATTATTATGATTTCTCACACCATAGATTAATTTTGCCTGGCTTTGAACTGGATGTTAATGAAATCATACAGCAAACATTCTTTCCCTTCTGGATTATTTTACACATTATGTTTGTGAGATTCATCCATCTGGTTGTGTGTACTTCTAGTCAATTCATTCTCATTGTTGTATTCCATTCTTCAATTATATAATGTTTCTTTTAAACCATTCTGTTTTTCATGTATGTTTCCATTTGGGGACTATTATGAATAGTGTTGCTGTGACATTCTACTAACTGTGTTTTGATGAACATTTGCCTACATTTCTATTGCAGATATACCAAGGAGTAGAAAGGCATATGTAGAATGCATATGTTCAACCTTTCAACAGTAGTGGTAGACAGCATATGCCACATATTGCATGAAAGTGGACCTCACAGCTATGCATTTTTGTATTTCTGGAGGAAAATATCAGTATTTAATATTTGAAAGGAATTCAAAAATGTTCGTTTACTTTGGCATGGTTTCCATTATTTGCTTTTATCTGAGAACTCACAAGTTATTCTATAGGTAATACAGTCTGAAGTAAATTGGGTGTAAATGCCCAATCCTTGTCTCATTCCAATTTACGAAGCCCAGCAGAAAACATTTGTTACCCTATATTTTTACAATACATTCATTGTGATGAGGCTCCAAGCTTTATGAACAGGAAATTGGGAGGAGAGAGCTAATATGATCCAGTGTGATTTTAGTGTAACAACTGGAGCCTTTGCAAAGGAAGGAGCCAACAGGTCTGACATGAAACATTGGGGCCACACATTTTTGCAGTGGGATTAAGGAATGGGAGAACTTGTGCTTTTCAGCATTGGAAAGTCCTCCCTGCAAACATTCCACATTTAAAGTAAAATATTTCAAGCCTTCAGAAAGAAGCTGCAAAGGAAAATTGAAATAGCTCAACAACTTGACTATATTTTCTAGATTTTAAGTCCATGACAATAAATCACACTTTTGATCTCTTCTTGAACTTGCACCATTGGGTGGTTGGGGAAGAGTGTTCCAGAAGAGTTTGTGGCAATGAAATAAAATTCTCCTTTCTATCAATATCATTCAATATTTTTATCCTCATTATCAGTCTCATATGATCTGATGTATTAGTTTCTTCCTACATCAAAGTCTGTGTAGGCCATCTAGGACAGACTAAATGGTTTGACAGGAAACCAGGTTCCTTCTATCTTATCCCTCTGCCACCCTAAAAACATGACAGTTTCCATCTCTTGGTCCAAAATGGCTCTTCCAGCTCCCTCTATCCAGTCTGTGCTCCAACCATGAGAAGAGAAAGAAGTAATGGAGACCATATTCCTCTCCTTCAAAGGCACAGGCTGGATGCTTTGTATATCACTGCTGTGCTCATACCTTGGCCCAAACTTAGTCACATGGCTACATCCTGTGTTGTGGGGAAATGGAAAATTTAGTGTTTTGTTGTATACCACAGGCCAGCTAAATGTCCGTAATTATAGAAGGGAAGATTGGACAATAACCAGCAGTCCTATGTGGGTTTGGAGCCTTGATAAATACATTGCATATTTTTATTCATGGACTCTGATCTCTCCTTCTCTCTCTCTCTCTCACACACTCCTTGTCCTTCTTACCTGCTTTCCTTCTGCATAGAACTAATCTCTTAAAGCTCCTCAACTCACTTTTGATCGTTAGAGGTTAGAACCTCTAACGTTTGATCGTTTCTTGGTTAAAACCAAGAAATAGGAGGACAGAAAGCCAAGCAGTCCTTTCCATATCTTTCTTGAGATCTGGGAAAACAAAAATTGTTCTTTTTTTTTAACTGAGTCTATGTGTTAATTTCACTGAGGTAATGGGATGGTTCTGGAATTCTGAGTCTACAGACCCTTGATAAAGTTGAGCTAAAAAAAAAAAATTTCCACCCCAATTCCTAGCAACCTATATTTAACCAGAGCACTTGTCAGTATGTGTTAGACAGGGAAATAATAGTTATCAGTCTACAGTGAATTATAAAGGAAAATAACTAGTTAAACTTGAGATAGCAGGGGTGCCGGACAGCTGAATAGCAGAACCCCTCCACTCTTAAATAGGGCTGGGAGCCTGGAATGCATTGTCTTCAGAGACAAGGAGAGCTGAACGTTCATTGTGTGTCCCTGGAACGGGACACCCACATTCCTTTGTAAGCTTGTCTCAGCTCATCTGCAGCCCTTCAACACTTCTGAGCCACTCATGGTTGTCTAAAAGGGTGCAATTTTTTGGCAGGCAGATTTTGATCATCTTTTTTTTGGAGAGACAGAGTCATCTAGCTCTGGAATTAGCCAACCTGAGTTTGACTTCCACTTTCACCACTACTAACTCACTGTTTGGCTTTAGGCAGATTCTTAATATTTTTCTGAGCTTCAAATTCCTCCAGTTTTATTTAATTTTTTTTAATGTGAGGACATTTTGCTAGTTAACTTAAGTTACTTCACTTCATTCATTCACGCAACAGTTGTTGGTTACATGAAAACTGAGAAAGGCTGAGTGTGAGTCCCCTTTTTCCTGAATATGGGAACCAGGAAATACACATTTAATTAGCACAGGTGTGTTCAGGCTAGGCTGACTATTAGGTTTTTGGCAGGATGTTTTCAAGACGAGATGTAGTACAATGAAGCAATTAAGAGGTTGGGCTCTGAAGTTGGACAAATCTAGGATGGATCCCCAACACTATGCGGCCTTCCTTGAGTTTCAGTTTCCTCATGGTGTTTTTGTTAAGATTGTTGACTCTAGAATCAAATTCCAGCTTTACCCCTTTCTAATGTTGTGACCTTAGGCAAATTATTTAACCTTTCTCTACCTTAGTCTTTCTCTTTAAATGTAGAAACCATAATAGCACTTGCCTTATGTTTTTTGAAAGAATTAGATGATATGAAAAGCATTTAGTATGGCACCTAGAACATAGCAAATGCCTAGTAAAAGGTACCTTCTGTATTGTTTTGGTTGTTGCCAGTGTATTACTCTATTGTCACTCTGCTAATAAAGACATACCCGAGACTGGGTAATTTATAAAGGAAAGACATTTAATGGACTCACAGTTCTACATGGCTGGGGAGGCCTCACAATCATGGCAGAAGGCAAACGAGAAGCAAAGGCATGTCATACATGGCAGCAGGCAAGAGAGTGTGTGCAGGGGAAGTCCCATTTATAAAACCATCAGATCTCGTGAGACTTATTCACTGTCATGAGAACAGCATAGGAAAGATCCACCCCCATGATTCAATTACCTCCCACCAGGTCCCTCACATGGAACGCATGGGAATTATGGGAGCTACAATTCAAGATGACATTTGGGTTGGAACACAGCCAAACCGTGTCAGCCAGATTTGTTTTATTTAAGTTTATTATTTGAAGTTTTAACAAATTTATTTAGGTATGATTGACATACAATAAATTATACATATTTCATGCATACAACTTGATATATTTTGACATATGGATGCAGGTGTA
The DNA here is from genome assembly GCF_000001405.40 of Homo sapiens. Lineage (NCBI taxonomy): Eukaryota > Metazoa > Chordata > Mammalia > Primates > Hominidae > Homo > Homo sapiens. Next base: position 55,841,046 of record NC_000003.12, on the reverse strand, counting down.
AAGCAGTCAGGTTAATGAACATATCCATTACTACCCCAAATTTCCTAATGCCTCTTTGTAATCCATTCCTCCTACCTCTCCATGACCCCTCTATCTCTATCTTTAGGCAAGCACTGATCTGCTTTATGTCACTCTGCTATATAGTAGTTTGCAATTCCTAGAATTTTACGTAAATGGAATCGTCAATGTACTCTTTTTTGACTTGCTTATTTTCACTCATCCATGTTACATGAATCAATAGTTATACCTTTTTATTGCCTACTAGTATGCCAGTAGGTTTGGCATATCATTTGTCTGTTCATTTGTTGCCGCACATTTGGATTGTTTCCGGTTCAGGGCTATTTTAAATAAAATAACTATGACCATTCCTCTATAAGCCTTTTTATGCACAAATGTTTTCTTTACTTTTGTGTAAATACCTGAGAGAGGAATAACTGAGTCATATGGTAGGGTATGCTGGACTTTTCAAGAAATCGTTGACTGTTTTCCAAAGTAGTTGTACCATTTTACTTTCCCACCATTAGTGTATGAGAGTTCCAGTTTCTTCAAATCTTAACCAACACTTGGTATGGTCAATCCTTTTAATTTAGCCATACCAAGTGTTGGTGAAGATTTGAAGTATCTAATTGTGGTTTTATTTTGCCTTTCCCTAAAGACTAATGAACTTGAACATTTTTTCATGTGCCTAATTGTCACCTGTGTTAGATTCTTTGGTGAAATGTTTGTTCATATATTTTGCCCATTTTGTATTGTTTGTTTACTTGTTTTGGAGTTTTGAGAGGTCTTTATATAGTCAATATTTGATTCCTTTATTACACATGTGATTTATAAATCTTTTCACCTAGTGTGGGGACTGCTTTACTTATTTTGAAGCTCTTTTAATAGGAGCATAAACATTTAGGATTGTTATGTCCTCTTGGTTAAATGATTCCTTTATCAATATAAAATGATCCTCCCTATCCCTGCTAATATTCTTTATTTGGAAATCAACTTTGATACTAATAGAGCCACTCCAGTTTTCTTTTGATTAATTAGTGTTAGTATATTTATTTTTCCAGCTTTTTACTTTTTTTCCTATTTCTGTCTTTATATTTACAATAGATAACTTGTAGACTGCATATATTTGAGTCTTGCTTTTTTATCCAGTATGAAAATCTTTGCATTTTAATTGAGGTACTTAGACCAAATACATTTAATGTGATTCCTTGTTATGGCCAGATTTAAATCTGTCATCTTGCTATTTGTTTTTATTTGCCCCATCTTTTCGTTAATTCCTCTTTTTACTGTCTTGATTTGGATTAATTGAGGATTTTTAATTGATTCACCTTTATCTTGGCAATTTATTCACCATAGCTCTTTGTTTTGTTATTTTGGTGGTTGCTTTAGGATTTATAATATGTATCTTTAACTTATTAAACTCTATCTTCAAATAATATTATACCATTTCATGTAGAGCATAAGAATCTTATTATATTTCCATTTTTTTCTTTCTGTCTTTTGTGCTTTTGCTGTAATATATTGTATTTTAATTTTTGTTATTAACCCCACAATACATTTTTATTAGGTTTGTTTTAAATGGCTAATTAGAAGTTTAAATGATGAGATAAAATATCTTTATGTTTACTCATGTAGTTAATATTTTTGGTGCTCTTTATTCCTTTTTGTGGATCAAAATATCCGTTTGGTATTACATTCCTTGTGCTTAAAGACTTTAACATTTTTTTGTGGTGCAGATCTACTAGTGAAGAATTCTATAAGCTTTTTTTTAGCTGAAGAAGTCTTTATTTCATCTTCAGTTTGAAGGTAATTTTTTGTAGTAAGAGTATCCTAGTTTGGCTGATTCTTTTTTCTTTTGGTATATTAAAAATGTTGCTCCACTGTGTTGTAACTTTTATTGTGTCTGGTGGGAAATCTTCTGTTATCCTTATCTTTGTTTCTTTATAAGTTTTTTTCTGACTCCTTTTAAAATTTCTCTTTATCATTAGTTTTAAGTAATTTGGTTATGATGTTCCTTGCCTTAATTTTTCACATGTTTCTTGAGCTTGGTGTTTATTGTAGTTCTTGGATCTGTGGGTTTATAATTTCTGTTGCTGCCATTTTATGGTACCTTCATGAGTAGCAGGGTATTATTTAATACATTATTCTGGTTATCTATTTCTTTTTGAGTGAGCTTTTGTAGTTTGTTTCTTTTAAGAAACTGGTTTATTTCATCAATGTCAGATTTATGAACATAGAATTGTAGGTAATATTCCCTATTTATGTCTGAGGGTTTCTAATGATGATGGTGTCTTTTCCTTTCTGATACAAGTAATTTCTGTCTTCCTTCCTTTTTTTCTTGGTCAGTATGCCTAGAGATTTATCAACTTAAGTGATCTTTTCAAAGAACAAACTTTTTGTTTCCTTGATTTTAGTATTTTTCTAATTTCAATTTGATTGATAGACCTTTCTTGTTTCCTAATAAAACATTTAGTGCTATTAATTTCTCTCTAATTGCTGTTTTATCTACATTCTGTATGCTTTAATATGTTGTGTTTTCATTCAGTTCAAAATATTTTCTAATTTCCCTTGTGACTTCCTTTTTAGCCTGTGGATTATATAAAAGTGTGTTATTTAATTTTCAAATATTTGGGGATTTTCCTTGATATATTCTTGGTATAGATGTTTAGTTTTATTCTATTATGGTCAGAAAACATACTTTTTATAATCTTTATTCTTTTAAATTTCTTGAGGTTTGCTCTATGACACAGAATTTGTCTGTTTTGTCAGTGTTCCATGTGCACTAGAAAAGAATGTGTATTCTGCTGTTGTTGAGTGGAGTGTTCTAAAATGTCAATTAAGTCAAAGTGGTTAATAATGCACAGATCTTCTATCCCGTTGTTGATTTTCTTTCTACTTATTCTGTTGCTTATTGAGAGAGAAGTGTTAAAGTCCAAAGTAAAATAATGTTTTTTTTTCAATTCTGTTTCTGCTTGATGTTTCCTGAAGCTCTATTATTAAGTACATAAATGTGTAATATTGTTGTAACCTCATAATTATGTAATGATTATCTTTTATTACTAGGGACTCTTTTTTTTTAATTCCTGGTAATACTGTTTGTTCTGAAATTGACTTTGTCTGATATTAATGTAGCCACTGCAGCTTTTTTTCCCTTTAGTTTTTGTATGGTATATGTTTCCCATTTTTATTACATTTAATCTGTGTATATCTTTATATTTGAAGTGGGTTTCTCATAGACAGCACACAGTAGGGTTTTGTTTTTTTAATTTACTCTGGCGGGTTCTGTCTTTTTTTTTATTACACTTTAAGTTATAGGGTACATGTGCACAACGTGCAGGCTTTTTACATAGGTATGCATGTGCCATGCTGGTGTGCTGTACCCATTAACTCGTCATTTAGAATTAGGTATATCTCCTAATGCTATCCCTACCCCTCCCCCCACCCCACAACAGTCCCCAGAGTGTGATGTTCCCCTTCCTGTGTCCATGTGATCTCATTGTTCATTTCCCACCTATGAGTGAGAACATGTGGTATTTGGTTTTTTGTCCTTGCGACAGTTTGCTGAGAATGATGATTTCCAGTTTCATCCATGTCCCTGCAAAGGACATGAACTCATCATTTTTTATGGCTGCATAGTATTCCATGGTGTATATGTGCCACATTTTCTTAATCCAGTCTATCATTGTTGGACATTTGGGTTGGTTCCAAGTCTTTGCTATTGTGAATAGTGCTGCAATAAACATACATGTGCACGTGTCTTTATAGTGGCATGATTTATAATCCTTTGGGTATATACCCAGTAATGGGATGGCTGGATCAAATGGTATTTCTATTTCTAGATCCCTGAGGAACACCACACTGACTTCCACAATGGTTGAACTAGTTTACAGTCCCACCAACAGTGTAAAAGTGTTCCTATTTCTCCACATCCTCTCCAGCACCTGTTGTTTCCTGGCTTTTTAATGATTGCCATTCTAACTGGTGTGAGATGGTATCTCATTGTGGTTTTGATTTGCATTTCTCTGATGGCCAGTGATGGTGAGCATTTTTTCATGTGTGTTTTGGCTGCATAAATCTCTTCTTTTGAGAAATGTCTGTTCATATCCTTCGCCCACTTTTTGATGGGGTTGTTAGTTTTTTTCTTGTAAATTTGTTTGAGTTCATTGTAGATTCTGGATATCAGCCCTTTGTCAGATGAGTAGGTTGGGAAAATTTTCTCCCATTTTATAGGTTGCCTGTTCACTCTCATCGTAGTTTCTTTTGCTGTGCAGAAGCTCTTTAGTTTAATTAGATCCCATTTGTCAATTTTGGCTTTTGTTGCCATTGCTTTTGGTGTTTTAGACATGAAGTCCTTGCCCACGCCTATGTCCTGAATGGTAATGCCTAGGTTTTCTTCTAGGGTTTTTATGGTTTTAGGTCTAACGTTTAAGTCTTTAATCCATCTTGAATTAATTTTGGTATAAGGTGTAAGGAAGGGATCCAGTTTCAGCTTTCTACATATGGCTAGCCAGTTTTCCCAGCACCATTTATTAAATAGAGAATCCTTTCCCCATTGCTTGTTTTTCTCAGGTTTGTCAAAGATCATATAATTGTAGATAAGCGGCATTATTTCTGAGGGTTCTGTTCTGTTCCATTGATCTATATCTCTGTTTTGGTACCAGTACCATGCTGTTTTGGTTACTGTAGCCTTGTAGTATAGTTTGAAGTCAGGTAGTGTGATGCCTCCAGCTTTGTTCTTTTGGCTTAGGATTGACTTGGCAATGCGGGCTGTTTTTTGGTTCCATGTGAACTTTAAAGTAGTTTTTTCCAATTCTGTGAAGAAAGTCATTGTTAACTTGATGGGGATGGCATTGAATCTATAAATTACCTTGGGCAGTATGGCCATTTTCACGATATTGATTCTTTCTACCCAGGAGCATGGAATGTTCTTCCATTTGTTTGTATCCTCTTTTATTTCATTGAGCAGTGGTTTGTAGTTCTCCTTGAAGAGGTCCTTCACATCCCTTGTAAGTTGGAGTCCTAGGTATTTTATTCTCTTTGAAACAATTGTGAATGGGAGTTCACTCATGATTTGGCTCTCTGTTTGTCTGTTATTGGTGTATAAGAATGCTTGTGATTTTTGTACATTGATTTTGTATCCTGAGACTTTGCTGAAGTTGCTTATCAGCTTAAGGAGATTTTGGGCTGAGACAATGGGGTTTTCTAGATATACAATCATGTCATCTGCAAACAGGGACAATCTGACTTCCTCTTTTCCTAATTGAATACCCTTTATTTCCTTCTCCTGCCTAATCGCCCTGGCCAGAACTTCCAACACTATACTGAATAGGAGTGGTGAGAGAGGGCATCCCTGTCTTGTGCCAGTTTTCAAAGGGAATGCTTCCAGTTTTTGCCCCTTCAGTATGATATTGGCTGTGTGTTTTTCATAGATAGCTCTTATTATTTTGAGATACATCCCACCAATACCTAATTTATTGAGAGTTTTTAGCATGAAGCATTGTTGAATTTTGTCAAAGGCCTTTTCTGCATCTATTGAGATAATCATGTGGTTTTTGTCTTTGGTTCTGTTTATATGCTGGATTACATTTATTGATTTGAGTATATTGAACCAGCCTTGCATCCCAGGAATGAAGCCCACTTGATCATGGTGGATAAGCTTTTTGATGTGTTGCTGGATTCAGTTTGCCAGTATTTCATTGAGGATTTTTGCATCAATGTTCATCAAGGATATTGGTCTAAAATTCCCTTTTTTGGTTGTGTCTCTGCCCAGGTTTGGTATCAGGATGATGCTGGCCTCATAAAATGAGTTAGGGAGGATTCCCTCTTTTTCTGTTCGTTGGAATAGTTTCAGAAGGAATGGTACCAGTTCCTCCTTGTACCTCTGGTAGAATTCGGCTGTGAATCCATCTGGTCCTGGACTCTTTTTTTTGTTGGTAAGCTATTGATTATGGTCACAATTTCAGAGCCTGTTATTGGTCTATTCAGAGATTCAACTTCTTCCTGGTTTAGTCTTGGGAGGGTGTATGTGTCGAGGAATTTATCCATTTCTTCTAGATTTTCTAGTTTATTTGCGTAGAGGTGTTTGTAGTATTCTCTGATGGTAGTTTGTATTTCTGTGGGATCGGTGGTGATATCCCCTTGATCATTTTTTATTGCGTCTATTTGATTCTTCTCTCTTTTCTTCTTTATTAGTCTTGCTAGTGGTCTATCAGTTTTGTTGATCCTTTCAAAAAACCAGCTCCTGGTTTTGAAGGGTTTTTTGTGTCTCTATTTCCTTCAGTTCTGCTGTGAGTTTAGTTATTTCTTGCCTTCTGCTAGCTTTTGAATGTGTTTGCTCTTGCTTTTCTAGTTCTTTTAATTGTGATGTTAGGGTGTCAATTTTGGATCTTTCCTGCTTTCTCTTGTGGGCATTTAGTGCTATAAATTTCCCTCTACACACTGCTTTGAATGTGTCCCAGAGATTCTTGTATGTTGTGTCTTTGTTCTCGTTGGTTTCAAAGAACATCTTTATTTCTGCCTTCATTTCATTATGTACCCAGTAGTCATTCAGGAGCAGGTTTTTGAGTTTCCATGTAGTTGAGTGGTTTTGAGTGAGTTTCTTAATCCTGAGTTCTAGTTTGATTGCACTGTGGTCTGAGAGACCATTTGTTATAACTTCTGTTCTTTTACATTTGCTGAGGAGAGCTTTACTTCCAACTGTGTGGTCAATTTTGGAATAGGTGTGGTGTGGTGCTGAAAAAAATGTATATTCTGTTGATTTGGGGTGGAGAGTTCTGTAGATGTCTATTAGGTCCACTTGGTGCAGAGCTGAGTTCAATTCCTGGGTATCCTTGTTAACTTTCTGTCTTGTTCATCTGTCTAACGTTGACAGTGGGGTGTTAAAGTCTCCCATTATTAATGTGTGGGAGTCTAAGTCTCTTTGTAGGTCACTCAGGACTTGCTTTATGAATCTGGGTGCTCCTGTATTGGGTGCATATATATTTAGGATAGTTAGCTCTTCTTGTTGAATTGATCCCTTTACCATTATGTAATGGCCTTCTTTGTCTCTTTTGATCTTTGTTGGTTTAAAGTCTGTTTTATCAGAGACTAGGATTGCAACCCCTGCCTTTTTTTGTTTTCCATTTGCTTGGTAGATCTTCCTCCATCCTTTTATTTTGAGCCTATGTGTGTCTCTGCACATGAGATGGATTTCCTGAATACAGCAGACAGATGGGTCTTGACTCTTTATCCAGTTTGCCAGTCTGTGTCTTTTAATTGGAGCATTTTGTCCATTTACATTTAAAGTTAATATTGTTATGTGTGAATTTGATCCTGTCATTATGATGTTAGCTGGTGATTTTGCTCGTTAGTTGATGCAGTTTCTTCCTAGCCTCGATGGTCTTTACAATTTGGCATGATTTTGCAGTGGTTGGTACCAGTTGTTCCTTTCCATGTTTAGTGCTTCCTTCAGGAGCTCTTTTAGGGCAGGCCTGGTGATGACAAAATCTCTCAGCATTTGCTTGTCTGTAAAGGAGTTTATTTCTCCTTCACTTCTGAAGCTTAGTTTGGCTGGATATGAAATTCTGGGTTGAAAATTCTTTTCTTTAAGAATGTTGAATATTGGCCCCCACTCTCTTCTGGCTTGTAGAGTTTCTGCCGAGAGATCCGCTGTTAGTCTGATGGGATTCCCTTTGTGGGTAACCCGACCTTTCTCTCTGGCTGCCCTTAATATTTTTTCCTTCATTTCCACTTTGTTGAATCTGACAATTATGTGTCTTGGAGTTGCTCTTCTCGAGGAGTATCTTTGTGGTGTTCTCTGTATTTCCTGAATCTGAATGTTGGTCTGCCTTGCTAGATTAGGGAAGTTCTCCTGGATAATATCCTGCAGAGTGTTTTCCAACTTGGTTCCATTCTCCCCGTCACTTTCAGGTACACCAATCAGACGTAGATTTGGTCTTTTCACATAGTCCCATATTTCTTGGAGGCTTTGTTCATTTCTTTTTATTCTTTTTTTCTCTAAACTTCCCTTCTTGCTTCATTTCATTCATTTCATCTTCCATCACTGATACCCTTTCTTCCAGTTGATCGCATTGGCTCCTGAGGCCTTTACATTCTTCATGTAGTTCTCGAGCCTTGGCTTTCAGCTCCATCAGCTCCTTTAAGCACTTCTCTGTATTGGTTATTCTAGTTATACATTCGTCTAAATTGTTTTCAAAGTTTTTAACTTCTTTGCCTTTGGTTTGAATTTCCTCCTGTAGCTCAGAGTAGTTTGATCGTCTGAGGCCTTCTTCTCTCAACTCGTCAAAGTTATTCTCCGTCCAGCTTTGTTCCGTTGCTGGTGAGGAACTGCGTTCCTTTGAAGGAGGAGAGGCGCTCTGCTTTTTAGAGTTTCCAGTTTTTCTGCTCTGTTTTCTCCCCATCTTTGTGGTTTTATCTATTTTTGGTCTTTGATGATGGTGATGTACAGATAGGTTTTTGGTGTGGATATTCTTTCTGTTTGTTAGTTTTCCTTCTAACACACAGGACCCTCAGCTGCAGGTCTGTTGGAGTTTGCTAGAGGTCCACTCCAGACCCTGTTTGCCTGGGTATCCGCAGCAGTGGCTGCAGAACAGCGGATTTTCGTGAACCGTGAATGCTGCTGTCTGATCGTTCCTCTGGAAGTTTTGTCTCAGAGGAGTACCCGGCCGTGTGAAGTGTCAGTCTGCCCCTACTGGGGGATGCCTTCCAGTTAGGCTGCTCAGGGGTCAGGGGTCAGGGACCCACTTGAGGAGGCAGTCTGCCTGTTCTCAGATCTCCAGCTGTGTGCTGGGAGAACCACTGCTTTCTTCAAAGCTGTCAGACAGGGACATTTAAGTCTGCAGAGGTTACTGCTGTCTTTTTGTTTGTCCGTGCCCTGCCCCCAGAGTTGGAGCCTATAGAGGCAGGCAGGCCTCCTTGAGTTGTGGTGGGCTCCACCCAGTTCGAGCCTCCAGGCTGCTTTGTTTACCTAAGTAAGCCTGGGCAATGGCGGGCGCCCCTCCCCCAGCCTCGCTGCTGACGTGCAGTTTGATCTCAGACTGCTGTGCCAGCAATCAGTGAAACTCCGTGGACGTAGGACCCTCTGAGCCATGTGCGGGATGTAATCTCCTGGTGTGCCGTTTTTTAAGCCCGTTGGAAAAGCACAGTATTCGGGTGGGAGTGACCCGATTTTCCAGGTGCCGTCTGTCACCCCTTTCTTTGACTAGGAAAGTGAACTCCTTGGCCCCTTGCACTTCCCGAGTGAGGCAATGCCTCGCCCTGCTTCGACTCACACACGGTGCGTTGTACCCACTGTCCTGCACCCACTCTCTGGCCCTAGTGGGATGAACGCGGTACCTCAGATGGAAATGCAGAAATCACCCATCTTCTGTGTCACTCATGCTGGGAGCTGTAGACCGGAGTTGTTCCTATTCGGCCATCTTGGCTGCCCGACCAGGTTCTGTCTTTTAATTGATATGTTTAGACTATTATAATCCTTGATATGATTTTATTTAGGTTTACCATTTTATTATGTGTTTTCCCCTGCCTCCTTTAATTTTGTTCCTCTTTCTCCCCTTTGAGACTTATTTTAGATTATTTGGATTTCCTGCCCTTCCCTCCTCTCCCCTCCCCTTCCCTCCCTTCCCTTCCCTTCCCCTCCCCTTCCCTCCCCTCCCCTCCCCTTCCTTCCCTTCCCTTCCCTTCCCCTCCCCTTCTCTCCCCTCCCCTCCCCTTCCTTCCCCTCCCCTCTTCTTTCCTTCGAAGTTCAGATCTTGCTCTGTCACCCAGTCTGAAGTACAGTGGCACCATCACAACTCACTGTAGTCTTACACTTCTGGGCTTGACCAGTTCTCCCACCTTAGCCTCCTAAGTAGCTAGGACTCCAGCATTGTGCCACCCTGCCTGGCTAATTAAATTTTTTTTTTTTTTTGTAGAGAGGGGTCTTGTCATGTTGCCTAGGCTGGTCTTGAACTCCTGGCTTCAAACAACCTTCCTGTCTTGGCCTCCCAAAGTACTGGGATTACAAGTGTGAACCACTGCAGCTACCTTATTTTAATATTTTTAATATTCTATTTTAATTTATCTATTGACTTTTGACTATATCTATTTGTTTTATTTTAGTTTTTAAAGAAATGGGGTGTCACTCTGCCACTCAGACTGGAGTTCAGTGGTGCAATCCTAGCTCACTGCAGCCTCAAATTCCTGGGGTCAAGGGATCCTACTGCCTCAGCCTCTCAGGTAGCTGAGGCTACAGGCACATAGCATCATACCTGGTTAGTTTTTTATAATTTTTTAGAAATGGGGTCTTGCTATGTTGCCCAAGCTGATCTCAGACTCCTGGGTTCAAGTCATCCTCCCACCTCAGACTTCCAAAGTTCTGGGATTATAGGTGTGAGTCACTGTACCCAGCCTCTTTGCATTTTTAGTGATTATTTTAGAGATTACTATACAGGTACCTAACCTTTCATAGTCTACTTAGAGTTAATATTTTACTACTTCAAGTAAATTGAGAAACCTCACAACCTTATAATTATCCTCACTTTCCTATTTGTCAAATGTATTATATATGTACATTGAAACCCCCTCCCAAGACAATATTATCATTTTTACATTTAGCAATCATACGTAGTTTGAAGGCCCTAAAAGGAGAAAAATAGTCCATTATATTTCCAAGATATTTGCAGTTGCTGTTGAATGTCCTTCGTTTCTGAATTTCTGCATTTCTCTTTAGTCTGAGCAACTTTTTAACATCATTTTTTTAGAGTAGGTCTGCCATTGATAAATTCTCTGAATTTGCCTTTATCATGTTTCATCTTCAGTCCTGAAGCATATTTTTGCTGGCTGTAGAATTCTCAGTTGACAGTTTCTTTATGTCAGGATTTAAAAAAATTGTTCCATTGTTTTCTGTCTTCAGTGATTTCTGAGAGAGGTACACAGTCATTTCAGTCATTGTTTTCTTCTGTGTAACGTCATTTTTCTGTAACTGCTTTGAAGCCTATTTTTGTTTGTTATTTGTTTGTTTGACCTTTTGTTTTTAGCAGTTTGATTTGGATGTAGCTGCAGGTGGGTTTTTTTGTTTGTTTGTTTGTTTCTCCTGTTTGAAGTTGGCTCTACTTTTTGAGTTGTATATTTATGTCTATTACCAAATTTCAGAAGTTTCAGTTATTATTTTTTCTTCAAATATTTTTTCAGCACTGCACTCTTTTTCTTCTTCTGTGATTCCAATGACACAAATGTTCGATATTTTGGGGCAGGTGTGGTGTATTATACCTGTAATCTCAGTACTTTGGGAGGCTGAGGCAGGAGGATCACTTGAGCCCAGGAGTTTGAGATGAGACCAGCCTGGGCAATATAGTGAGACACCATCTTTACAAAAAATTTTAAAAAGCAATTAACTGGATGTGGTGGTGCACACCTGTGGTCCCAGCCACTTTGATAGCTGAAATGGGAGGATAGCTTGAGTCCAGGAGGTTGAAACTTCAGTAAGACGTAATTATGCACTGCACTCTAGGTGACAGAGGGAGACCCCATCTCATTAAAGAAAAAATATATTTTGATATTGTTCTACAGGTTTCTGAGGCTCTATTTATGTTTTGTTAATTTTTTTCTCCACTTTTATTTTTTGGATTGGATGATTTCTGTTGATCTGTCTTCAAGTTTCATGACTTCATGACCGTTTCCATTCTGCTATTGAGATATCCAACAATTTTTAAAAATTTGTATATTTTCTTTTTATTTCTCTTCTGAGATCGATCTTTCCATTTATTTGAAATGTATCAATCTTTATCTTAGGAGCATAGTTATAATAGTTGCTTTAAAGTCTTTGTCTGATATTGTCAATATCTGAGTAATCTTGGGGTTGGCATCTGTTGATCATCTTTTCCTTTCAAAATTGGTTACACTTTCCTATTTTTTATATGTCAAGGATTCTAAATTTTTTTTGAGAGAGGGTCTTGCTCTGTTGCCCAGGCTGGAGTACAGTGACACAATCATGCCTCAGTGCAGCCTCAACTTCCTGGGCTCAATCGATCCTCCCACATTAGCCTCCTGAGTAGCTGGGACTGCAGGCATGTCCCATCACACTCAGCTAATTTTTTTATAGAGACAGGATCTCACTATGTTGACCAAGCTGGTCTGGAATTCTTGGCTCAAGTCATTTGCCTACGTCAGCCTCCCAAAGTGCTGGGATTATAGGCATGAGCCACCTCACCAGGCCTGAATATTTTGAACATTGTGTAGTTTAGACTCTTGGTCCTGCTAAAATCCTGTAGAGAATATTGAATTTTTTTTTTTTCTTAGCAGTCAACCTGGTTAGGTTCCTACCACAAGTCTGTCTTACCTTTGGTGGTAGTTGTCTCAGTGTCCATTAAGTTTTCAAGTCTTTAGATCTATTGTACACATGCACAGCTTAGGGATGAGACTGATCATTTTGCAAGCTCATACATGAACTTATGAAATTTTCATCTTCAGCTCTTTTCCCTCCAGGATTCACTTCACAGTCTGCAGCCCACAGGGCCCTCTTTTGCAGTCCTCTAATAGAAGGACGGGATTTTTCTTGGGGGTTTAACTGCCTGCTGCCCCTGCTGCCCCTGCTGCCCCTGCTGCCCCTGCTGCCAGCTACACTCCGCCTTTAGGCAAAGCTGGAGGAGAAAAAAGGAAGAACAAAATAGGGATTTTCTCCCCTACTCTTTGGACCTCAGGGGTCTCTTTCCCCAGGTCTATGGCCAGAAAGACAGGTTTCCCCAGGAATTTTTATTTTGTGGTTGCTCCTGGCACATCACTTTTGGAGCCTTCAGGAATTTGCGTTTGTATTTTGTCCGGAATGTTTAGCTGTAATGAGTAAGAGAGCTGGTCTGTGGTGGGCCACTCCACCATGGCCAGCAATGGAAGTCTCAGGGCCTAAAGAGTTAAATGCTGCCTGCCATTGTGCAGCTTTCCCTGTGTTCTTTAAAAGTGGAGTTCAGAATTTATTCTTTCGTGCCTCTTTGTACTTACGTGATTTTTCCAGACGGTCACAGTTGGTAGCACGACAGTGACTCTAGCTGAGTGTTTAAAATGGCTGACAACTTTCCAGCTGGTTTCCATCGGCTTGGCCGCAGTGGCGATGGACGTGCTGAACACAGGCGATGTTGTCTGGCTTCTCAACGTTGCTGCTGAGTGGAACAGTTTTGTGAATATCCCAAATGACAGTCTCTCATGAGGGGCTTTGTATTTATCATGGGTTGTAGTACTTTTCTATGTCTGGTTTACTAGTCATACAGTTACTGGCATTTTTGAAGGCTTAAGTCCAAGCGTTTGTCAGTGTGGAGGATGAAGAGATGTAGAATTCACAGGGACCCAGGTACCATGGGAAAGGTAGGATCATGGTTTCAGGGAAGATTTCTGCTCATTATATGGGAAATAGACATATTAAAACAACAAACAACAACTTGATTTACATTGTGCCCAAGTTTTCCCCATGAAAAACAGACTGATTAAATTTGTGTAGTGATTATTCAATCAACATCTTTACCCACATGTGCAGTGGCATTTATGAATTATCAGATATAGCATTTGTAGAAGCAAGGTAGGGGTTGATTATGACCATGTGACTATCATTTCCTCTTTTTCCCCCTTCTCTTCCTTTCTTCCTCCCTCCCTCCCTCTCTTTTCTTCCCTCTTTCTCTCTTTTTCTCTCTTTATCTTTTTCTTTCTTTCTGTCTCTTTCTTCTTACTTTCATCTCCTCCTCCGTCCCTCTTTCTTTTTCTCTTTCTTCTTTCTTTCTTTCTTTCTCTTCCTTTTTTCTTTTTCTCCTCTCTTTCTTTCTTTCTCTCTGTTTCTTTCTCTTTCTCCCTCTTTCTTTCTTTTCTTTTCTTCTTCCTTTATTTTCTTTCCTTACAATGAGGGAATGACTAAATATACTGGAAAAAGGCCAGGAATCACATGCAGCAGGAATACCGAAAGAATGCTCCTTACTCAAGAGGGAGTTGTTACAGATAAATCCAGAACAATTAGACCGTGTTACTTCCTTTTGTTAAGGCAGCCATCTGAGGTTATAGCTAATGTAAAGGAGGGCATTGTCAGTAAGAAGTAAAGTGAGGCTGCTATTAAAATGAAACAGGCTGTGCTCTGCTTGGTGGCCTCTCACTTCAGCCGGCTCTTCAGTGATAACCACTGCCCTCCAGGAGAATTGGGCAGGAGAGTTGGAACCCCTCCCAGAGCACAATGTGCCTCGCCAGTCTTCCATTTGAAAGCTATTTTAAATCTTTTTGGAATTATCCAAATAGTTATGACAAAGTAAGACAACAAATACACTTCTAAATAGATAAATAAGTGTAAAACAGACTTTCTACCGAATGAATATGGAGGAGAAAAAACTGAAGTGGAAATCAGGAATTTAGACTTCATTAGTTTGGCATGGTTTAAGACACTCTCTGGGTCTGTTTTAGCCTTTTGTAAAATGGGGAGGGTGGTATATCTGATACAGTAAACAATGAATGGAAATTGTTAAACAATGATTATTGTCAGGCTTTGCATTATGTGCATTACAAGAACTAGTTCACGTTTTAACCTCACAACAACCTATAATATATACGCTGTTAACATTCCTTTTTGTTAGATGGGCAATTCAGGCTTAGGGAAGTTACTTCATTTGCCAGTGTCAAATAGGCTTCAACTTAAGGTATTCTGAGTCCAGATTCTGGTAGACTCCTGGAAATTACAACTACTCAGTAATAGAGGTCAGCTGGAGCCCTAATTCTGACTGTTCTGTAGTGGCTTCCTGGAGCACTGCATTCACAGTCATTTTGAGGCCAAGTACACTAGAGCTGTCCTGGATTGATTGTTCTTTCCTGCTATGGCACAAGAGGACAGAATGAAGACAAGTGTGCTGGTGTTTGCCATCCACCCAACTTTGTAATTTGCCAGTATTGCTTCAGTTAAAGTAGCTTTTATTGCTGTTCACAACCACCTTTATACTCATGAGATACCAAGGACTCTGTGAAGCTCTGCGGTTTTTGTAGCAATATGTCCTCCCTCCCTCCCTTCCTCCCTTCCTTCCTCTCTTCCTCCTTCCTTCCCTCCCTCCCTCCTTCCCTCCCTCTGTCTTTCCTTCCTTCCTTTCTCCTTCCTTCTTTTGTTTTGTTTTGTTTTTAATTTTTTTTAACTTCAACTTCCCCAGAAAGAAAAATGTTCAGAATCCAACATGTAAAAGAGGTGTAGAGATAGGAATAATGATGTTATAAATAATAATAATTAAAACAAAAACAACAAACACAATAATGATACTAATACTAGCAAATATAGTAGTTTTTCAGTTTTCATAACTTTATATTAACTTTAGTGTAATATCACCACAGATGAAATATTAATTTCTCAGCAGAGGGTAAAATACTTTTGAGAGATGGCTGAAATTATCACAGGACTTAAAGGATGATTATACATTAATAATGGTTCTAATGTTAGAAAAAATTCAGAAGTAACTATGTCCATTGAAAAAAACAGCCATGATATTATCTCAAATAAAAATTATTAGTGACTTTTAGATGGATATTTGTGTACTGAAGAATAGTGATATTTTAAATAGTTATGCAGACATCCAGATATACAAACATATGCACACACAAACTCTTTGTGGCAAGTCTGGAAAATTTGGACATTGTGTTGTACCCTTGGAGGTTCAGATCATAATCATTAGATAAAGAAATCTGTTAAACTGTATATTGTATTTTTCAATTACTTTGACCATATAACCGTTTTATTTGTTAGTAATTAAAACCCTAAGGAGTTACTGTCACATGTTGGAAAATGCCAGCCCAAGACTCAGGTATAAAATGGAGGAGGAGTATTTTTCAGGGTAATTGACTGCTCTTCCTCAGCCTGGATCTGAAATTGTTAACACTGAGAACTAAGCAACCCTGCTCACAGTTTGAAATGAAGACACAAGGAAGAATTCCAGGTTCTTGCCCTGTGGTACTCCCTGGGTGAACTTCTGTGTCAATTGTAAATCTAGTTTTAATTGAAAGTTACTAAAATACATCATGATAAAAAAAATGGTGACTCTACCTGAGACCTCAATTTGGTGGTAAATCATCATAAAATAGTGATGATTAAGGGGAAAAATGAGTTATTTGGCTTATCTAAAATAGAGAGGAAACAAAAATGAATGAACATGTTCTGTAATTTGTGGAGAAAATCTAAACACTTATCTCAACGGCTAACCACGTTTGGGCAGGAGAAGCTTTGCTATACCCATTCAATGTTCATTTAAATTTAGAACGGGATCCACAGTGTAAGCCAATGCTTCTTAAAGTTTAATGTGCATCTGAGTGACATATAGGCTTATTAAAAATGCAGGGCCCCCAAAAGGCACTGAAATTTTGATTAGCAGATGTGGGTTGAGGCTCAGGAATCCATACTTTTACAACACTTTGAGAAACACTGATGTAAACCATGTGATAACACTAGAAGTGATAAAGTGTTGTGGGAACTCTCAGAATCCTCAACATAAATAATCATTCCACCCAGGCTGACTTTTGGCAAAATGTCAAAAAATGCTTTGCCCTGTATATTAGTTGGAGTCAACTAACTGCTTTAACACATAGACCCAAAAATGTATAAATGCTAAAACATACAGGAGTTTTTTTCTTACTCATATGGGAGTTTATTTTTGCTCATATAAACAGTCCAAGGAAGGTCCAGGTTAACAGGAGTCTCTGTTCTGACATGGGTGTTATGGGGGCCTGGATGATGGAAGGTTGGCCATCTTCAACTCACAGCTTCCAGTTCCACTTGTGTGTTGATATCCAGATGGTAGAAATGGAGAGAGCCTGGAGAATCACGAATAGTATTAGAGGCAAAATTTTGGCCACCCCCTCAATTCTATGTTGTAGGCCCAAATCCTGGTCTCTCAGACTATGACTGTGTTTAGAGGTTAGGTCTTTAAAGAGAAAATTAAGTTAAAATTAGCTTGTTCAGGAGGGCCCTAATCCAATATGACTGACATCCTTAGAAGAAGAAGAAAATGGGACATGCATAGAGGTAGCAGGGTTACATGTGCACAGAGAAAAGACCATGTGAGGACACAGCAAGAAGGTGGCCATCTGCAAGCCAAAGGAGAGAGGCCTCAGGAGAAACTGAATCTGCCGACACCTTGATCTTGGATGTCTAGCCTCCAGACTGTGAAGAAATAAGTTTCTGTTGTTCAAGTCCCCTAGTCTGTGGTATCTTGTTATGGCAGCCCAAGTAAACTAATACAATTGGGAATTTGAGGGCTGTACTGGAAGTGGGGCACGTCATTTTCACTCACTCTTCATTAAACAGAAGTCAGTCATATGGCTCCCTATGGGAGCGATGGGATCTGGAAAATGAAACCAGGAAGAAGAAAAAATGAGTTTAGTAAGTAGTATGTTATAGTATCTGCCATACCCTGTGTCCCCTCTTTTGCATTTGGGCTACTCATCTATGGATTTAGAGAAAGCTTCTCAATTCCAGTAGGCCAGGTCATTGACTTCCTTCTCCGTCCCTCTCAAAGCCCATGTCTAAACCAATCATTTGTTGTGGGGGTGAGGAGGAGGAGGGGCATGCACTATGAATGACTCAGGCTGGGTAAAATGCCCACCCTGAGACAGGGAGGAGGGGGACCCATGCCTAAGATGTTTACCAGGACAGCAGGGTATGGTAGGAAGGCCATTTGCCAAAGTATGAAGGGTACTGGGATAACAAAGACAAGAGGTGAACACTATGAAGGCAGAAAATGTACTCCCTCTGGGAGGATATTGGGATTTTAAAAGAACATTGCATGTGGTCCAGCTTGAATGATGGGAATTTAAAGCCTTGGAGCAAGTGAACTCTCTGAGGTCACTTCAAATCACTCAGATGGGTGAGTGCCCATGGCCAGCTTTCTCATGAGGCCAGCTCTCTCATGAAGCCAGCTCAATTACAATGGACTTAAAATGTAATTGAGTGGACCCAGTTTTGCTCTACTAACTCAGCACAAAGAGGCCAAATGACTCCTTCATGTCTTTTAAAATAGAAATGAAAGGCACTGCACAATTCCTGACCTCATTAGTTTAGCCCAGATGATATTGGCAAAGCCATGTGTGATTGGCGAATGAAGAAAAAGAAGAAGGGGTTTGCCATGACGAGTCTAGGCAGCATGATGGCTATTAAAAATTCTTGGGGCTCGGTGCGGCGGCTCACGCCTGTAATCACAGCACTTTGGGAGGCCGAGGCGGGTGGATCACGAGGTCAGGAGATCGCGACCATCCTGGCTAACGCGGTGAAACCCCGTCTCTACCAAAAATACAAAAAATTAGCCGGGCATAGTGGCGGGTGCCTGTAGTCCCAGCTACTCGGGAGGCTGAGGTAGGAGAGTGGCGGGTGCCTGTAGTCCCAGCTACTCGGGGAGGCTGAGGTAGGAGAATGGCGTGAACCCAGGAGGCGGAGCTTGCAGTGAGCCAAGATTGCGCCACTGCACTCCAGCCTGGGCGACAGAGCGAGACTCCGTCTCAAAAAAAAAAAAAAGAAAAAAAAGAAAAAAAAATTCTTGTAAGTCAGAACAGTCCAGCTGGTGATAAGAACCATGATGAGGATGAAAAAACCAATTAAGCATGCTCACTGAGTGGGTCACCGAGTCCCTACTTTCATTGCTGTACATAATAAAACAAGATAATTTAATTAAGGGGTGTAACAGGTCTTAGCCCTAAAGGACTAACTTGAAGATTATATTGTAGCAACATAAATTTCAGAAACAGGCCCCATGTGTTAGTTGATTTTAAGTCTTTTTAGAATAAGTGAGGATCTTAAAAGGAAATATTTTGGAAGACTATCACCATGCCAAAGTCAAAACTTCTTTGATGACTAACGCTATGCCAAGTTCACAATCTCTTGAACAACTGCACCATGTCAATTTCAAATCTCAGAACATTTAAAAATGTACACTTGCAAGGCTTTAATAAGCCAATAGAATAAATGCCCAGCTACTTAATGAAACCAGTAAAGCAAAGGGGACTTTTACAGTGAAAATATCCTTTACACCCTCTCAGAAAAAGAAAAAAAAATCTGAAGTTTTAAATGAAGTCTTAGGAAACATCAAAGGAAAGATCATTTTTTAACCAACTCCATGTGAATGCTGGGAGCATAGCATGAACACACCTGAATGTACACATTCTCTCTCTGTCCTGACACCTGCCAGCTGTGTGACCTTAGGCAAGGTGTGGGACTTCTCTGAGCCCCAGCCTATGGTAATCTACTGATTATTGAGAGATATTCTCCATCATCAGATAGTCTCCATAAAGGGCCTTGCACAGTGTGGGACACACAGAAGCTCTCAATATGTATGTATTAGGTGTTATTAGGTTAATGGAGTCATAGCTGTTCATAAGTTCATCATGAGGACTGAATGGTGGTCCCTGTGAGACATTTGCATGCATGCTACATCAGCTCTTGTTAGAATGACCATCAGCTTTGTCAGAAAACAAGTTAGGTTTCTTTTGGTCCTGGTGTTCTCTCAAGTTTTGCACATCCTTTAGGGTGCATCACTGTGAATCTTCTGTTTCAATCTCAACACAGGTTAATATGTAATGACGCTGGTAAAGTGTGCTTCAATAAAAATGATAAAATATAGGTGGTTGGTCAGTAAGGGAATGGGGCAGTGGAATTTGTCTTAGTAGCACTCAGCCCCTTCACATCTAGCGATTCTCATCAAGCTCATTTCCACGTGTTTGATGGGTTTCCCAGAACTCAAGTGCTCAGAATTAGCCCCTCTACAGACCACAGTGGCCGGCGAGCCAGAGATGGGGTCATTTTGGTTTTCAGATTTTAACATGGGGAATAACTTTTGGCAGTCCTATTGCACACCTATTCTTGTTAAAGCAAGCAATCATCTGGAGGAACAGTAGGGTTTCTCCTCCACATTCATCAGTCTAATCTCACTGTTCAGTTGATGTGGTTTCTCCTCTCCCCCTCATAAAAGGATTCATTTTCAGAAGAAAAACTCATTTTGAAGGTTTCTTTTTTTTACCCCTTCTTCACACGCTCTAGCACCCTTCATACCTGTCTCTTTTCCTCATTCTGTTTCCTTCCTTCTTCTCTTGCTCTCTCCCATTTTTCTTCCCAACACTGAACAAGCAGCCAAGGAAACCTTCAAGTTATAAAACATTAGCCTGACACTGGGGCTAAGAAGGCTGTCTCCCTCTCCGTTACACTTATGCCAGCGCAGTAGCTTGGCCCAGGGCTCACTAAATGTTCCTTGAGTGATCAGATGGTTGAACAAATGAATGAAGCAATTAATGATTTTGTATAGATGCATCCTGCAGAGCAAGCCTCAACTCCCTGATTCCATCTTCTTGTTTGAACATTTTCTCACCCAGAGTAGTGACCTATCTGGTGCCCTGCCCGGCTTGGAGATCTGGCTCCACTACTTACTCGCTGTGTAACCTTGGGTATGCTACCTGATCTCCCTGTGCCTCAATTTATCTTCTTTAAAATGGGTAGAGCGAGTCTTTAAAGCAGTCTGTTAAGAGCATCGGTTGAATACACACACGCTTTCAGAATAAGGTCAGACACCATAAGTGCTCAGTAAGTGTTGTTATTAAAATTTTGAATATTATAACTAAGTTTATGAGCTCACGTGAGTTGATTTCTGTGACAACACTTTAAGTGTAAGGCTTATGGCAAAGTTAATAATAATTTATTTTCACTGAGTTGCTTTGCTTTTTTTGTTCTACAAAATGTTAATTCTGTAGTTCTGGTCCACTCCCGTTCTGAGCTAGTTTTTCTTGCATTACTCAATGTCATCAGGCCAAAGTATTTACTCCCTTATGCCTCAGAGAGTCTGCCTGAGGTCCTTGTTTCTCAATGCTGTTTTGTGGCTCCACTCTCTTTTATGGATGTGAAGAACCAGAAGGAACTCCTAACCCCACCCTCCATGTGGGGCTCCACTTCTAGACCCCACGTGGACACCTGACACTTACTCCTGAATGCTCAGCATCCCATTTCATGGAGCTTATTCTCCAGACAGCAGTCTGCAATGGGCATTCTGCTAGACCCCTTTAGGAACAACCTCATGGGCACAATTATCCACTTGCCCCCTCAAAGTGAGGTGAAATTGCTAATTACACCTGCAAGAGGCTAATTGGGAACCCCCCTCCATTGCACGCAGCCAAAATGCACCTGCAAGTAATTAACTTCAGATGCCCAAATTGTACCCACAAGAAAGGAGAGGAAGCCCAGGCTGAGACCCCAGCCTCTCTGAAAAGGTTCATGTTTCCCAGGTTTGAGTTGGACCCTTTGGACATCAAACGGGGCAGAGAAGGCTTCTGTGCATGGCCATGGAGTCTGGTGCAGCATTCCAAAGCGGCACTTGTCTCTGCCGTCCTAATATCATCATTGTCTAATAGATGCTATCCCACAAGTGGGAGAACAAAAATGGGCTCCAGAGCCTTTCCTTTCTTTTCTCTCTGTGTGTGGTAGAGAATTTCCACTCACCACATGTCCCTCTATTATATCTTTATGGAATCTGCCAAAATAAATAGTGTAGTTCCTTTATTTTTAGTTGGTATTGCACAGGTTCTTCTCAGATTAAGCAGTCAAAGGTCAGGAAAGTTGAGATGAACCATAGTTTTAAAACCATTGTACTGCATAAAGTTATTTATAGAGGAGTTTTCATGTATAGACTTGATTAAAAGCTGAGGATATTTGCTCAACAGAAAGGCGAAAAACCATCATTATCTGATTTTACATGGAATTCAGTGGCTGCTAATCAAACCCTGGCCTGCATCTGGTTAAGACATACTTGGCACTGGCTTGTCACAAGTCGAGGTTTTGCCATGTCAAGGGATCTTTCACTCAAAGCGGTGACCCATATTGGACTGAACAAACACACGAGTTTTTAATCGAGAACAATAGTTTAACAAACCACTTCCCAGGACCATTGAAAGAAAAGTATGTGCCCATGGCATTTCTGGCACCAAAAGATGTTTATTTGAATGCATTTACTTTAAACCATAGCCGAAAATGCCCAGCAGAGAAGGACCATTAAGAGCTAGTGCAGAAAAATGAATTTCTATGGAGTGACCCACACTAGCTTGCACCAGTGCCAGCCAATCTTGCAAGGTACTCTGGTATCTGTAAAAGCTTGTTCCTTCCTATGTGCCCAAGTAGACATAAAGATACTTGTGGACTTGCGGAAACAAGTTATATACATTAACTCTGAAATGCTTTCCATTAGAAAATATTAAACGTATTCCTTCTCTGAATCCATTAGAAGTTTCTTTGCTGAATTGTTGCCAGTGAATCTATGTAGTGAGTTTGGAGGCACTTTAAAAATAAGAAGCATTTCTAACAATTGGTGAATGCTAGGCATTGTGCTAAGTGCTTCAGCTGCCTTGTCACATTGCACACACGTAGCACCCCTCTGTGGTTGGTGGTGTCAATGCCTCCATCTTGCAGAAGTGGAGAACAAAGTCAAGATAGTTAGGTCACTTGCTAAGTATCCCAGCTTGCAAGTAGCCAGTGAGAGTTCACACCTAGATTCATCTGAGCAGAAGGTCAGCTTCTGTGTTTCTGTTTTTCTTTTGAAAGAAGAAACATTCTTATACTGTTGTACTGTGTGTTTCATAGAAATCTTATCAGTGTAATAGCATTTGATAATTGCTGAATATTTGATCTGGAGTGAGATATACATTGATATCATTCATCGAGGTATAAAAGTTAGTAGTACTGTACTGTTTTTTAATTCTGACTTTTAGGATTTATTGACTATTTCAGACTCCTACTCTATTCTGATGAAATGAGAGGCACTTCACTATGCTTTTACCCAGGGCAGGGACTAGGCTGATTTGGCTGTGAGGCCCCAGCTCTGAGTGTGGAGCTTGGCACACAGAATCCGTGTTGCATAAATGTCACCATAATGTATTGAAACATTCAGGGTATGGTCTCCTTCCAGGACAGCTCTGGAAGGTCTTGGCTGTTTTGCCAAAAGAAAGGAGGAATTTCACTTGACAGTCCCATCGTTCAGACCTTAAATCTTACTTATGATCCCCCAGAAGTGAGGTGCCTCGTGAAAGAGGTGCTGACAAGCAGTCAAATGGCTGGCTCGAAAGGTCAATAAGGAGAGGCCAAGTTTGAGACTTCATCCAGTCAGAGAACTGGAAGGCTGTTCCTTTAACTCACCTGGAGCTGCTCTGTCCTCATCAGCTGGAGGTTTGCCACTACAGAAAATAATAAGATGATAATGGTGATAATGAGACTAACATTTACTGAAGGCTGTTTGTGTTCCAGATATTGTTCAGAGCTCTTTACGTGCGTTATTTCATTTGATCCTCACCATGAACGGATACTATAAAATGGTCTACCTGACAGATGAAGAAACTGAGACTCAGATAACTTAACTGCTTTGCCTTGCAAGTGACTTGTGAATAAAGCAGGTGAATTCAGAAGTTCTTTTGGCCCCTGAGCCCAAGGAGATAACCCCTACACATTAGTGCCTCAACCGAGGTTTGGGAGTAGTTGACTTTCTAATAAATATATGAGTCAATTCAGGGTTATTCTTATGACAATATAAATATCGCTTATTTGCAACCTGAAATGCTTTCTAGAATGAAAGAGGAGAGGTTAGACGTGATGAGCTGAAGGCCGCCCATCCCTTGGGTGAACTCTCAGGAGTGTCCAATTGGGGATGCTGTGGCACAAGTCAAGGCTGAGAGGCAGCAGAGGGCTGCCCACCTCACTGCTGGAAAGGCTCAGCCATTTGTTTCCTGAACCTGTGCACGTTAGATGTGAAACACTAAAAGCTTGGAAATGATTGCAACAGGGACCAGAGTAGCAAGTCAGAGCTGGGTTCAGATCTCAGTTGTTTTGACCTTGGGAAAGTGACCTGATCAAGAGCCTCACTTGGGAGCAAAATGGGGATAAGAATAATAGTAGAAGGTGGTTGTGAGTTATTGCGTGAATGGTGCTTAAACCAGGGTCTAGCAAGTAGTGAATAACCCACATTATTGGAGACGGGTAGAAACCCCCTCCTGTCCTACAAGCCTTACCTTTGAAAGTGGTTATTTGAAGCATCGTGTGCTCAGTGGAGCCTGAGACTAGCCTCTGATGTGAATATTCTGAGGAATCTTGACACATTTGACAGTCAGGTAGCTCACTCGTCACTTTCTCTGCACTGCTGCACATGCCAGACAGCAGAAAATCTTTTCAAGTCTCTTTCAGGATTTATGTAAGGAATTTCTACCTGGCCAGGTCTGATTGTCCATAGCAACCTACAGGAGTCTCCTTTAGGCCTGCTTTGCCTGCTTGGGGTGTTTTTCGTTTTTTTTTGTTTTTGTTTTTGTTTTCCCCAGATAAAATAGTTCTGTAGAATAACCCAATTTATCCCTGCTGTAAAAAACTCCTGTTTTGCAATCACAGCCTTTCCTCTGAGGAAAGATGGGATTTGAATTGTCTTAAAACAATGGGAATTATGTGCGGAAATGAGATTGCATCTGGCATAAGTGCAGTTATGCTTGTGCTAAGAAATGAGTTCCTTCAAGGAGTCTGCTACATACTCAGAATGTCCCCAAGCATCAGGTTTTGTTCTTGTTCTTTGGATTTATTACCATCATTACTAGTAAATGGGAATAATGCTTTGTATCTATGTGGCTTTCATTCAAGATGCCCAAAGTGGTTAAAGATGTGCACATTGGTATGGAGTGGGGCCACATGGGTCACAGTTTTGATAAGGCTCACACTCATATTCACTAAGTGATGTCACTAGTAAATGCTAACTTTCAGCAGCTTTCAGGACAGACAAGCCTTGCCAGCAGATGCAGCAGCAAGTAGGGATGGAGGCTTGGGAGTAGGGAGATGTAGTAGGGAGACTAGGAAAGCCTCTCCCATCCGATACACGCTTAAAATTCCCCCATTTGGGATTCACTGTTGAGAAGGTTAACCATTGCACATTTTCTCTAAGTCATATTAATACTTTCTGAGGAATTATGTTATCAGATTGCTTTCCTCTGAAAGTCTGAAAGACTGCAAGGGAGAAGAAAATATAAAAAGGCTAGAGTGCTGCAGAGTTAAAGTCCCTGGGAGCAGTCCTCCACCAATGCCAGGTGAGAACTGGTGGAGCAGAATCCCAGCTGCCTACCCTCTAAGAAGATACCTGAGGCAGTCTGGTAGGTTTTCCAGAGGCTCCCAGTGGGACTGAGCTCCGTTTCTTAGAGTGGTAACCTGCTTACTCACGAAGGCATTTTGCATTGGCTTCCTTTCCTTTTCTGGCTCACTTCTTTACCCCCTTACCAGTTTTGACAAGGCTGTCAACTTTCCAATTGAAGTCTTACAGTCAAATCCTGGGTTAGAGTCCGCTACATCTGGGGAATCCCCCGCGTTAGTTTTCTATTGCCGCCATAACGAATTACACAGAGGTGGCAGCTTAAAATATCACATGTTTATTATCTCAGTTTCTGTAGGTTAGAATTCTAGCTAGATTCTCTGCTCAGGGTCTCACAGGTTGAAATTCGGTTAAGCAGCTGAGGCTGCAGTCCTTATCCAGGACTCAGGCTCCCCTTCCAAGCTCCTGGTTGTTGGCAGAATTGATTGCCTTCTTGTGTTTTCCACGTGGCCGCTCCATTTTCAACTCAGCAATGGCAGACTGCATTCTTATGCTTCACATCGCTCTCACTTCCTTTTCTGCTTTTAAGAACTCAGATGATTATGTTAGTCCCGCCAGAATAATCCAGGATAATTTGCCTGTTTTAAAGGCAAAGCTCGTCAGTGACCTTAATTATGTTTGCAAAGTCCCTTTTGCCAGGTAACATAATATATTAATGGGTGTAACAGTAGGGAACAAAATGACAGGGGCCAAGATTCTGCCTATGACACCCCACTAAGAGTAGATGTCTCAGTGCATTTCTAAATGGGCATCTTTGGTATATTTGAACCCTAATTGAAGTTATTGAAGTAATTGTTCAATAAGCATTACTGGTGGCTGCTCTATGTTAGGCCCCATTCCAGTATTTAAAGAGTTTGCCTTTTGGAGCTGAGAGTCTGTTGGTGGAGACAGACTAAACAGGGGATTACAACAAGTGGACTGCCCCAGTAAGATGGGATGGGCAGCTGCTACAATAGGGGTCAGAGTGCTAAGGAATCAAGGGAGGATTCTGGATGGGGTATCTTGTCTAGACCATAGACTTAAAGGATGAGAAAGATTTAACCAGACAGAGGGGTAAAGAGCAGACTTCTTGCCAAACACCATGCCTATTTTAGATGACTTTGTCATTGCATGGTATCCATTGAGTTCCAGCATGTGCCACACGATTGTGAGTTTGACAAGGAGTAGAGGGTCAGGAAAAATGCTTTCATGTGGAACATGGAGAAGAGTGACTAGAGCCATATATTAATCCAGGTTTCATGCAGGCTTGTAAATAAATAGCCCACATTTACCACCCCACATATATCTTACAACTTGTCATCTGTCATGTAACTACTTCTATAGAAAGATTGACCACCTCAGCCAACATTTCTGTTTCCCTAGTTATTTCATGCCTGAGCTATGGTTTTCAAAGGCTTTCTTTACATAAGCCCTATTTGAACAGAAAGGGAAGAGTAGAGAATGTGATTCATACTTCAAAATGTAAAAATAAAGTTAAAATGCAGTACAGCAGAGCAAAAACTCTTCCGAGTTGGCAGCAGGAAATCTTGGTTTGATCCTAGATCATATGTGGATTCTCCAGCAATTTATAAACTTGACTCGTCTTGGTTTTCTTACCTGCAAAATGAGTATATTACCACTGGCTTTGTGTATCGTATAGGATTGTCATGAAAATCAAAAGGAGAAAATGTACATGAAATAACCCTGAAGGTTGGATTATGCATGTCTAGGAACCAAAATCTTCTAATTTAAATCTTCCTGAATTTTGGGACCCTTGAATAATCAGGTTCCTGGAAAGAGTTTTTGATTGGAATGCCAGAGATACACTTAGATTTTTGTTTTTCATTCTGTTTCATCTTCAATTTGCTGGTACTAATGCATTTGCAAAAATGTTTATAAATGCTTTCATCTTCCTCTCCAAACTTCATATCTTACTTCATCCCTGGAATCTTTTCCTTTTGGCCATGTAGATCCTGTTCCCGCCTTTCACATGCTTTGAAGTGGGTTTTGTAGCATTCCCAGTAGCCAAGAGGGTTACATGAGAAGAAGTTGAAAAGTGTGTGCTGCCTAAGGCTAGGAGAGTGGTTGACTAAATGAGCCAATGTGGCTTTAATGGAGGGACTTGCATTTAATAGGAGAAATAATTTTGAAGGAATGATAAAAATTTGGCATTCATATTAAGGCTGGCTCTTTGAAGGTGTTGTGGCAAGCCTTTTATTTTCTCTTGTGTAACTATTTACACATGCTGAACATTTTTGTGTTACATAATTTTTATTTCTTCATTTGTTAGGGAAAAAATAGCCAGTACTGAGAAGAAGGCTAGCATAGAAAGCTGGCTACCTGGTCAGACAGTTCCCAGTCACCTTGTACCTTTCCAGCTCAGTGCAGGGCAGATTTTCAAAGGACCTTCCTGAGCACAGATTCTGTAAGGACTGTGAAGATCACTGAGAAGCAGTGTGGAGTAAGGGAACGAGCACAGAACCAAGGAATGAGCTGACCTGAGCTATGTTCTTGATTCTGCAATCATGTAGGCCAGGGCTGTCCAGTAGAACTTTCTGTGGTGATGAGTTCTCCATCTGCACTCACCAGGAGGGTAACCACTTGCTCCACGTGGCCTCTGAGTGCTTGCAATATGGCTGGTGCAACTGAATTTTAAATTTTATTCAATTTTAATTAATTCAAATTTAAATAGCCCAGTGTGGCTAGGAGGAACCTAGCTATACTGTATTGGACGCATAGGTAACCGAACTAGTATAGCCTGAGAAGGTTTGTATAGCAGTGGTTTAGAAGACTGTGGCTCTGGAGTCAAGCTGCCTTGGTACAACTCCTAACATTTGCTTTCCATAGGACATTAGCAAGGTACTTGGTTTTTCTGTGCTTCGGTTTCTTAATAGGCAAAATAGGGATAATGACAGTATTTTCTCATTGGACTTTTATGAGAATTGAAATAAGAAAGTGTACAGTGCTTAACACAGTGCCTGGCACTCATTCGTCTTTCAAATGGACCTTAGGTTATGGAGTTAATTTCACCATGATACTTGATTCATGCCATACTGTCATCATTGGTCCAGGCAGCATGCAAGACACGTGCACATGCACACACATGCATGCACACACGTACACACAAACACAAACTGACCATCACACCAAGAGTCAGCAGATTAATTATAACATTATGTCTGTGTGGGGTTTCCCCCTCTCCTATTGTGTGCCTTGCCCTGAGATACACCCATGACCCTGGGTTTTGTGTTTATTATTACCAAGCTTTTAATAAAATAGTCAAACTCTCTGTGCTTGGAATGCTCCCTTCCCCCGCTTTTAAGTAGATCCTCCCTCCTGTTCTCTTTGATTGCCCTCTCAAGCTCATTCATCATACCTCCTCCCACTTGTAGTTGGGTGCCCTGTGGATTGCCTGTTTCATCAGATTATAGCAGTAATTGTGACTCTCTTATTCTCTATTGTATCTTTGGAATCTGGAATCCAATGTCTGGAACATCATGGATACACAACAAGTATTTGCGTGATGGATTAGTTTATATTTATAATTGATTATGTATTCTTTTGAGTATCACATTAATGGATTATTTGAAGTTATTTTTCCAACCTCAGAATACTTGCTCTTTGATAACAAACATGCTGTGGGGGTCCCTTCTTCTATTATACTTTTATTTACTGCTTCAGCAAGTGGTTGTCGAGGTCCCCTCTATGGGAGAAGGTACCTTGCTAGCTGCTGAAGGTCTTGAAGTAAACAAGAATGGCATGGCCCCTGCTTTAGCACAGCTTCCGATTTCAGATAAAGAAATAGGCAATTATTATCCTCAGCAAACTAACTCAGAAACAGAAAACCAAACACCACATGTTCTCACTTATAAGTGGGTGCTGAACAATGAGAACACATGGACACAGGGAAGGGAGCAACATACACTGGGGCCTGTGGGGTGGGCAGGGGAAGGAGAGCATCAGGATGAGCAGCTGATGCATGTGGAGCTGAATACCTAGGTGATGGGCTGATAGTTGCAGCAAACCACCATGGCCTATGTAACGTTTACCTATGTAACAAAGCTTCACATCCTGTGTATGTATCCTGGAACTTAAAATAAAATAACATTAAATTTAAAAAAGACAAATAGGCAATTGTGAGGAAGGAAGAAATGTATTATGCCTAGGGTGAGAATAGAATGCTACAGAATTTTGAGAATGGGATACGTAACACAGGCCTTGGGGGTGCATAGTCAGAGAAAGGTTGCTGGAGGAAGCAAGGTGATATCTAAGCTGATTTCTGGAAGATAAAGAGCAGGTAGGTAGGCAAAGGAGTAGGAACAAGACCAGTATCCCTGGCAGTGGGAACCACATAGGCAAAGGCTAGGTGGCAAGAAATTGAGCTCAGTTTTGGCAGAACTCCATCTGTGTAAGGCTCAGGTAATGTAGACTAATTTTATAAGCAAAGAACATTGGACAAAGAGCTGAAAACATGGACTGTGTGCCATTTGCCTCTTTTAACTTACTCTGAATTACTTTGCCTCTGTGATCTCCAGTTTTCATCATGTATGAAATGGAAAAAAATAACGCCTGCCCTTGTTTTCTCAGAAGGTACTGTGAAGACCACTTGAGAGAGAGAGTACCTAAAAGCTCTTTGATAGGAAAGATGATGTTCTTTAATGTCAAGGTTGCGTTTGGGATTAATTAAGAAAAGGCATGCTTGATATGGCACATTTACTCTTAAAAGTTCAAGTAATACTGACTTGATCTAGAATCTGTGATGTTAATATGGTGGCCCCTAGCCATGTATTGCTATTTAAATTAAAATTAAAGCAAATTAAAAGTTAATCCTAATGGCATTTTAAATGCATGTTAGCCACATGTGGATAGTGGCTCCTGTATCAGATAGTGCAGATATAGAACCTTTCCGTATCACCAAGTTCTTTCTGACAGCTCTGAACAGCACTCCTCCTAACATGGGAATTGTAGGTTTCTGAAACGTTAAAATATTTATATTCTTTGGTGTGACTATTCTTTTATGAATTTAGCCTGTGGAAACTACTAGACAGATACATAAAGATCTAGGTACATGGATATCCACATCTATTAAAGAATCATTTATGATACTAGAGGGAAGGAGAGACATCTCTTATTTGTTCAACAACAATATACCCATTAAGGTATCATATAGATATGCATTTATTTTCATTAAGAGATATTCTAGGCCAAGTGTGGTGGCTCACGCCTGTAATCTCACCACTTAGGGAGGCCAAGGCAGGTGGATCACCTAAGGTCAGGAGTTTGAGACCAGCCTGGCCAACATGGTGAAACCCTGTCTCTACTGAAAGTTCAAAACTTTCAGTGTGGTGGAACATGCCTGTGATCCCAGCTACTTGGGAGGCTGAAGCAGGAAAATCGCTTGAACCTGGGAGGCGGAGGTTGCAGTGAGCTGAGATCATGCCATTGCATTTCGGCTGGGCAACAAGACCAAAACTCCGTCTCAAACAAAAAAAAAAAGAGGGAGAGAGAGACCTTCTACATATATCACTGAGTGAAAAAAACTCAGGTTACTATGTAGAGTGTGCATTCATTTTAGGATGTGTATGTCTGTGTGTTATATACTTGGAGGAGAGAAGAGGGGAATAAGACATGAGAGAAAAAGATAGAAATATTTGGAGGGATATTTACCAGTGTCTGAAAATTATTTATTTTGGGTTGATGACATTATAGTTTGTTGTTTTTATTTTTCCTTATCTTTATATTTTGGATTTTCTTCTATGATATGATTTCTGTGTGTAACCAAAAAAGAAAAAAAAGGAGCAGGGATATTTGCACATGTCAGAATATGAAAATGTTTTCATGAATGGAGGACTAAGATGGATTTTTAAAATGTACAGTAGTTGCCTGATGATTTGTAGACATGCCAGTGAGTTAAACATATCTTGTGAAGAAAAGGACTTATCTCCTTAAAATCTTGTCATCGTGGATTATTTAATGTGAAGTACATCTTTGCTTTTCATGTGTAAGCCTTCCCTGCCCCTTTGACACTAGACTCAAGAACTAACAAAACTGTTTTCCTCTACCTGAGATGCTCTTTATTGTAACATATTTGGTGTATCTGAAAATGTGTTGAAAACACTTGATACATGCATTTTCCCTGCAGTTTGGGGGATCAAAAATGTGGCCAGCAGTTGTTCCAGCTAATTTCTTACCACAAACCTCTGTGATTTGAGGCACGGATGCCAACCAGCTTGTAGGGAAGCCCAGTGGGGACTTTGATACTTTGGTTGTGTTGATAGACAAATGGCCCTGCAAAAGTGCTGGGGAATATCCTTTTATGTTCTTTGTCCACTTTTTAATGGGGTTATTATTTTATTTTATTTCTTATTGTTTTACGGAGGTAATCAAGTTAAAATTTTTATGCTATTGAGTTGTTTGAGTTCCTTATATGCTCTGGATATCAGTCCCTTGTCAGATGAATAGTTTGCAAATACTACTGAGATAGTATTATTATTGAGATAATCATTCAACAGGTTGTCTCTTCGCTCTGTTGATTGTTTCCTTTGCTATGCATAAGCTTTTTAGTTTAATGTAGTCCCATTTGTCTACTTTTGTTTTTGTTGCCTGTGTTTTTCAGATACTAGCCATATAATCCTTGCCTAGACTGATGTCCTCAAATGATAAATTCCCAGGTGATAGATACCCTAAATGCTGTGACTGGATCGTTACACATTCTATGCATGCCACAAAACACCACATGTATTCCAAAACACTGTACATATATTATATATCAATTTTAAAAGGTACAGGGATATTTGAAACAGAAAAGTGAATTTTGTTTATGATGCATCTTTACATCTGACTCTAAATGTAACTAGTACTTCCTTTCTTTTCCATCTTATTTCTGAAAGCCATAGAATTCTGTAGGATTTTTTTAAAAAGACTGCACTGGGGGACATAGCTGCTATTTGACCAGACCAGGTATAAATATCTTACTTGTTCATACCATTTTTCTTAGTAGACAACTAAGTGAAGTTAATAAATAAATCAATATTCTGGAGGTTTTATTAACTCCAAGTTTTATAAGAGTTTGTGATTTGGTCACAAAAATTGATTAAAAAGTTGAGATCCACATTTACCTCTGGATCTTTTCAATATAGAAAACAAAAGGGGAAAAGGACTAGTAGAGTCATATTCTCTCACAATTATATATATATATATATATGTTTAGTTATACGTTATATATATATATATATATATATATATATATATATATATATAAAATTATGGTATAATAATATATTATTTTGTTTTTTGACCTTGAACATTTACCCTCTCTGAGTCAAAATTTTTTCATCTGTGAAATGGGAGAATCAAACTAAACTGGATGCTTTTTAAGTTCCCTCTAATGGAAACATCTTGGCACTGCCAACCCTCCCTCCTCTCCCAGTGCCTCTGACTGGTTTAGCTCTCTTTTGTCATAGTCTAGAGATTTAGAATTGGCAATGATTACTTTCTGTTGAAGGTGGGGTTACCTAAAATAGTTACAGATGTAAATGGTTTGTGACTGTAAAAAGAATTGTGATCACTTTGTTTCAAACTCTTTTGGAAAAAGATCTGCCTGGGATACTTTTGCATTCCTACTTTCCCAACAAAAACAGCCATAGGCAAACCAGAAATAATTAACGCCGTCATTGAGTTTGGTCCAGAGGCCCACAAGAAATTCTACTTTCATCTTATTTTAGGTCACTAGGCCCCATTGAGCCAGCATGACCTGCCGGCAAGCACCCAGAGTTTGTCTGCTCTTTCATCTCATTTGGTGCACTCACCATCCACTTACTTAGAGGGGAGTTTCCAGGAGGACACCAGTAGGTGTCAGGAAGCCAGACTTAGATGATTTATTAGGTTTTCTATAAACCTTGAATTTTGAAATGATGACGATGTCTCCAATTTACTTCACTCAGCTGGATGGGGAATGAGTGCTGAGAATTTAACCCTCAACCCTTGATGCTAAAGCATGAGCTCCCTCCAGCCTGAAGGCAGCCTTACTTCCAAAAGCCTCATGCTCAGAGGTCATTTTAGCGGAAGACTCTATTATATGTACATAATTATTGGGTTCCAAGGACAGTCTAAATAAGCCCAAAGAAGCCTGAAAAGCCCATGTGTTAGTTAAGGCAAGGCTAAGTTATAAGGCTTAAAGCATATATTTACTTCTTTCTCTCCTAACAATTCCAAAGGAAGGAGTCTAGGTTGATAAGGAAGTTCTAGACCACGTTATCCATCATAAATCCAGGTTCCTTCCATCTTATTGCTCCTCCATCTCGAGCAGATGGATTAGAAAACTGCGGCTGGCCAAATCCAGTCCTTTAATTTTATTTTTACAAATAAAGTTTTATTGGAACTCAGCCACACCCACTTGTATACTGTAGATACTTTTGTGCTACAGTAGCAGAGCTGAGTAATTGCAACAGTGTTCATATGACCCACAAAGCTGAAAATATTTACTATATAACCCCTTACAGAAGAACTCTGCTTACCCCTGCCCTAGCATGGTTGAAGTTGGGTCTGGGCCACTTCCCTATTTTGCATTCAGGAAGGAACAAAAAGAAGTCATTGGGAAATCAATGACTTAAAATCCCAGGCCCAGAAATCAACACATCACTTCTCAATTATATTGGCACGAACATAGTCTCACAGCCATATCAACTGTAATGAAGTTTAGAAAATGTCTAAACAAGGAGCCAAGTACCTAGGAAGAAGAGAAACTTTTACTCTAGTGCCTGGTGCAATGTATACATCTCATGATGAGTATCGTTTGTTATCTCATTTAATCCACTCTTCTTTATCTGAGTCATCCTTCACCGTCCTTCACATGTTGAATTAAATGCTACTTCTTCCAGGAAGTCTTTGATCTCTCTTGTGTAGGGTAGATGATCCTTCTTGGAGCTTCTTTAGCCATCATGTATCTCTTCAGTAGCACCTCTACCTCTTTAGTATCATTGATTGCTTTTATGCCCAAATTCCACGTTTAGCTCCACACTTAGGAGACCCCTTAGGCATACCTGCTGAATGAAGGAGTGATCATTGTGGAGTAGTTACCACTAGCATTTGCCATTTAACAGATAAACACACTGAAGCTGAGTGAGGATAAGTCATTTGCCCAACGTCAGTTGGCTACTTAGGGGTAGAGCTGGGACCCCAACTCAGGTGTGTTGGCCTTCAAAGCTTATGATTTTCGAGTCAAGCTTTCTCAGCCTTGCCACTATTGGCATTTTGGGCTGGACAATTCTTTGTTGTAGGGTCTGTCCTTTGTCTTGTAGGATGCTTAGTAGCATCCCTGGCCTCTGCCCATTGGATGCCAGTAGCACCCCTCCCTAGTTGTGAAAAATGTCTCCAGACATTGCCAAATGTCACCTGTGTAGCAAAATCACCCCTGGGTGAGAATCCCGGGGCTCAATTCTATTGCTTCTGAGTTTTGCTTAGACCTCTGGAATCTATGATTCCTCTGCTTCAGCTTGGTGGTGACCTTGTGATTCTTCCTTCCTTTGGACAGTGACTCTCTTCCTAGCCCAGATCACAAGCTCCCTCCTCTCTCATTTCTTCTTCTTCTTTCTTCTTCTTCCTTCTTTTTTCTTCTTTGCTTTTTTTTTTTTTGAGAAGGAGTTTTGCTCCCAGACTGGAGTGCAGTGGCATGATCTCAGCTCACTGCAACCTCTGCCTCCTGGGTTCAAGCAATTCTTCTGCTTCAGCCTCCTGAGTAGCTGGGATTACAGGCACATGCCACCATGCCCAGCTAATTTTTGTGTTTTTAGTAGAGACAGGGTTTCACCATGTTGGTCAGGCTGGTGTCGAACTCCTGACCTCAATTGATCTGCGCACCTTGGCATCCCAAAGTGCTGGGATTATTGAACCACTATACCCAGCCCCTCATATCTTCTTTAAGCTTTTAGATAACAGGCTTTCCTTCCTCAGCACTCTATTGTATGCTCTATCATTTTTGTAATGCTTCATATGAACTTTAGTGTCTCATTGCCTTTCTCCTCATAGTAGACAATATTTCAGAACATTTTCCCCAGTTCCCACCTGTGGGTGACAAAAAGTGGCCGTGAGTAGGCCCTTGGTCAGTTTCTGTTGAGTTTAATTACAGGCATCTGAACCAGACAGGGGCCAAAGACTAGGAGGAAAGTATCAAGGAAGAATTGTGAGCTGGGTTTCTGGGTGTGTAATCCGATCAGGACCATTTATTTTAGGGTTTTCCAAATCTAGAATCTGTCTGCTATCTCTGGGCTAAACTTCTATCTTTGTTGTTGTTGTGAATAAGCAATAATTTCAGAGCACATCTGGTAGCACCCCTCCCTACCTGTGACAAATGTCACAATTTTTTCCTGTGAAATGCAATGCCAAGTGATATCCAAATGTGGCTGTACTGTCCTCAGTCTTCTGCTTGCTGGTGGGACTCGTCAATCATTCGAGCAACCCCAGGTTCAGAGCTGGGAGTGTTCACATGGTGATTGGATACAGATGACACAGGGCTCAGTTCCAAGTGTGTGACCTCAGGGAAGGTACTGAATCTCTCTGAGCCTCCATTTAGTTACTCAACTAATATTTATTGAACATCTGCTCTATGTCAGGCACTATTAGAGATAGAGCAGTAAATGAAACAGACCAAAATCTGAATCACTTAAGGAAGAGTCTAATGGGATGGGGAGGGCACAGATGATAAGTAAATTAAATAAGGAAAACATATAGTAGGTGACAAGGTAATAAAAATTAAACAGAAGGAATTAAAAACATACACTTGGTGCCTGTTGTGAGAATTAAATGATCTCATGTATGTCGTGTCTAGAGGAGCATTGGCAGTAAGTACTCAATAAAGGTTAGTAGGGTCCCTGTCTTCCTTCCTCCATTGCTTCACCTATAAAGTGAGAATAAAAATATAGCTCCTGTTTGAAGGTGGAGGGCTAAATTTAAGTAATTCTGACACTAATTCATATTGTGTGGCACTGTGGCTTTTAATGTTTACAAAGCCCTCTCATCTGCTTTATCTCCTATGAGTTGCCACACTTCAAGTGGAAGACCAGTGATTCAGAAAGACTTCCTGAAGCAAGCAGAAGAACAGTTGCTTTCAGGTACCTGGTCCAAGCAGGAAGTGGATTCCCTGCCCTCAATAAAACCAACTCGGACTGAAGCAGTGAAAAGAATGATGGTGGCTATTTCATTTTGGGGTATGGCTGTTGGTTTTTAAGATCCATTCCTGCTATGGAAGGTCCCTGGATTCTGTTAGTCACCGGAGGGCGGAGTTACAGACAGGCTTAGCACACTGGCTTTGAAGTCAGCCATATCTCCTGATTAGAGTCCTGGCTCTGTCAGTTCTTCTTAGGGTCACAAGGCAAGGAACTCACTTCGCTGAACCTCAGTTCTCTCACAGCAGTGCTGAGAGGATTAAAGGAAATAATGCAAATAAAACAGGGATACCTAGTTGTTTTTCACAGCAAACAACCAGTAGACTCCTAATCATCCTGTCTCTGGGGTTAGGCTAACACTCATTGGCCAAAATGTTCTTTCTAAGGCAAACCGACGCATCTCACCCCATTCTCTTAACAGTAGAGTTTACTCTCCTAAGCAGACCACCAGGAGGACCCAAAGGAATGTGTTTAATGGGTACATGGGAGCTTTACTCTGTGAGTAAATGCAGGCCTGTAGCCAAGCTGTAAAGTTACCCTTTGAGGGTAACTTGGATACAAAATGAACCAGATAATTGTGGCCACTTTACTAGACCAAGAGGATGTGAGAGGGATTCGATTATTATTGTTGGTGAAATTTATTTATAATTGTTTTCAATCTCTTAATCCCTTTGAGAATGCTACAGACTTTCTAATATTTGAAAATATACTACACATAAAAAAATTTTGAGAACCACTGCAAGATACGAGAATTAAATACAGAGAAAATAGCTTGAATCTTGTATAACTTCCAGTCAATAGACAGTGACTGCCGGAGCACATGTTGAAAATTATACCAAGGGTAATCTGAGCTCTGAGGAAGTTCTAGGATAAATTAGTGATGTCTGTCACTATGGCAGGCATGGAAAGTGGGGACTGAAGTGTCAGGTTTTGCTCTCCCTAGATTTACCTGTTGTTTTGAAAGTTGCTAAAAAGCAAGAGACTAAATCATGACTTGTTTCTCCTGCAATCAGTCCCATGATGGAGATAGCATAACATCTGTTCTCAAAATGAACCAATATTCCATGACTGTGTTTACAGTTTGACACACCACTACAGTTCACAGTTGTTAACTTTATACATAAATATTTATAAATTGAGCTCTGTGCAATTTCATTCTGAATTAAGAAATATTGGCAGTTAAACTGATATAAATCAACAGGGGACCAGATACAAAATATTCTTTGATCTTTGCTTGAAAAAAAAATGATGCCTTTACAAAAAAAAAAAATTACCAGAAACTCATAGTAAATATTCATCAGTTGAAATGCCCTTGATTTGAGCATTTTTATTGGAAATTGGAGTTCCTGTGTTTATTTTTATGTTTTAGAAGTCTAGCATAAAGTTTTCTTGGTATTCTTCATTAATGTTCTTCCCAGTAAACCCTTGTAATATGGTACATAAATTTTCATCGTTATGTTTAAGTGTGAGGTAGGGAGGCCATGGGAGAAAAATATCACTTATTTAATTTTTTGAATATCATATAATAAGTTTTAAAATTTTAATTATGTAATTTTACTAAAATTGCAATTGAAAAAGCAATAAATTCAGTTTAGAATAGTAGGAAGTTAATTATCAACACTCAAGGCTTAGAGAGAAGAATATACTGGAAATTGCAGGCTATTGTGCACTTGGTTACTGGTCTTCCTTTGAAGCCAAGCATGACCTTATCAGATTTGTTTAGTATCACCACCATACTCATATTTTTCCCCAGCTTCAGAACAATGGAGTTCAGAGGTCAAGAATACCTACATTCCACATGAGCGAACTTTTCATTCTTTGAAATCGTAATGATATACGGTCAATAGCTAACTACACCGTATATTCAGGAAGAGAAACCAGAACACTGAAGCTGGCATGGACTCTTGCAGGCTGTGATGCTGGAGATGTTTGTGAAAACAGTCAGTGTCTTTGTAAGACCTTGTAAGTGACAGTGGGGTAGTGTCATCTTCATAGAAGGATATCTAACTTTCTGTTAATCCTTCAGAAAAAAAAAATTCCCCCTAAACTTGCTGATTTCCTTAACAACTAACTTGGGTTATTCCAAGTGGAGTATTTGAAACCTTCTGAAGATTTTGTCTGTGTGTTTATATACTGAGTATTTCAATATAGGACAGGAGTTTAAAATTCTCAATAAACTTTTGTAGGTAACCATGAAAACCAAATATTTCTTCCTTACTTGAAATGAGTTGTCTACCATTTAAAAAGCACTGAGATATGATGCTTGTTCTATTTTATGTATCAATTTTATCAAAATCAAAATATTTGTCAAGGTATATTTTCTTAATAGGCTTCTAATAGGTTTGTGCTTATAAAAAATGACATAGCATTCCCACATTTTAATTTCCCTATCTGGGTGTTCTCCCTATCTGAACTTCATACCTCCCCGTCCCCTATACTCAAGATAACTATTCTAAATAATATCCTCATTTATTTATGACCTATTCAATACATAATGCGTGAGCAAGCACAGTACCCTGGCATAAAGTAGACAAAAAGCATTTGTTGGGAAAAGGAATAATTAAATGTGATACAGGCAGTTAATAACGTTCAGGATATTAAATTTGTATCTATAAATTTGTAATTGAGTACATTTACCTTTTTATGAATTGTAGATATACACTGTGATATTCAGTACAAAATCCATATAGATTGGTCAGCTTAAGCTCTAAATACATTGGTCATGTGTTCATTTTATTCTGAGGTTTTCTTTTTCCCTGTATTCTATATTATCTAGGGTGGTAGTTCTCAGAGTGTGGTCCCTGAAACAGCAGCATCAGTAGCACCCAGGAAATTGTTAGGAATGTAAATTTTTGGGCCTTGCCCCAGACCCACTGGATCGGAAGTTCTGGGAGCAGGGCTCCCAGTCTGTGTTGTAACAAACCCTCCAGGCAGGGCAGGCTTCATGGGTGGGCTACTTGTGTGGTCACACAGGGCCCTGCACTTAGAAGAGCCTTGTACTTGGTTTAATGGTTCTGCTATCACCGTCTTGGAATTCTTAATAATTTCTTAACAAGGGTCCCACATTTTCATTTTGCCCTGGGCCCTGCCAAATTATAGCCAGTCCTACTTCCAGGTGATGCTCCTGTGCTCACTTCGAGAACCTCTTTCTTCCAGAAATATTAGGATTCCCTCTGGGTATCTGGTCAGTTGGTCATTTGATTATAAATTCATACCCATTCAAATGATTCAAATTGTTTTAAGGAAATTGGTCCTGCAAGAAGGTAACACTAAGCTGGATTAATATTTCTCTTAACTCAGTAACCTGGTTTTTAGACAAACCTTTGGCTCTCTCTTGGTTTTCCATAGAAATTGTTCAAGAGTTACAACCAGAAGAAGCATGCACCTGACTTTTCACATCCCTCTTGGACCTCTTTCTCCCTGGTTACCAGAAAATATTCTTATAAACAGTTTTTCTGAGCCCTTCAGGTGCTTCCAAACAGTTAACCGGTTTTGAGTCCACAGGGAATTTCCTGGGACTTTACCCAGGTCCGGGAATTACCCAGGTCTCTCAGTTTATGGGCGTCTTAAGAAAATCTCTTTGTATGGGTGTTGGTTCATAGACATTGTATTAAGTAATATGTAATCACAGTGAATGGGTCAGTCAGGTCCCAATAGAAACAGATATTTCAACTTGAGATAATTCAAGAAGCAATTTTGTACAAAGGGATTAATTCCAAAGGTGTGGGCACAATATAGGGGAATGTTATGGGTTGTTCAAGAACCTAGTGCTACAGCAGCAGAAATGTCACTGCTTCTAGGCCCAAAAGGACAAAAGAAGGAGAGGTTTTCAGACCCTTGAAGAAGAGAGAGTCCCCTAGAGCTGCATTAGGAAGGATAGTAACCCTCTTTTGAGGGACACAGCCAGTCTGAGGTGAACTTACTGGGAGGGAACCAGGGAAATAAATGTGCTGACCCCACTTTCCTTCCTACATCTATCTCCTGCTATTAGCTCAACTCTGCTGGAAGCCTGAGGGTGCAGAGCTCTCTGCTGCCATTTGTATATGTCACCCTGTGGGGAAGAAAGCAAGGAGAGAAAAGTGGAGATGGATCTAGAAGGGCAAATGGACAATATCTAGTGCCGTTCACTCATTTGCCTCTTGGCCTCTACTCTTGTTTTTCATCAAGATGAAAAGTTGGTGCTTCCAACACGAGGGAGGTGTGGAGTCACCTTAGGTCTTGTGTCATTGTGAGATAATGTCAGTTTGGCCATACATCTAAAACACGAGCTATCATGAGCATTGTCTTTTTTTATATGGTAGAAGTTGGGCAGAAGGGGAGAAAAAAGTCACTTAGTGGTGACTTAAAACATAACTTCCGGCTAGGCGCGGTGGCTCACACCTGTAATCCCAGCACTTTGGTAGGCCGAGGCAGGTGGATCATGAGGTCAGGAGTTCGAGACCAGCCTGACCAACAAGGTGAAACCCCATTTCTACTAAAAATACAAAAATTAGCCGGGCGTGGTAGCACGTGCCTGTAATCCCAGCTACTCGGTAGGAGGCTGAGGCAGGAGAATTGCTTGAACCCAGGAGGCGGAGGTTGCAGTGAGCCGACATCACGCCATTGCACTCCAGCCTGGGCAACAGAGCAAGACTCCACGAAACAAAGAAAGAAAGAGAGAAAGAGAAAAAAGAGTAAGAAAGAGAAAGAAAGAAAGCTGCTATAGCCCCTGTCTCTATAACTGACTACAAGCTCTCACTAGTAATCACATTTCCATCTTCCATCTTGTTTCAATAATGGAAGTCATCTCGGTCCTTGATGGCTTTAACTTGATTGGATTACCACTGTTTTCACTGACCAGGACTTTTGTTTAAGGGCACCCCAGTGAATCCCTGGGTTATGCATATTGCCTTCCTTATCCCTATTATATAGCAGTAATGGTGACCCCTACTCTGACTGTTGGGTCAATGGAACGAAGAGCCCAAAATGGCCAAAGGACAGTCTCGGTTTCTAATTCATCACATCATGATAATGTTCTCTGGTGGAAGCAAACATTATTCCAACAAGATATTAGGTGTTTTCGTGAGAGGGGCCACTCCCACATCCTCCTCAGTTTTTCCAGTCATGCATCCTTACTATGGGAGAGATGGCACCATACAGTGGCCTCTGATTTAAGGCACATCCTCCATTCCTATAGGAAAGTATCCTAACCTCTTTGTGTGTTGTCACTCAGCTGTTACTAAACCAGAACTTCTGTGGAGTGGATCCTTTGATGCACTGCATGTGGTAAAATGTGTCCCATGATTGGAGGTGATGTTGTGTAGGATGCCGTGTGATAGATAAGGCATATATATATATATATATATATATGCATATATATATAAGGCATATATATATGCATATATATAAGGCATATATATATATGCATATATATATATAAGGCATATATATATATATAAGAATTGTGGTCCTGGAAGAATACCGAAGGAAAAGAAGGAAAATCTACACACACAATGTTTCTATCCTATGTAAATCAAGGTACTGCCCTCTTCAAAGTCAGAGAAGTCAAGTGTCATCAATGTGTCACTAGGTAGCCAGTTAGTCCACACAGGAACTCAGCATTGGCCTTTGCAGTAGCACTTTATACATTGAGCCATGGTGGTTGCTGGATCAGCTTTGGTGAGTAAAAAGCTGTGTGACTGAGCTGTACATGGCCCCTACTAGCCCTGCTACTGTGACCGATGAATCCCCCTTCCATATTATATAGAGATGAGAACACACATTAACTCTGTGTACCACCCTCTTACGTACATGCGCTTCTTGTCTAGTACTTTATTATTTATTTTTTTAGCAATAAATTGGACATTATTTTTAAAAATGTATAGTTAATTCTAAAGCATTTATAAAATTATTTTTTAAAAATAATGTTCTTGGTTTACCATACCTTCTTTCTTCTTGGCTTATAATTCTTTATGCGTTTACAAATTCTTTTAGTGTAGGTCTATTGGTGATAAACCATTTCAATTTTCGTTTCTCTGAAAATGTCCTTCTTTTACCCTCATCCTTGATTCACCCAATTTGGGGCTGATAGTTATTTTCTCTCAGTAACATGTTATTCCACTAATGTCTGGCTTCCACTGTTGCTGTGGAAAACTTGGCTGTTGGGCTAATTTTAAGTGGCTATCTTTCCTCTGTGATTCTTTCTTTCTTTTTTTTTTTTTTTGAAACGAAGTCTTGCTCTGTCACCCATACTATAGTGCAGTGGCATGGTCTTGGCTCACTGCAACCTCCGCCTCCCAAGTTCAAGTGATTATCCTGCCTCAGCTGCCCGAGTAGCTGGGACTACAGGCACGTGCCACCACGCCTGGCTAATTTTTTGTATTTTTAGTAGAGACGGGGTTTCACCATGTTAGCCAGGATGGTCTCGATCTCCTGACCTCGTGATCTGCCCGCCTCGGCCTCCGAAAGTGCTGGGTGCTGGGATTACAGGCATGAGCCACTGCACCCAGCCCCTCTGTGATTATTTCTAAGATCTTTTTTCTTTAATGCTCTGTGGTCTTACTGCAATGTATTGGTATTAATTTTATTTTATCCTGCTTCACACATGTATAAATTTATATCTTTCACCAGTTCTGTTTAATTATTAGCCATTATCTTTGCAAATATCTATTACCTTCTTTCTGTGTCTTCAGTCTCTCTTTATGGGCTCTAATTATGAATGTGCTAGACTTTCCTTTTCTGTCCTCCATATTGCTTGATGTCCTATTCACATTTTCCCTCCCCTGATCTCTGTGAGCTGCATTCTGGCTAGTTTCTCTAGTTTTATCTTCTAGTTCACTCATTCTCTCTTCACCTGTGTCTACTATGTGGCTAAACCCATTTATTATTTTAGGTTAACAATTATATTTTTTCATTCCCCAAAGTTTAATTTGGATTCTTCAAATCTTTCTAGTAACTTTTGATAGTCTGTTGTTGCGTGCTCATTTTTCATTTAATTATTTTATTTCTAATCCTTTTTGTAGAAAGAGCACCTAAAATCTACTCTCTTAGCAAAATTTCAATATGCAATACACACTTATTATGTATATGTATGTAATATATATATGCATAATATGCATGTTTGAACATAGCCATTTTATATTCTGTAGTTAATTAATAATTCTAATATCCAAAGCCATTGGGGATGTATATCTAAATTTGCACTTATTCTCGTCTGTTCCACTATCTTTCCCTCACTGGTGACTGGTTTCCTTATATGCTTGGTGATCTGGGGGAATTTATATTTGACAAATCTTAGTGGGAACCGCAAGTGACTGAAATGGAGATATTTTTCTGCAGAGAAAATTTACTTTTGCTTCTTCTGGGAGCAGGGAGCTGCTATCAATCTAGGATCACCTAGCTCCTTTAAGAATCCTGGTTTATCAGGGCTTTCATGTTAAGCCCTTTCAACTTGCCACTGGCTGAGTCTCTCGGTTGTACAAATGACCATGGTGTTTGTGCTCAGAGCAACCTCTGCTATTTATGTGGGCTTTCAGCATACCATTCTTGTTTCAGCTCAGTTTTGGAATTTTGTTTATTTGTTTGTTTTAGTTCATTTGAGGGTTTTCCTATTTCCTATGAGCCCAGCAATGCAATAAAAAATGTTTTGAGAGGGCCTTTCCTAGCATCTAGTCAGACACAATGCTGGAAGTGTCTTATTTCATATGCTTAATGTGTACACACTATGAATAGAAATAATTTCTGAAAAGTCTTAAAATATTTTAAGTTTGTTCATCTTAATTTTCCAATAGTCTTACATTCTAGATGTTTTCAGGATTTTCATTTACACCATTTCTCAAAGGTGTTTGAATTAAAGCCTGTTACTTGCTCTCACATATGTGGGAAA
Organism: Homo sapiens; assembly: GCF_000001405.40. NCBI lineage: Eukaryota > Metazoa > Chordata > Mammalia > Primates > Hominidae > Homo > Homo sapiens. The sequence goes on along the minus strand of NC_000003.12, from coordinate 55,796,935 downwards.
AAAAATGGCCTTTTTGTTTCCCCTTTTGGTTGTTGTTTTATTTAAACAGTTATTGAAGTTTACTGTTTCGGAGTTGACAAGCTTTTTCTTAAAAGGCCAGATAGTAAATATATTAGGCTTGCGAGTAGTGTGAACTCAGCCAGAGACAATTTATAAACAAATGGGTGTGGCTGTGTTCCAGTACAATTTTTATCATAGAAACAGGCAGTGGGGCTGGGCCCAGTGGCTCATGCCTGTAATCCCAGCACTTCGGGAGGCCGAGGCAGGAAGATCACTTGAGGTCAGGAGTCAAGACCAGCCTGGCCAACATGGTGAAACCCCATCTCTACTAAAAATACAAAAGTTAGCTGGGCGTAGTGACACAAGCCTATAATCCTAGCTACTTGGGAGGCTGAGGCAGGAGAATCGCTTGAACCCAGGGGGCAGAGGTTGCAGTGAGCCAAGATCACACTGCTGCACTCCAGCCTGGGCGAAAGAGTGAGACTCCATCTAAAAAAAGAAAGAAAAAGAAACAGGCAATGGGCCCATGGACTGCAGTTCTGTAATTCCTCGACTTCTGATCTGTTCTAAACTCTGGATCAAGTCTTTTTGTGTCTTGGATCGCTGATGAGCTTCACCAACCTCACTTTTGAGATTTCTGCTTCTCATGCAGTCCACCGAAGGCCCAATAGTTCACTTTTCTTCTCAAACAAAGCCAGGCCTTGCCTGCTTCGAACCTTTTGCACGTGCTGTTCCGCCTTCCTGAAATTCCCTTCCATGTGTCCTGTGTCTGGCTTCCTCTGCTATAGCCTTGCCGGTATAATTTAAATGCTTCTTGCCTAAGAGGCCTGCCTTGATTTCTTTCTACCCTCCCCCCTCAACCACCACAACTTCTCACTGTTGCTCACCAAAGAATTCTGTCTCACTTGGAGCCCTTCTCAAAATATGTAACTATGCATTTTTCATTTGTTTGCTTAGTTTGTGACTCCTCAACTATAATGAGAGCTCCATGAGGTAGAACCCTGTGTGCTCTGACTGTATTCTGGTCCCTGGCACAGTTCCTGGCCAATAGTAGGTACTCTGGGTAATTATTTGCTGAATGATGAAGCAACCCTATAAGGCAGGTACTGTTATTGGTGTCCACATTTTACAGATGAGGAGACTCAGGTTTCACAGAATGAAGTCACTTATCCAAGGTCATGCAGCTAGGAAGTGGCAGTCCCCAGATTCAATCTGAGGGGGCTTTGTCTGATTCTAGGCCCTGAGCTGATATCCAGTCCCTCTATGGTTTTGGTTTCTTGGTTACGTACAGAGTTGAAGAACAAAGCCACCCAGCTATTCTTGGAGACCTGTCGGGAGTGAAAGGCAGCGGGTGGAGAGGTGGAGTTACAGAAGCACTATGTTAGTATCAAATGAGCTGACTCAAGTTAAACGGGGAAAAGGATCAGTTACCTAATTGCAAACAATCCCACTGTTAATGTACAGCTTTATGATTCAGGGGTCAAAACGGTTTTATGACAGCAGGATCCCAGTGTTCTTATGACGGTGAAGGGAAAGTAAGTAGGAAGGTTCCATTCTCAATGGAGATCTGGGGCAAAGCAAGGTGCCCCAGCTTATCCAGGAGGTCTGGCAACCATTAAAGAGAAATGACTTCCTAAATTCCAACTGACAGGGGCACTGAAGGCATTGTACCATCCAGGATGCAGAGCCCCTGTGCTCAGGGAAATGAATATGGTTTAAAAACTCAGGGGATCTTTCCGGTTTGTCCCAAGCTTGGGAATTTAATGTGGAACATTATTTTAAAACAATAATTTGAAAGAACGTTAATGTACTTTTTTTTAGGATTTAAAAAAAGCTGTGTTTTGCTTATTAGTCAGTGGAAAATCTATATGACTAAAATATGTTTAAATGTAAGCTGGCTAATGTAACAGGCTCAGGGAAGGAAAATAGACCATTTGAAGCAAATCAACCATTTATTTCCTATGTATTACCTAAGAAAAAAGAAAACATTGAAGCAAAGTGAAAATGACATGATGGTCCATTTCAAACATTTGGTAAATGTAATGTAAATGAATCCTGTACAGTGATTCTGTGAATTCAGCCAAACCATCAGAACCAACTTTAAGGACCTCATGATAACTGTGAGTTTAACAAAGTTTTGCAAAATTATGGTGTTAATTTTCTGGAAGGTATCAACTATAAATAAGGATGTATTATTTTGTCAAAGAAATGATCCATAAGCAGAAGAAAGCTTGTCTGGGTATAATGTTGACTAACATATAACTTGTTTAGAAGTAGTTATCCCCAAAGAGAAAGACAAAATGCGTATGCTTTCACACAGGTATGAAAGCTATTTGTACCAAGAAAAAGCATATTTTGACATACATCTCTTGTATTTTTTACTTTTATGAGATAAACATAATTCATTGTTTTCCAAAAAGGACTTGAAGTAAGTTACAATTAAAACCAAGTCTTCACATGTGTGCACACATGGACACATAAAACATGATTAATACAACTAAAAATGGAAAATAAAAGCCATGAAAACCTGAGGAAATAATTCCTCTAGCCACAAAGTCCATTATAATTACTATGACTGATCATCAAGTTTGGCCCTGAACTCCCTGGCAGCCAGAGCAAAAAGGGAAACAGGATAAAAGTTGTATCATTCTTGTTATTAGAAAGGAGGAAACAGATTAGTTTCTAGAGATAAAGATTTTCCTGGCACCAGATAGCAAAAGGAGTTTCTTATGTGTGATTTTCTATAGATAATGGATAATTCCTTTGACAGCCCTTTCCAGCAAATGCAGATGTGGTTTTCATATCACTGTCTCCTACAATGACTCCCAATAAAAGAGGGTGCCATAACATTAAAGTGCAACTCAGAGAAGGGACATTTTGTGAGAGTACTAGTTTTTATTTCCATATTGTGAAAGGTACATGGTTTTGCTTTTAATGCTTATTTTAAAGGTCCAGAAAGAAATTCTAATCTGTGTGCCTATGTTGCAGAGATCTGGCACTATTTCTATATCTAGGCAATTACACAGGGATTTTACTTGAACACATCCAAATTTTTAAAATTTCCACTCACCATCATCTTTTAAATTTCATGAAAGCCTCGAGCTACCATTCAAGTTTTTCTATTGCTCTCTGTCTCTCTTTGTTCATTAGTGATGTACTGAGGTTTTAAGTAACTTGATTAGGTGTAGACGGGGGCCCTAAATAATACGATTTTTCATAGGAAGTGAAGTGTTATCCCTTTTAACAGATTCAGTGTAAATTATTTCTGCTTTATCTAGGCTCTTTTGTTTTTAATTTTAATTTTCTTATTAACAATGCAATCTGCTATTATATTTATATCATCAATATGTCAAAATAACATGAGTTGTGAAATAATCATAACAACTCTTTTTTAAGTCTCCCACTGCCCCTCTAAACTTTAAACAGTGAAAGAAACCTTCCCTATAGCACTGAATAAAAACTTTGCAGAACCAGTATCTTTTCTGCTTACTCTTAGGCAAAAACAGTCCTGCAGTGACTATAAGTCACAGACATTCTGTAATTAGAATGTTCACCTGGCTTTTTTGATCAGCAAATAACCATCAACCTCAACACATTCAAAAGGGGATGTTAATGACTGGTTAAATCTATTTGCTTAGAAGGCTAAACCAGGAGTTCTCACCTTTTTGTGTTTATAGCATTCTTTCAATTTGTATTATTAAAAATATTTGCAGAGTACCTTGAACGAATTAAATTGCATCTACATCAGGAAGCTAAGGCAGGAGAATCCCTTAAACCTGGGAGGCGGAGTTTGCAGTGAGCAGAGATTGCGCTGCACTCCAGCCTAGATGACAGAGGAAGACCCTGTCTCAAAATAAAATAAAATAAAATAAGTAAATAAATTGCATCCACAGTTATCTTAGCACAAATATTGCTATTTGGACCAATCTATATACTCCCCAGGGCTCAGGGTTATAGCATCACCAGGCATGGTTCACCCGTTGTCAGGAAACACAATAATTTCTGCTGGTGCTGACTTGACATTTGTCTTCCCTCTCTCATTTCTTAGTTGCTAAAAATGACACTGTACTCTACACCCAGAATCCACCAGCTCTCTATTCCCTGGAAGACATGGTGGTCCTTAATGGAATAGAGCCTCATTTGTGGCTATTGAAGTGCTGCCAAGGACTTGGTTTCAACTTCTTAGCTTTGGGAAATTCATGCACATTCATTTGTTCTACATTTTGGGAAATAATAAATGGAAAAGTTGTCCGGGATCCAGATTGCATTGAGGTGCTTAATTTTATTCACCTTTCCATTACTATTGTTGGTCATTGCATATTCACCTTCACATTTCATTGCTACATTCCATAGACAACAAATGGAAATCAAAAGGAAGTTCTTTAAACAAATGTTTATTGAAGGCCTATTGTGAACTGAGCACAGGGGCTGGTGATTAGGTGTAAGAAGGGAAGTGATCTGCTCTCTTAATTTTAGCAGAAAAATAAACATTTGTCAACAATAAAATTATATATTAATAAGATAATGGCTTTTAAATGCCTAGCTTTGAGAGCTAGGCACACAGTGACTTTTAAATGCCTAGCTTCGAGAGCTAAACAATACCTTTCTCCACCCTCTGCCTTCTTGCCTGTTCCCATTATTGGAAAGGTTAGGGGTTTCTTTTCTAATTTTTCAGTTTTGCTGAGTTAGCAGTCAGTGCAATTTACCCAGTCTTAACCTCAAAGATTGCAAAGGGGAGCTGGTGAAATATTGCACAAGCCTAGCCTTGGTTTAGCCATGAATTATGCATTGTGTACTTAGACTATTATAGTCTGTTATAGTCTGTTTATCTGTTGACTTCCACCAAGATTTAGGGGTTTGTTGTACTTAATAACTTGCTTTATTTTGTTTGACATGTATTTTATGTCCTCCATGTGCATGAATACATAAGATACACAGTCGTGGGTGAGGGTCTGGAGAGAAAGCCCAGCCTTGAAAGATTAACTTTGAGAACTCTGGAGTAAAAATGTTCACATACTCCTTACTCTTGCAGAGTGCTAATCAATAGGAAGGTGGATCAGATTTTTCCATGTTTTTTCCCCACTAGAATACAAAACAGTTAAATAAAGGGCAGAAAAATGAATCTGGATTCCTTGTATCTCTGAATTTTTGTTCTTAAAGCTGGTCCTTAAATTAAAAAGATGTCAAAAGACATTTAATTCATTCAGTATTGACCACAAATAAGAATTTCACTGTTTTTGACTACACTCTAATTTTTCATTCGAGTCCTATATTCAAAATTGTGCCTGATGGGTTAATATGGATTTTTGCATGTCTTGAAAATAAAAGCAGTTTTATGAAGATTATAAGATTATGAGATGACATTTGATTTTAGCTTGACCTAAAAACATCTCAGACATTTCTCAGCATACATGTGTTTGAGTTTTAGAATTCTGAAGCTGTTAAAGGACAAAAACAAAGTGGAAAAACATAGTAAGATTTTCATATTTAATATAGTTCATTACATGTCTGCTGTTTTATATATATATACTTATATATACACACATACATATCTCCACATACATAGAGATATGTACCTATCTTTTATGTCTGTTTATAGTTAGCAATTATTTCTGGACTTTTAAAAACTTACTTTCTCATTTCCATTCTGTTTTCTTTTTTGGAATTTAAATGATCTTTATCAAAACAGAGATCTCTGCCTCTAAAGGCTCTCCAAGTGGAATTAACTGTTTACCCAGCCCCAATTTTCATTTACTTCCTCTTCCCACCACAAGTGCTTGTGTTATCTAGAACAAAATCTCTTTCCCCATATTTAGTCACAAAGAATTACATGAATGCCTAAAATAAACACTATTTAATTTGTGTAACTCCCTGCAATTTTAAACAGTTCTCCTTGAGTCTCATGATGACCCTGGTTGACAAGAAGAGGAAGCTGAGGCCCAGGTGGGTTACCCACCCCTGCCCAAACTCACACCCATCAGGAATGGAGGATTCCACCTTTTGAAGTGAACTTGGTCTTTTGACTCCAGAGCCGAAGCTCTTTGCTGAGCTCTGTATTGCCTTTGAGTCGAAAACCAGGAATGAAACAAGGGTTCCTTGAATGTTTACCATTCATTCAGTAAACATTTATGTACTATGTGCCAGACATACGGTAGGCATGGCTGCTGTCCACTGATAAATGAAAAGACATTAGTCCCAAGCTTCACTGAATTCACAGTCTGGCTAGGGGATGGGCCATTGTCTGGGTTGGGTTTCCCCAGAAGTTGGCCTTCAGACAAGGATTTGAATACAAGTAGCTTATCTGGAGGTGGGGGATAGTAGGGTTGTTATTCACCCTCCATTTTCCTTCCGCTGTTATCTGAGGGATGCTCTTAGGAGCATTAACTTCTGGTGCTCCTGGCCTGTATGTGCAGGGCATGCCAAGAAGAAGCCCACAAGTAGAATTGCTGGTGTCAACGGTAGGACTCTGTTGACAAGTTCTGTGCTATTGAGTGCTGACGGGATGAGGGTGAGGCACTGGCCAGGGCTGCTAAAGCAGGGAATGAGATCTTAACTATGATTACTGTATTGTGGGGGGCTACAGGAGAATAGAGGGGCCCTCGGGGAAGCGCTTCCAGAGAAACTGGCAGCTCCCTAACACCTGCAAGGAAGCAGAAGTAGCCCAATGAAGGCCATGAGGGAGGTGCTCTAGGCAGAAGGAACTATAAGAAGTTCCATATGGCTGGAGCGTGTTGAGAGATGAGCAAGGTAAAGCAATCAGAGGTCAGCTCCCCAAAGCCCCAAAAGCTACAAAGAAGTTGGACTTTATCCTGCAGGGAATAAAGAATCATGAAAAGATTTCAAGTGAGAGTGTATCAGGATCAGGTTCATGTTTGGGGGAGAGCCTTTAGACTTCAGTTCAAAGAATGGAGGGAAGGACTGACAGTTGGAGACAGGAAGCCCAGTTAAGAGTATGCTGCAGTAATCCAGGCCTGTGAGGCTAAGTCGTGGCCTTACATCTGTCCAATAGAACAGCCTCTTTTCAGGCTGACATTTCCCAACGGTGTCAATGCTGGCTGCCAAATCACATCACATTGATGCCAAAAAGTCCCCTGGCCTTGTCAAGGGATGTAGATGATGGCTCTGGAACTCTTCTGCCTTTTTGTATCACCAGTAGGCTTATTACCCTCTATGTTTGCTTAAATAGGAAAGTTCATTTAAAGTTTCTGTTTCTTTCTGTAGTGCCTTTCTCTTCCAGCATACCATGTGACTTCTTCTCAGACCAATTGTTTGGGGGAAATGATAGCAATTGTACCTGACATAACCCCACAAAATGCCATTATTCTTCCTTTTGCACATGAAGTATTTTCTTTCATTTGCACTTAATGGTTTCTTTAAATTAGATTATGTATTGGGTTTCTTGTCTGCATCGGTAATCTCTCTATGCATCAGTGTTGTCTTTTTAGCTTGAAATTTGCTAAGAGACTTGGGATCTTATCTTGAAAATTGCTAAGAGACTTGGGATCTTATCTGTGTAAATCTCATGGAGTAGTAGCAAGCACAGAAAGGTGCTGCTTAAACAAGGCTGATGGTGTTGATACTTTGCTTTCAGCATCTCTGGCCACTTAGAAGACTCTCAGCTTCCCTATGGACTTGGAAAAAACACGGCATCCATGGCCCTAGGAAGCAGTAAAGAAAGTCTCTCTTTTAGGGGGTTCTGCTTTTCTGCCTTTTTGCAGGACAGTCACAGTGGATCATGCATTATAGGATAAAATTGGCGGGGGACATCTGCAAATATTAAGCCTTAGGCTGGTATATTCAGGCAGTGAAATGCTCTAGAACAATGAGCATGAACTATTGTAACACGACGACAAAGATGAATCTCACTAACATGCTGAGAGAGAAAGAAACAATAAAGGAGAGGACATTTGATCCCATAAAGTCTGAATTGGAAAAACTAGTCTGTGGTGTTAGAGAACTCGTGACTGGTTACCCCTTTTGGGAGGTGACTGGGAAGCTACACAAGAAGGCTTTGGGTGCTGGTTATGTTCTAGTTTTGGAGAAGGGCACTGGTTACACATGTATGAGCACTTTGTGAAAATTCATGGAGCTATCCGTTTATGATGTGTGAAATGTTCTGTATGCATGTTATCCCTCAATAAATAAGCTTATTTTAAAAAATAAATAAAAATAGAACTGTAGGCCACCAGAACTGAACAGAGCTGACCTTCGATGGCCATCACCTCCAGCCTGTTTATGTTGACATCTGGGAAACCAAGACCTTGGGGAGAGGTAGGGTGTGTTCAAAGACCGTCAGCTGACCAACCAGCTGCAGAATTGTTGCAGTACCCAAAGGGACCCTCTCCTAGGCCATTGCTGCCTCTATATCATCCGAATTATATGCTTGACTCAGTGTATCCAGGTGAGAATTGAGGAATGGGGCTGAATTCTCAAGGGAAGATTCACAGGACAAAAAGATCAAGGTCTTTTTATGCTGTGGTTTTGGTTTTGAATTGCCTGTTGTCCTCCCATTGTAGCTGATGATCATTCTCTTGGGGAGAGACAGGGGAGAGTTCATAGGCCCTTTCCTAGCACATGGCCAGGACTCGAGATACCCTTTGCAGAGTGGCTCCTGCTGTGGTCAAGGAATGCAACCAGCTGTCCAGTGTTTAAAGAACTCTGAGATTATCAGGGGAGATTCTGGGCCATGTTTTAAGTCAGACATGTAGATCTACATCCCAATTGGAACTGGCCCAAGCCCTGCCACATATTCCTTAGCTTTCAGATGAGAGAAGAGAGGTGATAACAACACTTGGCCTAAACAGTAATTAAGGTGAATGAGTTTAACTGGTTCTGTGAGGGATTAGTTAAAAATCTCCTCTCCCTTTTAGTATGTCTAATTTGGAAGATTCTGGAACCACTGGGTCATTTTATGTGGATTACTTAAGAAAAGATTGTGAGGATAAATTTGCTACTGGCTACTTAGTCAATAATACTATGGCCTGGGTACACATCAAAAATCTCTAACCATCCAAGAGGTGGCTTCCAGGACATGGATTTCTTCTTATTAGGGACTAATAGGTCCCAGGAATTAGAAAGCCCATGTGTTTCAGGAGGATGCCACTTCTTTGGGCTTGAGATATGATATCTTCTGGAGAATTTGACTTTGAAGCTGTTTTCAGCCTGTGGGAGTAGTATTATCAGATATGGAGTGGTAAATTTTCTCTGGTGAGTTCTGATGGATCAATAGGGATCTGTTTTGGGTCTTTGTAGATTTACTGGAGAGAAGAATGCTTCTTATATCCCTTGTTCCTATTTCCCATTTAAAATAAAATAAAATGGAGTGTTAGTAACTAAAAGCTCTAAAGAGGTAAAATATATGAAAAGTTACTAGTGAAAAATCCTGCCATATAAGAAATAATTGAGATGCCATGTCTAGCCCTGTATCTGAATGGAGATCACATACTGGGCTTAACCAACATATTTTTCATAACAACCCTACTAGGTATTAATAAATAAATACCATTCTTTTTTATTTTTGAGGCAGGGTCTCACTCTGTTACCCAGGCTGGAGTGCAGTGGCAGGATCACAACTTTCCACATCTTCCAACTCCCTGGGCTCAAGCTATCCTCCTGCCTCAGCTTCCCTAGTAGCTGGGACTACAGGCGCGCACCACCACACCCAGCTAATTTTTGTATTTTTGGTAGAGACAGGGTTTCACCATATTTCCTGGGCTGGTCTCAAATTCCCGGGCTTAAGCCATCCACCCACCTTGGCTCCCAAAGTGCTAGGATTACAGGTGTGAGCCATCGCCCCCCAGCCGACACATACTATTTTTATTCTTTTCTTACAGATGAGTAAGTTGATGCTCAGGGACACCAATTACCTTGCCTAAGATTGTGCAGATAGTAATTAGGAAAGCTGGTATTAAAACTAGGTCCTATCTGTCCCACAGTTCATAATGCAGCCATATATATTTCAGGGCAAGGACTTGTAGTAGTATAGTTCTTCCTGTGAAGTACTGGGAGTGACCTTTCTAAGGGCTGGGGCACTAGCTGAGTAGACCTTTCCTTTTGAACACAGGCCAGGGGACATTTTTTCATTACTCACCACCTTGAGGGAGATGCTATCATTGTCCTTGGGTAGAGCTCACTCAACTCATCCTCCATTCCAGCCATGGCCAAAACCTGGAGCCAATACTCCAGGGGCCTCTGACTTAGATGTATACATTTAGAATGGCAATGCAGTCAAGAACCTGAACTTTGGAGTTGACGGAGTTGAGTTTATGTGAGTTTTACCTTTCCAAGCCTCAGTTTATTCATCTGTTAAATGGGGATAATAATAGTACGTACCCAGTACAATAGGCTTATTGGGAAGGTGAAATGAACCATTTATGTAAAGTACTTGGCACAGTGCTTGGTTCATAGTAAGTGTCACAACACTGTAGATACAATTATATATAATTAGCAGTGGTAACAAGGGAGCCTCATGTACACACCTGCACACACAGTTACACACATGGAATTAATTGTGAGGCTTGACTCTAGTATGGAGACCCAGAGATCAGACTTTTTTGTTCCTCTGTAATGAGCTCAATGGGCATGGCCCTTGGCATCAAGTCAGCATTTGAATAATTTCCATGGCATTAGATTCAGTGGGTAGAAAGCTCTATAATATTTTCTAAAATATATAGTTAAGCCATGCTTTGGTTTTCTCAAAAGAACTCCTTACCCCTCTGCCCCATTACATGTACACATTCCACAGAAGGACAGGACTTGGCTCATTTTTAATCAGATTTGCAAAGGAAAAGATAATTGTTCTACTGTATGCTGGCATATTGCAAGCTATGTGTGACATACTATGTAGAGTTTAATTCAAATGACGAATTGAAAAAAAATCCCACATCTAAAACAGATGTACAGGCATGATCCATAAGTGGTAGTCAATTCACAAATTAAGAAAATAAGTGAAAGGATAAATGCACATTTCAAGATCTAAGTCTTTGTTCAATATGTTAAACACATGGCCAATTTCAAAGTCCCTGTAACCACCGAGTTGGAACACAACCCACTCAGAAGTAGCTGGCATCTTACAGGAAAGGATTAGAATTCCTTATGACCTTGATGTGTTAAAGAAGTTATCAGTAACAATTATTTGAACTCAGCGGGGCAGGAGAAAAGACAAACTGTGAGCTGAAGATGGTGCAGAGCTGGCTTTGTATAGATCTAGTCAAGAGAATCGACCCCAAGTAGAGGCATTGCTGAAAAGTCAAAGGCACTTCCGGGCAGCATGAATGAGAAGATGTGGACAGCACAAGCCTCAAGAGGCAGCCCTTGCTGGCTTTTCATTGGCATGAGCAGAGCACCCTGCATTGCCATGTGAGGTCCTCAGTGTGGGGGAGAGTTGAGGTTGAGGAATGCAGGGCATTGGAGAGTTGGACAAAGAGGGAAGATAGTGGCATAGTAAGGACCATGATAACCACCTATTGCCCATGGATGCAGAAAGAAGAAACAGGCTCAAAATTACAGCAAGGGATGGAGGTTAGCTAAAAGAAGGAACTGAGAGAAGTGATGGCAGAAACCTTGAAACCTTATGAGTTCAACAGCATCTGTTTTCTGAAATAATTTGAAATGGGACTTAGTGAGAAATCAAAGGATGGTGCTGGTTAATTTGTCAAACCCATATTTGCCGTCTCAACACTCAAAGGCTAAGCAGGAAGATTAAGACAAAGACTTCTGATCTGGACCTATTTTTAGGTTTTCCTTGTGTACCCTGAATTATCTTGCCTTCGGGTAATTCTTTCAGTCATTCCCTTTGGGTCAAATGTCCTTCAAGGCCTATATCTAATGATGTCTTTTGCAAGAAGTCTTTCCTGAAGCTGGAAGTATCCTTTGCCCTTTCCGAGCCCTCCACAGTATTGAACCATGATGTCCTTCCTTCCTTCGTGAGGCTTTCTATCATGCATCTTCGGTTATGCCTTTAAATGTCTTTCTTATCTCCTCTGCTCTCCTTAAGGCCAGAATTACCACACATATTAGGGGGTAAGTAATATAATGGATGCATAAATGAGCAACCGTTTGTTTTGTTGGCATTTGTGGAAACTCTAGCTTTGGCAGCAACTTCCATCCAGCACATGCAAAGAACTAACTCCTGACAAACTCCAAGAGACAAAGGCATGTCTCCCAGTTGGCTTCATGTAGATGGTAATTGAAGCACAATTTGAAAATTAAGATTTCAGCTACATTATAGTGATTTGTGCAGACTTATTAAGAAGAATACACAAAACCTAGAAAAATGGGGTGGGTGTGGGATTAGTAGATGACAAAACATAAAGGAAGAAGAAAGATCTCTAAACTGTTCACGTTAAGAGACGTACTCAAAACACTGGCCAAACCATGTTGAGGCTGTTTTACCTACAGGCATAATTTATGAGCTCCTATAAAGAATTTCAACGTCACAAGGTCATGTTGTTGATATGACTGGTTTGGGTCCTATGACCTCACTAGGCAGCCTTTTTTACACAGTCCCCTAAATTGGTAACCAAAATCAAGAAACTTGATAAGTCCTATAGAAACTCTCTTGAAGCTCTCTCTTTTTTAGAAAAGATGGAAAATGATGAACTTCTGGCATTTCTGTAAATATTAAATCTCCTATAAAATGAATTACCTTTGTTTCTCTCACAGTCTTCATTCCATCATTGTGTGGAGGTATAGGGGAAAAAAAAATCACAAAGATAGAGAATACAAATTGAGGTTTTGTAAAGCAAAACAAACAAACAAACAAACAAAAACAAAACAAAAGACAAAGAATTTTGCCTCTTTTTACATAAGTAAACTGTGAGAAATTATTCCTAAAAAGCCTTAGCCCATTTCTGTCTGTTCAAACATAATTTCATCTACTATAACAAGTACCCCTTCCCCTTCTAGAATGAAAATGTCCTAGTTTAAGGTAATATCTTAGTCATCTGAAATTACTTTTTAGAAATTTTATATTTAAAAACATTAATCTGGTAACCTGTAGAGTAGTTAGGGGTGAAAGATAGAGAGATGTCATGGAAGCCAATACCATTTTAGATATTCGACAGCTAACCCTGGTTTCTTGGTTATTGTCCCGTCCTTTTAAAGCCACCTTTGGCTTTCAGTGTTGGGACCTTGCCTTGGGGATGGGTGTTTGGTGATCCTCACGTTATCACCTGTTGGGGCAAGTGATGAGACTTTGTCACCCAAGGCAGTTGACTATTTTTTTTTCTATATTCTCAAGGATGGGCATTCTCCAGCCTCAGTAAGCCCAAATGATAGGCACATCAAGACCATACCATCAATCTCTCTGAATTTACCTTATGGATAATAATATTTTTAAATGGCAGCAGCAGGAAAGTTTTTTATTTTAGGGCTGTCATTCTAGAGTAAAGAGTGAAATATTTTAAAAGTAAATCCACATTTTTCATTTCTTGAGATTGAATCAATTCAGTGCTAGTAAATGTAACAATGACAGGTGGACTGTTGGATTCAGAGAAATAACATTTGTTCAGAGACTAGTTTAAAAAATAACAATCTAGGCACATTGCTGAGTGCTTACCTTAGACCTTACCTTAGCCCTGTGATCTTGGTACTACAAGTATTTGCTTCTTTTTATTAATGGAGAAACTGAGGCCCAGGCTGGTTACTGGGCCAGGGAGTGGCTAAGCTGGCATTTGAGTCCAGGCAGTCAGCCTGCCGAGCCCATGCACCTTAGTACTGTGCACACTTCCTCCAGGTGAAGGGCAGGCATTTGTAAAAACCTAAATTATTCATTTCAGGCTTCGGTAAGTATTCCTTGCATCCTTCCAGGGAGCATTTGGTGAGAATTATTAGATGATGTGGGTGAAATGCACACCTCCGGGGACAACTGTAAGGAAAGTGCCCCATTCTGTGGCACTTCCTGCTGTGGCTGGCCACACCAGCTGTTTCCGGCTCTGGAGTCAGAGGTGTGAATTCTGGCTTTGCTATTTACCATCTGTTGAATGTCACTGTATTCTTTTGTAAAATGGGAGTCATTGCAAATATTCACTGTGATAATAAAACCTACACATTTATTTGTCAAATACTAATTTGATGCCTCTGCTATTTAAACTGTCAGTGGCTATTTCCAAGCTGGAAGGTGATTTGACCTGATTTGCATCTTGAGAAGATGATCCTGGCTGAATGTGGGGGAGAGGGGGAAGCTTACAGAGGGTAGGAAAAGGCGAGTCTGTCATATTGTCAGTTGGCCTTGCTTAACACCCTGTTCATGGTAGTGATACGATCTTTGCTCCCTATTCCATTTTCCCTGGTGTTCTTTTGTTTGCTTGTTTTTATTTTCTTACTGCTGTGTTCCCAGCACTTAAAATACTTCTTGGAACATAGGAGGGACTCTGTATTTGTCGAGTAAATAGATCAAAGTAGGATAGCCAGTAAGGAACTTGTTGGGGTTGTAACATATAAGGTGATGGCAGCCTGCCCTGTGAAATGGAGAGACGGGTACTGATTCAAGGCAAAGAAATGGAGTGAACCTGGTGGATAGGAAACAGGATTTCTGGTCAGATTAAATGACCAGATGATGGTGCTTTTTGCTGAAATGCAAAAGGATGCAGGGGGAAGAGGTGAGGGTATGGGGACTTGGGATAAGCAGAAAAGCTAATGGGACTTAGCAATCCAAAGTACCCAGGAAAATGCTAGCATCACCCTGTAGGTAAGACCCCTGTGGTCTTTGATGACAGCAAGAATGTCGGCCTGACACATGCAGAACCTTCTCAGTGGGCTGTCTCTCCTGCACAGGTGGAAAGGAAAAGAATTCCAGCCAAGGTGTGAGAAAGCCTGAGTGTCTCAGAGCACACAGTGGGAACCAATGTGAGATGCCCCTGGCAGATATCTGTGTGGTACACCCTGGTGGGAGAGGAGTGGTAAAATGTCCCCTCAGATCCCCTTCTCTCTACAACTCCATCGTTCCCAATCCACAGGGAAACAACGTGGAGTTAAGGAAGGTTCTCACAGGCTGCTTTTCCATTCTGGTTCTTCATACTTTATATCCCTCTTCCTTTTCCGTTTTTTTTTTTTTTTTTCTGTGAGGCTGAGTTTTGCTCTTGTTGCCCCGGCGGGAGTGTAGTAGGGCGATCTCGGCTCACTGCAACCTCCACATCCTGGGTTCAATCGATTCTCCTGCCTTTGCCTCCTGGGTAGCTGGGATTACAGGCGCCGGCCACATCACCCAGCTAATTTTTTGTATTTTTAGTAGAGACAGGGTTTCACCTGTTGGCCAGGATGGTCTTGAACTCCTGACCTCAGGTGATCCACCCCCCTCGGCCTCCCAAAGTGCTGGGATTACAGGTGTGAGCCACCACACCTGGCTCTCTCTTCCTTTTTCAAATGAGTTGTTTCATCTCCTCAGACTTTCTGGGAGAAGAAAAGGGAGCAAGGAATTAAGCCATGACAAAAAAAAAACCATTTTTAAAAAATTAAATGAATGCACTATGAACTTGAAAATTCAGAAGACAAATGTTTCTTCCCCCAGGCTTCCATTAGGATCATATGGAGAAGTCCAGGAAGGTTTTCTGAGCACCTACCCTGGAGAGCAGGGCTGGTGGGCAGGGCCTGTGGTTTCAGGGCTGGAGGGTCTCATTCCCATCCCAGTGCTTGTTCTTCCAACAGTCCAAGTATTGCTTTCAGTTGCTCATGCAGATCTGAACTTGAAACAGTGATAAATATGGGGTGTCCTCTACAAGATGTCATGGCCCCGGACATCCCTTCCTGCATTGTGCTGTGGCTGCCTCAGCATTATTTTGAGTGTTGACAGAGTGCTCAGTGCAGCAGAGACAGCCTTCCTTGTCTGAGGTCTCACACAGAGTTTTGGGCAAGAGCCCAAAACAACAGCCATGATATAATGTCCAAATGTATTTGGGTGACATACCACACGCTAAGGCCCCGGATGTCACTGATAGCTTCCTTCAGAGCCCTTTATTGCTATTCTTCATTTAGGACGTTTTAATAAACAGTGATGTGGAAAGGTTTTGACCCTATGAAGCTGAGTGAGCTCGTCTTGGCGTATCATTTGCTATCACACAACACAGGGCTACAGAATCAGATGCCCTGGTGGGAGGAGATATTTGCCACAGAGCTGTGGTCAAGAGCATGGCAGATTTGGCTGAATTTGAATACAGGATTTGCCACCTACCAACTTTATGACCTTGGGCAAAAGGCACATCCGTAAATTAAGTATAATATTGGCGTGTGCCACAGAGGAGTGAACTTTTCTGAATAGAAAAAGAAATGCACTTGTAAAATGCTCATTTCCACATAAAGACTGGCATATGTGACATACTCAGTAAATAACAATTGTTATGATGGAGATTTTAAAAAATATGTTATTTGTATGGATTTATTGCATGGTTTTAATTCCAAGATGATTTTTTTCCCTTTTTGATATTTATAAAATTGGAACTCATAATTTTTTGTTATGTCTATTTATTGTGGGTTTTTTGGTACACCTATTAGCTATTATGAATGGAAACTTTTTCCATTGTCTTTTTAACTGGCAGTGCAGGTTGACGTAGAGCTTAGTGAATTTTTAACCTGACACATTCCTGCATTATTTTTTGTTCAAGTAGTTTTTTAGTTGACTCTTTTCCATAAAAGAAATGGAATCTTTTTCATGATTTTATGTACTTTCTGAATAGATTATCATATCATATGTTAATAATCCCAGGTAAGCTTCTCTTTTACAATAGCGGTTTTAGTATGTTTTCCTTGTCTTATTGTTTTAGGTGGAATATCTAAAACAATACTAAATACTAGTGGTTATAGTGAGCATCCTTGTCTTGCCTCTGGATTTCATGGGAATGTTGCCTGTAGTTCACTATTTCTTTGTTTGTTATTCAGATGAGATAGACCTTATTAAAGAGATATGCTCTTATTCTTAGTTTCCTGTGATTTTATATCAAGAATTGTTGAATTTTTATTTAATGCCTCATGAACATTTTCTTCTAAATCAGTGGTTCTCAAACTAAGGTATATTTAAGAATTCCCAAAGAGCACTTAACAAAAAAAAAAGACTAAGACTTTCTCCAGTTACACTGTAAGATAATTTGCCGTGGTAGGAATCAGACCCACGATTCTGATGTGTACCACTGATAAAGAAGAACTGCTTTGAATGATCTCATATGTATTTACCTCTCTTGACTTACTAACGTAATGTGTTAGATTATGGAATTCCCACTATTAAATCATCATTACTTTCCTTAAATAAACCCTACTTGGCCGTGTTTGTATTCTTTCTGCAATGTGCTGCTGGGGTTTTTTTTGCAAGTGTTGCAGCTTACAGTTTTTATATCATAGTCACAAGTAGAATTGACCTACAGTTTCTTCTTTTATGTATCCAAGATACGTCAGCTTTGAAAATTAAATTGTGAAGCAGTCTATATTTCCAGAACTTTTTTTTTTTTGAGACAGAGTCTCACTCTGTCACCCAGGCTGGAGTGCAGTAGCGCAATCTCGGCTCACTGCAACCTCCACCTCCTGGATTTAAGTGATTCTCCCGCCTCAGCCTCCTGAGTAGTTGGGATTACAGGCACCGCCACTACACCCAGCTAATTTTTTTTTTTTTTTTTTTTTTTTTGTATTTTTAGTAGAGATGGGGTTTCATCATGTTGGCCAGGCTGGTTTTGAACTCCTGACCTCAAGTGATCCACCCTCCTCGGCCTCCCAAAGTGCTAGGATTACAGGCGTGAGCCACCGCACCTGGCCTATTTCCAGAACTTTTTAAGCAGCCAAAAACATTGGTCTGTTCTTGAAAGTATGAAAGTATTCTTCTATTAAATGCTCCAAACCCAGGGCCATTTTTGGAGATAATTTTTTGGCAACATTTTTTTTTTATTTCCTGGTTATTGGGTTATTGGCCCATTTAGATTATCTGCCTCTTCCCTATTATTTTTGTTTTGCTAGAGTATTGTCCATTTCATCTACTTATATGCCTATTGTCATTATTCCAATCTCTTCTTTATCTGTTCTATTCCCTTGCCTTTTTGTCATTTTATAGTTATTTCTTTACATTCTGTCTCCACCTTTTTCTCCTTGATTAAACTTTCCAAGAAGTTTAATTGTTTTACTTGTTGTTGTTTTACTTTTCATTTTCCTAATTATTTGTATGCATGAACATCCTTTATCAATTAGTCATTCACATGTCTTTATTCAGAGCTTTGTATATTCATATCCTTTGCATGGGCTAATGATACATACCCTTTGTACCTTTCTGCTGGCTGATAGACCTTTTTCTTATTAATGTGTCATATTGTGGATGCAAATTATTTATCTGAAATGTGCTTATCTAATTGACATTTATCTTACAGCTTTGCTCATTTAGGGAGTTGCTGTTGTAGCTGTTTTTTGCCACACAGAACTTTCATAATTATATGAATCCCAGTCTTTTCCTTTATAGCATCTGGATTTCCTGTCTTTTGAAAAGACCTCCCCATGCCAAGAGTTTGAAAATAAAATTGAGAAATGAAATAATTAGGCATTATGTCTAGTGAAATACATGAAATGGAATAGACACACAGAATAACCTCTTCTCCCTCCTCCTTTCCTTCCTCTGTTTTCTTACCACACCACTCTGAATGTGGTATAAAAGTGCCAAAAGTAGAGTCTTAGAAACAGCCGGACTTACCCAAGTCATGTTTCCAGAGAACCTGATTTCTCCAGTAGCCCTCTGAGGATTTAAGGAACACCTGCATTTTTCCAATCTTGTGTGCATTTACATATATACATACACACGTGTATTCATTTAGTTATACATAAGCATATGCATTTACATCATAGGTACTACTCTAACAAAATCCCTTTTGTGAAAAAAATTTTTTTAAATATATTTTTTTCATGAGCATTTGGATTTACTTCATTGAAAAAGGATCATGTCAGCCAACAGCAGGCATCAGAAATCTTACCTAATCTGATATGAAGCATCATCAAGGAAATTTCCTATGGTCTGAAAGTTTTGTTTCTCTTTAGAAAATAAAAAACCTAACAAAATTAATTTTTTTTAGAATTGCCTCATTGAGGAAATAGTCAATTCGGTCACATTTCATCTTGATAAACAGTACACTAAATGGGCACAGTATTCTGAAGTTCCCATGTGGAAGAGAGCCACACAAGTGTAAAAAGTAAAATTTATATACAGGATTAGGGGTAAAAGTGTATGTTCCAGCATGTTTGCCTGATAGTGTGTAATTGTCAAGCATTATTTGTCGGTTAGGGGGATCAGCTAAAGCCTGGTGTATAAAAATTCATGCCAGTAGGAAATTTACAATAAATCAAAGTATAGATTACTCCATAACATTACATCTTTCAGTTGTAAATTAACTCACACAAATTTGGCTTTCTGGGTAATGAACAGCATTTCTAATGGAGCTGGAGGCTGACAATAAATAAGTTCAGATTAGACACAAAGCCTCCCTTTTCCCTCCTTCCGCCAGCCCACAGGGGTGCCTGTATGCCCACTTTTGTTTCTGGACTTTCTATCTAGAGATGGTCTGAGGGGTAGGTCCTTGGGTGTGGGTGAAGGACACCCATCTTTAGCCCTTCTGTAGAGCACCACATGAAATTTCATTTTCACTGTAACACAGTTGCAGCTTTTTCCTGCTCTAGCTGGGTACACTTCTGCTTTCTGCAGGTTGTTACCCCAGAACCTGATGCTACATGGGCCCTCAGATGCCACACTGAAGCCAGATGTCCCTGGCACTAACTGGAATATTGACACCAGGTATGATCCACAGGGTGCCAGGTGCCTCTGCCTGGCAAGGCCATTTGTCCCTGAGGAGAAATCATATGTTCCTTTTTGAGATGCCAGATATTGCTGTTATTATTTTTTTTTTATGTATTTTTAACTGCCTTTGGGGTGAGAAGGAGAAAGAGAGGAGGGAGACACTTGGTTCTATAAGCAAGAAGAGAGTCTTCCCAAGAGAATTCCAGAAAAGATTGGGGTTGAGGAAGTTGTAGATGTCTCCCGTGTTTTTTCCAGCAGGAGCAGCCAAATGGAATCACATTCACGGAAAAACTACAACGAATACTAATACTAAAATGAATGCTAATGCCAACCACACTGCCTAGCGTTTGTGTGTGTTTGCCATGTTGGGTGCTATGTTACTCCACTGTATGAGCTTTCTCATTTTCTTCTCACAGCAGCCCTTTGGGATGGCTACCATTTACAAGGTCCTGAGGATTAGAGAGATCTAGGTCAAAGGCCTGAGGCCACCAGCTCCAGCTCCCAATCTCCAGGATGTTCTGGAGTTAATATTTCAACCCAGGTCTAGCTGTCCCACAGCTTGACCCTTCCCAGCCCCTTTCCGTACCCCCAGGCTCACATGAGTAACTCACGCCTATTTCTTTGTGTAAGTCTTTATCCTTTTCCTAAGCTCCTCTGGTCTCGAGTTCCCAAGAATGTTCCTAGTGAATCCCTGGACCTGCTCCTTCTTAGTCCCATCGTCTCCACTCAGCGGCTTCCCTGCTCCATCCCTGAAATGGTGTTAGCCTTCTCTCTCACTTAGACCTGCTCCATCCTTAGTCACATTATGTACCTAAGTATTTAAATCCTCAGTCTGTTCTTACTCCGTTGTGCTCTCCATGACAATCTCCCCCATCATTTCTGCCCTTATCTTCTCTCCATGGTGTGCAGACAGACCCGCTTCTTGAGATTTCCAGGACCTAGGACAATAGGACAAATGGAGGCCCCGTGTGGCTTGTGTGCCCTTTATAATTCCAGTTCACTTGGTCAGTTACTAAACTTTCAACAACAACAACAACAACAACAAATAACATTCTAAAGAGCCAGAAAAGAAAAAAAAAAGTATGTGTTGGTGTTTTGATATGCAGGCCTTCACAGTAGGGCCCCCTCTTGCCCAGCCTAAAGGTGAGGATAGGTTCTGTCTCAGCTCAGTGAGACTGGTCTGTGGATCACCACCAAACTGCTTTCTTTATCCTTCTTCTCCTGTGGTGCACAGCTCATGGCCAGATGAGGAGATGGATTATGCAAATGTTGCTGACATACAGACTGCCCCTGGGGAAGCCAACTGGGTCCACCCCTGCTGCACACCAAACAAAGCAAATTATCTCAAAACTGGCAGAAGTTCGCAGGGAAAAGTTGGTTTGGATTCATAACTAATTGTCTGCTGTTGTAAAAATCAGAGGATTAGGAAGGGAAAGTATTTTCTCATTGGATTTTTCTGGTCAAGACAGGGCAGGGCCCTCTCAGTATCTTTTCTGTCTCATCCTCTCTCATTTGTTCATATTATCTATCTCTCCTTACTCTCTCTGTCTGTCTATTATCTATCTCTCCTTACTCTCTCTGTCTGTCTCACTTTTTCCTTTTTTATTTATTTATTTATTTATTTATTTATTTATTTATTTATTTATTTTGAGACAGGGTCTCATTCTGCCAGAGTCGCCCAGGCTGGAGTGCCATGACACTGCTATAGTTCGCTGCAGCCTCATTCTCCTGGGCTCAAGTGATCTTCCCACCTCATCCTCCTGAGAGCTCGAACCACAGGCATGCACAACCGCGCCAGGCTAATTTTTGTAGTTTTAGTAGAGACAAGGTTTTACCATGTTGATCAGGCTGGCCTCAAACTCCTGACCTCAAGTGATCCTTCCGCCTAGGCCTTACAAAATGCTGGGATTACAGGTGTGAGCTACCACACCCGACCCCCACTCTCTCTTTCTTTTTCTGTCTCTCATGTCTTTATCATCATCAAGCAAGCAAGGAAAAAGGAAACAGAAAATTGAAGACAAAGAAGGCCTTTCCCCTGAAGTTGGGTAGTTGGAAAGCTGATTAAGGAGATTAAAGGCAGGAGGACATGTGTGGGGACATTTGATGCTAGCTGGGCTCCTGCTTCTGCTGTGGAAAGACTCCCACAAGGCTGTTGTCTCTCCTAAAATGTCCATTGAATTAAAATTTGTTCTTTAGTTAGACCTGGGAGTGAGAATCAGTGTTGTTGTAAGCAGTGAACTGTAACAATTTAAAGTTTAATGAGGCAAGAACCAAATTGGGCTTGTGTTTTATGTCTCTAATACTTGTAAAACGTGCCATTCTCTTAACCATGTTAAAATAAATATTAGTAATTAGGTAATATTAATGGTTTGTTATTTTGATGAAGGACTTTCTTTTTAAATGGAAAATAAAGGAAATTGACTGGAAAGGCATATTATGTTCCCCCTGGCTGGCCAAGGCTAAGGAAAGCCTGCCTGGGTCACCCAAAAGGGCCAGGCCATCCTGTTTACCTGGTGGGTAATCTGGTGGGTTCTCCCAGGCTGACAGCCAAGGCTCTGAAGGAGATCCGAGCCTCTGAAGGCCTGGCTCTGCAAAGCCAAACCTGCAGAATGAATACAAATGCCTCCTTTTGTAAACCAGGTCTTTGGGAAACCACTGGAACACCTAGAGAGCAGGACCCAGAGAACAAGACCAGGGAAACAGGAGAGCCAAGGAAAGGGGGAAGATTGCAGCATCATAACATTGATGGGAGACCACGAAGTCGGGGGGTCCCTGAGTGCTTTGTATCCTGCTCCAGGCAACAGCTCAGGGAAGTTCATTTCCCCAGTGTCTAAATGCACACACAGACTTGAGCTTGGGCTGCAGAATCCATCTTAGCTTGTTAGTTGAACCGATGTTGACATAATGCCTCACTGCCTGAGATCCCATGAGCTTTCTTCCCAACCCTGTTAGGTGGTCCTTGGACCACTAAGAACTATGTGGTTATGGCCCATTGTCTCCTCTTTCCCTTCAGTAAGGACCATGTTTTACCCAGTCTAGCCTGAGACTGAATGTATCCTATTAAAAGTGTGTGTTGAATGAGGGTGCTCCAGGTCTCAGAAGGCGGTGGGGTTAATTACTGCTCTGAGCTTAAGCAGGGCAGCCAGAAGGATGTTTTTCAAAAAGATTATGATTATGGGCCTTCTGGTTAGAATACTTTGGGCATCAGACAGGGGTAGCAACCCAAATTTGGGGAAGGAAGAGAATAAAATGACAAGAATCTCAAATTGGATAAGTATATACACAAAAGCCGCCTTCTTTCCCTCTATAATCTCTGTTCCTTTCAGTATATCCTGGGTGTTCAGTGAACCAAAAAATATACTTACAGTTTTTCTCTGTGCACTTGCAAGAAGGCGAGGATACTTCTAACCAAAATAGCCTTTCCCAGGAACACCTGTCAGCAATGATTTTTTTTAAAAAACAAATTGAAATGGAAGCACTGTGCCATATTCCATATTCATTGAATAACCATTGACTGGGGGCCTACTTTGTGCGCAGCACCATTCCGGATGGTGGGAACGAAACCAACATTCCTGCCTCATAGAGCTGATATTCTCAACAAGGGAGAAATAATAAGACAGGCAAGATGAGTATTAGCTTGTCTCATATGAAACTGGCATGTGGATAGGTCAAAAAGTTTAAAAATAGGAAATTGTGTATGATTTAACCTAGCATATGATATTTTGATAGTGATAAGTGTTAAAGAGAAAGATTTGAAGTCAGAAAAGGGAATCTGAAATGTTGGGATCACAAATTTTTAATTATGAAAAGACCTCATAGAGAAGGCAAGATTTGAACAAAGTTTGGAAGGAGTAAGGAAACCAGCCAAGTGCATGTCCGAGAGGGAAGAGCGCTCCAGGCAGAGGGCATGGCCAGTGCAAAGGCCCTAAGGTGGGACCAGCCAGGAAGCCTGTGTGATGGTTGGAGGATGAGTAGAAATAACGTTAGGCAAGTAATTAGGAGCCAGGTCACACGGGACTGATAGCCATTGGGATGACTTTGGCTTGGCTCTGAGAAAAATGCAGAGACCTTTGGGAAGGTTTTGAGCAGAGGAATCACTTGCTCCAATGTAACATTTTAACAGGATCCCTGGCTACTGTGTTGAGAAAAGAAGCAGGAGACCAGCTAGGAGGCCATTGCAATAATCCAGGCATGAGATGATGGCAAGCCCCACCAGGTCTTGGCAGTGGGGTGGTGCGTCATGGTCCACTTTGGACCTATTTTGAAGGTAGGGCCAACAGGAAATGCTGAAGGATTGGATGTGGGTACAGGGGCAGGGAGCAGGTTGTGGTGCTATTAATCTTGACACTAAAGTTTTGGGTCTGAGAAATGGGAAGAATAGAATTACCCTTAGCTAAGACAGGGTAACTACAGCAGGAGTTGCTTCAGGCCCAAGGGACCCTCTTCATCTTGGCAAATTTGACAATTCCAGCATGCTGGGCTCAGTGCTGATGAATATAAAAGCTTAGGGAGGGAAAGGATGGGTGATAACTTGAAATACTTTTTTCAAAAATTAACATAAAATAAAATAGGCCAGGCACAGTGGCTTACGCCTGTAATCCCAGCACTTTGGAAGGCCGAGGCAGGCGGATCACGAGGTCAGGAGATCGAGACCATCCTGGCTAACGCGGTGAAACCCCGTCTCTACTAAAAAATACAAAAAATTTAGCCAGGCGTGGTGGCGGGTGCCTGTAGTCCCAGGTACTCAGGGGGCTGAGGCAGGAGAATGGCATGAACCCGGGAGGCGGAGCTTGCAGTGAGCCGAGATCGCGCCACTGCACTCCAGCCTGGGCTACAGAGCGAGACTCCGTCTCAAAAAAAAAAAAGAATACAAAAAGTAGCCAGGCGTGGTGGTGCATGCCTGCAGTCCCAGCTACTTGGGAGGCTGAGACAGGAGAATTGCTTGAACCTGGGTGGCGGAAGTTGCAGTGAGCCAAGATCACACCACTGCACTCTAGCCTGGGTGACAGAGTGAGACTTTGTCTCAAAAATAAATTAATTAATAAAATAAATGGTAATTCTAAGAATAGGTATTAATGCCTTACTGTATGCCTAGAGTACCATACTAACCTTTGGGCATGGATTTTCTTATTTAATACTCACAACAGTCCTGATGGGCGGAGAGGCCCACAGACGTGAGGCCTTGGAGCCCAGATCCTTTATGAGTTGCTCCCAGGTCGCTGATGGATATTTCACCCCTCCAAGTGAGTGGTTGTTTGTGAAGGTTACAACTGGATAGGAGCAAAAGGTGAGACACAGTTGAGATTTCTGAGAAAACCCATAATTACAGACATCCTGTGTGCTCTGTGCAAAGGTTATTTCCCATTACAGGTGGAGAGCCTGCCTCCTCAGGCCTGCTGTGGGGCAGAGTGGGTACTGAAGAAGGCACAGTCTCATCAGGTGTGCAGGGTTAATTATCTCGCCTCAGTGCAATGGGAGCAAGAGTTACTGCTGTTTTGACAGATTGTGTTAATTGGAAGCCCAGTTTGATTAGGAGGCTCATGCTTTGTGCCTGCAGTCAGCCAGCCTAGTGGGGTTTATGCCTCAGCATTTCTGCTTATTTTCATCTTCTAATTTTTCCACCACGAACAAGTCACAAGAGAGGTTAAGAGCATGGGATTTGGAGATAAACAGACCTGGGTTCAAGTCCTAGCTTTACTTCTTACTAACTTTTGTCTAACTCTGGGCTCCCAGACTCAGTTTCCCCTTCTGTGCAATGGTAGCAGGGTGGACGTGAAGACTCAGTGAGATAATGCACATAAGGTACCTAGTACCTAGCACAATCGATGTTGCTAATGTCATTCTCCATTTTATCTTTAAGGTAAATCAGGATAATTTGTAATCTGAATGATCTATATTGAATCAAGTATTAAAAAACCAACAGTTGGTGGGAGTGTAAATGAGTTCAACCATTGTGGAAGACAGTGTGGTGATTCCTCAAGGATCTAGAACCAGAAATACCATTTGACCCAGCAATCCCATTACTGGGTATATACCCAAAGGATTAGAAATCATTCTACTATAAAGACACATACACACGTATGTTTATTGCAGCACTATTTACAATAGCAAAGACTTGGAACCAACCCAAATGCCCATCAATGATAGACTGGATAAAGAAAATGTGGCACATATACACCATAGAATGCTATACAGCCATAAAAAACAATGAGTTCATGTCCTTGGCAGGGGCATGGATGAAGCTAGAAACCATCATTCTCAGCAAACTAACACAGGAACAGAAAACCAAACACCGCATGTTCTCACTCATAGGTGGGAGTTGAACAATGAGAACACATGGACACAGGGAGGGGAACATCACACAATGGGGCCTGTCAGGGGTGGGGGGCAAGGGGAGGGAGAGCATTAGGAGAAATACCTAATATAGATAACGAGTTGAGGGGTGCAGCAAACCACCATGGCACATGTGTACCTATGTAACAAACCTGCACATGTGTACCTATGTAACAAACCTGCACATTCTGCACATGTATCCCAGAACTTAAAGTATAATTTAAAAAAATTAAAAAATTAAAAACCAACAGTTTAACAGTGATGATAAATTGCAACCAACTCTTAGATTCAGAGTTGGAAAGATGGTAGGAAATAGTGAGGGCTGGAGAGCATCTGCCCATCAAAGGGGGAAGGGGGCACTCACTCCTCTGTTCCAGTTGATTTCTGTCATGCAGGAATACAGCTCTGATGTTACCAATTCTTCCAATTGTTAGAGAAAGCCTCAAACTGGGATTTTTTAATATTTTGGCAACCGACTAAAAAAATAAATTTTTAAAATTCCATGCAAGTCAAACACAATGTTCCTATGGTTCTGATGTGGCCTGGAGGCTGCAAGTTTATAAGCTATATTAGTGGGCTTTGGAGGATAACAAGTGACCCCTACAGCTCAGTGGTTGCATGTCAGCCATGGGTCACTGGGGTCTGTGCTTGTGCTCTACATGTCACCATCACTCTAGGATCCAGGATGAGGTAGCAGCCTCTGTTTGGGATATGCCATTCTCCTGGCAGAGAAAAAAGAGTTAGAAGAAGCATACAATGGCTCTTAAAGTGTCTGCTTGCAGTTTGCACGCATTACTTTCTCTTATATCCCATTCGTCAAGGCAGATCACATGGCCAAGCCTGACGATGGGGCAAGGAAGTGTACTTTTCCTACAGGAAGGCCTGCAAATCACCTGGCAAAGGGAGGGGATGTTGGCTGCTATTAGAGGGAAGCAGGGAGCAAATAATTGTGAATGACAACATGATCTGCCACAAGAACCTTCTGCCATATCCCCCTCCTTCCATTCACTTGCCTTTCCAGAGTTTTATTTAGCTGTTTTCAGAGTTATTTTCCAAAACCTGGAGTGAAGTGTTTTTAGATTTCCTTAAGATGAAGTGTGACACTCTGTGGCTTGTGGATGAATACCGTCTTTTATGGCACTCAGATATAGTAACCAATATGTAATGTATATTGGTTACTATACATTAGATTGAACCCAATGAAATTGCTGATATTCAACTTTTTTTATCTGAAAAGATAGAAATTTCTAATTGTTCAACCAAATATATTTATAATTTTTATCCCCTGAGAACTGAAGAATTCATTATCTAACATCGTCTGACAATATCCTGCATTCTCAACCTGCAAACCTTTGCATCCTCTGCTTGTATATACCTTTTCTACCTTCTGCCCAACCCAGACAGAGACCCTGTGATGTTCCCCCTAAGATGTGCTCAGAAATAGGTTCAGCAAGGAGGGAAAAGAGGCCATCCCTGAAGAATGTAAAACTACTGGAGAAGAACCTGGTGTGCCCCAGAGCTCTTAATCCAGGCTGGTTCACTATCAGCTCCCAAACTGCCCCCAAATAAATGTTGAATGACTTGACCTCATCAGCAGTGATGATAACCACTTAGGTCTAAAAAGACAGACTTCTTTAATGTTAAGAGGGCAAGTCTTAGGTAAATGAAAATCAGAGTCATTCATTTGGTATATATTTACCAGCCACCTTTGTATGCTGGAGCCTTCGGAGGCCTCCAAGCGAGATAGCAGTGAACCAGGCAGACAGGCTCACTGTGATCCTAACACTCATCCCAGTTCATCATAGATGTTAAAATTTCAGAGCCAAAGGGACCTTAGAGCCCATGCAATCCAATGTCTCATTTTACAGATGAGGACACTGTGGTACTGATTTTTCTCCCGTCCTAAGATCTATCCACACAGTGGCCACAGGGATAATCTTAGGGTATGAGTTTGATCATGTCTGTTCCCTCTATTGCATGCTCAGAGGCAAAAATAATATTAAAACATAAAACTAAAGTAAAACCCAACCCCCAACTAGGGTGTGTAACCTGCTGCTGCCCGCTGCCTACTCCCCAAACCCATCTGATGTCACCTTCTTCTGTCTTCCTAAGCTCCGGCCCCATTGGCTTGCTTCTTCTAAGCTCATACTTGCCTCACAGCGTTTACACTTAGCGTTCTCCCATCTGGTCTGCACTTCCTTGTGATCTTCCCCTAGCTGGCCCCATGTCCTCCATCCCTCAGGGCTCAGTTCAAACATCTCCTTCACAGGAAGGCCTAGCTAAAGTATACCCTCTCCCCTGTAACTCTTTGTCCCTTTATTCCTTTAGATTGTCTTTATCTGAAGTTTCATTTTTTTACTTGTTTATTGTTCTTCTCTCTTATGACACTTTGAATTTCAGGAAGGCAAAACCTAGTCCTTTGTGTTCACCACTGTATCCCCATCACAAAGCACAGTGCCTATTACAGAGTTGGTGATCATTAAGTAGTTCTTGAGTGGAAGAATGAGCGATGGATGTGAAGGCACTGACTTATGGATTCCCAGATAGTGCTTTATTCCAGGATTGATGTTCTGATTTGCAAACCAGCCTTCTTTCTTCTTTCCATCTGTATTAGTCCATTCTCACATTGCTATAAACAAATACCTAAAACTAGGTAATTTATACAGAAAAGAGGTTTAATTGGCTCATGGTTTTGCAGGCTGTACCAGAAGCATGGCTGGGGAGACCTCAGGAAACTTACAATCATAGTAGAAGGTGAAGGGGAAGTAGGCACATCTTACATGGCCAGAAAAAGGAGGAAGAGAGTGGAGAAGGAGGTGCTACACACTTTTAAACAACCAGATCTTGTGAGAACTCACTATTATGAGAACAGCAAAGGGGAAATCTGCCCCCATGATCCAATCGCCTCCCACCAGGCCCCTCCTCCAACACTGGGGAGTACAGTTTGACATGAGATTTGGGCAGGGACACAAATCCAAACCATATCACCATCCTACATTTGGTACTCAGTAGACCCCCAAATGTTTGTTGAATAAGTAACGAGAACGTTCATAGCTTAACTTGAACATAGGGCCAACACTTCATTTTTCATGTCTACATCAGACATCACTCATTCACATCAGTTATTTGTTGTTCATCCCTGATGCCCTTTAGTGTACTCCCGGAGAACATCACCTACAGAGCAGAGCTGGCAGGAGGGTCTCTGTGCCATCTCTAGTTTAAGCTGAGTCTTGATCTACCTGGGCATGTCTGATTAGGCGGGCTTCTTAGAGGTCTA